>NC_000019.10:37240874-37543904 GCF_000001405.40 Homo sapiens
CAGCTCACGGCAGCCTCTGCCTCCTGGGTTCAAGCAGTTCTTCTGCCTCAGCCTCCGGAGTAGCTGGGATTACAGGCACGTGCCACCATGCCTGGCTAATTTTTGTATTTTTAGTAGAGACAGGGTTTCACCATGCTGGCCAGGCTGGTCTGGAGCTCCTGACCTCAGGTGATCTGCCCGCCTCGTCCTCCCAAAGTGCTGGGATTACAGGTGTGAGCCACCATGCCCAGCCACCACATTCAAATTGTATCCACTGTATCCTTTATTAAAGACCTTATTCTGTTTCCACCCCAACTGGGTTTGCTGCAGTTCACTTCTGACACTATTCAGGATGTGGAGACCTCACAGTCTTCCATAGTACTGTCCTCACCTCAGATGCCAGCTGCAAGTCTTGGGAGTCCCCCGGCTACCTGCAGGTCAGCCAGCTAACAGCAATAAATTAAGGGGTTTCCAAGGTCTCAGGTTCAATAATTTGTTAGAATGACTCATAGAAATCAGGAAAGCTCTGTATTTAAAGCTACAGTTTTATTAGGATACATATTTGAGCAAGATCTGGAACTGGACAGTTTCCATGCCCTCTCCCTGTGGAGTCAGTTTGTCACTCTCCTATCACATCAGTGCATTTACCAACCAGAAAGCTCCACTGAATTTACTGCCCAGCATTTTTATTGAGGTTTTATTACACAGGCACAATTGATTAAATCTGTGCCACTCAATCTCTAGCCTCTCTACACTTCTCAGAGGTCAAGCAGCTGCAAGTCCCACCCTTGTAATCACAAGCTAGTGTTTCTGGTAATCAGACCCCACCCTGAAGCTTTCTAAGGTCCTACCATGAATTACCTTATTAGCATAACAAAGACCTCCTGTCAGGAAATTCCAAGTGTTTTTGAAGCTCAGTGTGGGGCTTTATTATACCTCAGAGCCAAAGAATCTTCCCCATATGCATTTATTTCTCTCAGGAGACCTTTAATGGAGGCTAGAAAATGATCCACTTCATGTTACACATATTGTATGATATACTTATCTCTTATGTACACACGCATACTTATATAGATATATGTATATCATATATATCTATATAAGTATATATATACTATATAGTATGTCTATATATACTATATAAATATATATACTTATCTATATATACTATAAAGATACTATATATAGTATAGATACTATATATACTATATAGATACTATATATAGTATAGATACTATACTATATATAGTATAGTATCTATATATACTATAAAAGTATACTTATGTACATATATATGGCCAGTCATGTTTTAATATGGAAAATAGCCCAACCATTGTATATTTACCAGCCTTTCCAGTTGATTCTGATCCACATCCATATTTGAGTATCATTGTAGTAACTTATTTGCGTAGTTACCTTCCTCTGCTTCCTGCATTATCTTACTAATTTCTTTGTCTTTCTTGTCCATTTTTTCAGATAACACAGATATCCTTGTGAACCCTGTGTCATTTACCTAGTAGATACTATTCTTACTTTAATTTTTCCATTTCTATTATAAAAGTTTAATTTTTCACAAATAGGAAAAAAGAACATTTACCATTTTATTTTCTTTCAGATCTGGAATCGATGTGTGAAACCAAGTTATTATCTCTAAAGAAGGAAGTTTATGAAATAGAATTATGCCAGAGGGAGATAATGGGACTTACAAAGCATGGCCTTGAGTACTCCAGTTTTGGAGATGTTTTGGAATATAGAAGCCACCTTGCAAAACAACTGGGATATCCAAATGGGCATTTTAGTCAAGAAATATTCACTCCTGAATACATGCCCACATTTATTCAACAGACATTCCTTACTCTCCATCAAATAATTAATAATGAAGACAGACCCTATGAATGTAAGAAATGTGGAAAGGCCTTTAGTCAGAACTCACAATTTATTCAACATCAGAGAATTCATATTGGTGAAAAATCTTATGAATGTAAAGAGTGTGGGAAATTCTTTAGTTGTGGTTCACATGTTACTCGGCATCTGAAAATTCATACTGGCGAAAAACCCTTTGAATGTAAGGAATGTGGAAAGGCCTTCAGTTGTAGCTCATACCTTTCTCAACATCAGAGAATCCATACCGGTAAGAAACCCTATGAATGTAAGGAATGTGGGAAGGCCTTTAGTTATTGCTCAAATCTTATTGACCATCAGCGAATTCACACTGGTGAAAAACCTTATGAATGTAAAGTATGTGGGAAAGCCTTTACTAAGAGCTCACAACTTTTTCAGCATGCACGAATTCATACAGGTGAGAAACCCTATGAATGTAAGGAATGTGGCAAAGCCTTTACCCAGAGCTCAAAGCTTGTTCAACATCAGAGAATTCATACTGGTGAGAAACCCTATGAGTGCAAGGAATGTGGCAAAGCCTTTAGTAGTGGCTCAGCACTTACTAATCATCAGAGAATTCACACTGGTGAGAAACCCTATGATTGTAAGGAATGTGGAAAGGCTTTTACTCAGAGCTCACAGCTTCGTCAACATCAGAGAATTCACGCTGGTGAGAAACCCTTTGAATGTCTTGAATGTGGGAAGGCCTTTACTCAGAACTCACAACTTTTCCAGCATCAGAGAATTCATACAGATGAAAAACCATATGAATGTAATGAATGTGGAAAGGCCTTTAATAAATGCTCAAACCTTACTCGACATCTGAGAATTCACACTGGTGAAAAGCCCTATAACTGTAAGGAATGTGGGAAGGCTTTTAGTAGTGGCTCGGATCTCATTCGTCATCAGGGAATTCATACTAATAAATAATAAAAATTAAAGCCCCTGTCACCTTCCTCATATTTTAAACCAAAAATCATGTCTAATAGTTACCCTCTTCCGTAGTTTTTTTTAAAACTTTGTATTTAAATTTTGTATCCAAATGTATTTCATTCCAGGTTATAAATTCGGAGTCTAAAGTGACATTCCCTCTCTCCCCCAGTCATATACCGATGCCAGCTGTTCTATAATTCTTTCATTCATTGTTTTGTTCTACTTTCTTGGTGACACATTATACTCATGTTTATATTTGCTTGTGTTTTTAGAGCTATCTTTTCTGATCTGTGTATTTGTGTTTGCACCAGTATCACACTGTTTGAATTGTGTGACCTTTAATATTTTTAAATTCCTTGTGGAGGTTTAACTTTGTTTTTGAAGTTAGTGTTAGTCTTTTTGTTTTATTTTATTATTATTATTATATGTTTTTTGAGACGGAGTTTCACTCTGTTGCCCAGGCTGGAGTGCAGTGGCGCAATCTCGGCTCGCTGCAACCTCCACCTCCCGGCTTCAAGCAATTCTCCTGCCTCAGACTCCTGAGTAGCTGGGATCACAGGCGTGTGCCACCACACCCTGCTAATTTTCTATTTTTAGTAGAGACAGGGTTTCTCCATGTTGGTCAGGATAGTCTTGAACTCCTGACCTCAGGTGATCCACCTGCCTCAGCCTCCCAAAGTGCTGGGATTACAGGCATGAGCGATTGCACCTGGCTTTATTTTTTGTTGAGACGGAGTTTCGCTCTTGTTGCCTAGGCTGGAGTGCAATGGTGCAATCTCGGCTCGTCACAACCTTCGCCTCCCAGGTTCAAGTGGTTCTTCTGCCTCAGCCTTTTGAGTAGTTGGGATTACAGGCATGTGCCACAACACCCGGCTAATTTTTTGTATTTTTAGTAGAGACGGGGTTTCACCATGTTAGCCAGGATGGTCTCAATCTCCCGACTTCAGGTGATCCACCCGCCTCGGCCTCCGAAAGTGCTGGGATTACAGGCGTGAGCCACTGCGGCCGGTCTTTTTATTTTACAAATGTACATTTTTAATTGTTAAGCCAAAATCACAAAGCAAAAAATTACAAACTAAAAAGCCAAAATTAATTGTAATCATACTTATAGATGGCTGCTCTCAATTTGGTAGAGAAAATCGTGCTATACTTTGCTTTTTTAAGAAAGTGTAATTATGATATGCATGCTGTACCCTTAACTGCTTTTATCATGCCAAAGATTTCATGAGTGCCATTTCAGTAAATATAGATTTTTATTATTTTCATGACATATTTAATGACTTTAAAATGACTATTCCCATTATGGTTGCCACTAAATTTTTGCAGCTATAAAAGCTGACCTCGGCTGGGCACAGTGGCTCATGCCTGTAATCCCAGCACTTTGGGAGGCCGAGGTGGGCGGATCACAAGGTCTGAAGATTAAGGCCATCCTGGCTAACAGTGAAACCCCGTCTCTACTTAGCTGGGCGTGGTGGCATGTACCTGTAATCCCAGCTACTCGGGAGGCTGAGACAGGAGAATTGCTTGAACCTGGGAGGCGGAGGTTGCAGTGAGCTGAGATGGTGCCACTGCACTCCAGCCTGGGGGACAGAGTGAGATTCCGTCTCAAAAAAACACAAAAACTGCTGACCTCATTGGATGCTTATTTTTACTTTTAAAACATTTATTTTAATTGCTAAAATTATCTACATTTTCTCCTTGTGAGCTGTTTTGTTCCCTTACATCAATCCTAATCCCAATGCCATACTAGAAAGTAACACTGTTATGAAAGTGTTATTTATCAATCCAGATATTAATTTTTTGTTTGTTTGTTTTTTTTTTTTTTTGAGATGGAGTTCACTCTGTTGCCCAGGCTGAAGTGCAGTGGCACAATCTCAGTTCACCACAACTGCTGCCTCCCGGGTTCAAGCGATTCTCCTGCCTCAGCCTTCCTAGTATCTGAGACTACAGGCGCACGACACCATGCCTGGCTAATTTTTGTATTTTTAGTAGAGACAGGGTTTCACTATGTTGGCCAGGCTGGTCTTGAACTCTTGACCTTGTGATCCACCCACCTCGGCCTCCCAAAGTTCGGGGATTACAGGTGTGAGCCACTGTGCCCGGTCAATTATTTTTTCTTATAGCTATTAGTGGTGTTTTTGTTTTTTGAGACACAGTCTCGCTCTGTTGCCCAGGCTGGAGGGCAGTGGTGCAATCTCGGCTCACTGCAACCTCTGCCTCCCGAGTTCAAGTGAGTCTTCCGCCTCAGCCTCCCGAGTAGCTGGGACTACAGGCGCGCGCCACCATGCCTAGCTAATTTTTGTATTATTAGTAGAGATGGGGTTTCACCATATTGGCCAGGCTGCTCTCAAACTCCTGACCTCGTGATCCTCCTGCCTTGGCTTCCCAAAGTGCTGGGATTATAGGTGTGAGCCACCGCCCCTGGCTGTTAGTGGTATTTTAAAAAATTATGTCTAGGCATCTATAATAAGGCTGTATGTATTGGATTGCTGTGAAGAGTCAATGAATTAATAAATGCAAAGTACCTCAAACTGTTATCACATAATACAGGTTTAGTAAAAGTTTTCCACTATTATCAGTGATATACTCATTATCATAAGTATCTTCATTAGGATTTATGGAAAGGATTTTAACCATGTTGTTTACCTTTGGCAAATTTGTAATTCATGGTGGAAAAAGAGAAACACTTGTAATGAGTATAACGAAGCCTTTCCCTATCATTATTATTCAGTGTGGAATTTTAAAAGGAAGAGAAAAAGTATGTGTGCATAGTCTTTGTTCAGACTTTATCTTTTATGCTACATAAAGAATACCAGTCTGAGGCTGGGCGCGGTGGCTCACACCTGTAATCCTAGCACTTTGGGAGGCCAAGGTGGGTGGATCACTTGAGGTCAGGAGCTCGAGACCAGCCTGGCCAACATGGTGAAACCCCGTCTCTACTAAAAATACAAAAAAAACAAAAACAAAAACAAATAGCCAGGCATGGTGTTGCATGCCTGTAATCCTAGCTACTCAAGAGGCTGAGGTGGGAGGATTGCTTGAACCTGGGAGTTGGAGGTTATAGTGAGCTGAGATTGCACCACTGCACACTCCAGACTGGGTGACAGAGCGAGACTCTGTCTTACAAAATAAAAAATAAACGGTTACCAATCTGAAACCCTGAAAATATGATGAGTAGTAGAAAGCACAGCTGTCAAAAAAGCAGGAAGAGATTATAAAATTTTTTCTAATATTTCCCCCCAAAATGCAGAAAACATACTGGCAACATTATTTGACCAGAAGAAGCAGTACAATAGGATAACCATCAAATATCTGATTATTAATTCAATATTCCCTCTTAATTAACATGGGTTAAGGAATAAATCCCTAATATATACATTATTTAAATGTACATGAAAATGAAAACAATTGAAAAACCTGTGAGTGGCAGTAAAAGTTGTATTGGAAGTTTTATAACCTAATATTTGTGCATATATTGTAATACTAGGAAGAAAAAATATAGAACCCAAGGAACTAAAACAAGCTGAAATGAATTGTGGGAGGAAGGAGGTAGTATTATTTTAAAAGGCAGAAATAATTGAAAGAAAAAAACTGGATCTGAATCCAAAATTGATATTTGATGGAAGAGAAAAAAAATGAGACAAAGTTTAGTGATTCCAGAGGTGAAATAAGGATGACAAATAAACAATATTGTATATGAGAAATTGAAATGGCTATATATGTAAACTTAAAAGAACTGTGTCATTTGGGGTAATGAAAATGTGGCATGGGTAAAGGTTGTACAATTTTGTTTATATACTACAGGTCACTCAACTATACACTTTAAAAGGGTGAATATTATGCTGTGTGAATTTGATCTCAATTTAAAAACTTAAGGCTGGTTGCAGTGGCTCATGCCTGTAATTCCAGCACTTTGGGAGGCTGAGGTAGGAGAATGGCTTGAGGCCAGGAGTTCAAGACCAGTCTAGGTAACATAATGAGATCCCCCTCCCCTCATCTCTACAGAAAAAAAAAAAAATTAAAACAACAAACTTAAAAGTTGGTATTATAGACATTTTTATAATATATCTGAAAATCTGGAAAAAGTCTGTGATTTTTAATAAGTTGACGACATCAGAATTAACTGGAGGTGTAAAATCTTAATAGACCTCCCTCCAGAATAAACTTATTTAAAAAAATAAGACTGGCCAGGCATGGTGGCTCACGCCTGTAATCTCAGCATTCTGTGAGGCCAAGGCGGGTGGATCACCTGAGGTCGGGGATTTGAGACCAGCCTGACCAACATGGAGAAACCCTGTCTCTACTAAAAATACAAAAAATTAGCCGGGCGTGGTGGCTCATGCCTGTAATCCCGGCTACTCAGGAGGCTGAGGCAGGAGAAAGGCTTGAACCCGGGAGGCAGAGATTGCGGTGAGCGGGGATCATGCCATTGCACTCCAGCCTGGGCAACAAGAGTGAAACTCTCTCAAAAATAAATAAGTGAAATAAAATTTTTCTTAAAATATATTTTAAATGTCAAATTGCTACACTAAAAAAGACACCAAGGTAGAGATTTTTATAGGTGAAATCTATGAAATGTCTTAGGAAACTCTTCTAGGACATAGACTGAGATAGCAAATTATCTATTTTTAAAATTTGTCATAATCCTGATGTTACAACCTACTAGAACCCAAAACAATTTGTCCAGAATCAGTTATGAAAATACAGCATTATAAATTAGCAAATCAAATCTAGTAACCCATTGAAAATAAATATTTGTCACATTCTGAATTTAGGAAAAAACAATTCTGATAAATCAAACTTTCTACTTTCTGAAACTTGAAAATCAAATTGATTTAGATAAGATTGTATTTCTTAGTGTCTGAACTCAGGAACCAAATAGATGTGGATAGCATGGGATTTTTGGAATACAAGATAAGATAATTTACATGGGATTGCAAAAGTTCAAATAACTAAAGTTCTGTCAATGAAAATATATGCTCTAACCTCAACATCTTCTAGATGAACCCTTTTTTCTAGCAGTATTTGACAGGATGGGATATATTTTATAAATAAACTTGGACTATTATCCTATCTGCTGCAGTATCACTGTTCATTCATTTATGCCCTTTACTTCCTACTTGAAGGGTCTTTAAACATAGCCAACATATCCAATCATTGCTGTGCATTTTGGATGAGGGTGGATTGCGGGGCTGCATTCAAAGCCATCCTGGGCCACATGCAGCCTATGGAGCGTGGGTTGGATGAGCTTGATGTACCACGTTTTCTTTATCCAGTCTACCATTGATGGGCACCTGGGTTGATTCCCCATCATTGCTATTGTGAATAGTGCTGCGATCAACATACAAGTGCATTTGTCTTTTTGGTAGAATGATTTCTTTTCTTTTGGGTAGATACACAGTAATGGGATTGCTGGGTCAAATGGTAGCTCTGTTTTAAGTTCTCTGAGAAATCTCCAGGCTGCTTTTCACACTGGCTGGACTATTTTATGCTCTCACCAACAGTGTATAAGCATTCTCTTTTCTCCGCAGCCTCACCAGCATCAGTTGTTTTTTGACTTTTTGTTTGAGACAGAGTCTCGCTGTGTCACCCAGGCTGGAGTACAGTGGCATGATCTTGGCTAACTGCAACCTCCGCCTGTTGGGCTCAAACAATTCTCCCACTTTGGCGTCCCAAGTACCTGGGATTACAGGTACATGCCACCGCACCCACCTAATTTTTGTATTTTTTGTACAGATGTGGTTTCACCATGTTGCCTAGGCTGGTCTCAAACTCCTGGGTTCAAGCAATCCCCTACCTTGGCCTCCCAAACTGCTAGGATTACAGGAGTGAGCCACGGCACCCAGCTTATATTTGTGTATATGTTAAATTGTATATGTTATTTTATGTATGTGTATATATTAAGTTGTAGATTCACATATATAATTATATACACATATATTACATTATATGCACATATATTTGTTTACTCGTGCAATTTGTCCCAGCAGAAGTAAAAACTCATATAAGTAAAATAATATTTACAGGCCAGGCGTGGTGGCTCACATCTGTAATCCCAGCACTTTGGGAGGCTGAGGCGGGAGGATCACCTGAAGTCAGGAGTTTGAGACCAGTCTGGCCAACATGGTGAAACCCCGTCTCTACTAAAAATACAAAAATTAGCCGGGTGTGGTGGCGCATGCTTGTAATCCCAGCTACTCAGGAGGCTAAGGCAGGAGAATCGCTTGAACCCGGGAGGCAGGGTTTGCAGTAAGCCAAGATCACACCATTGCACTCCAGCCTGGGGTACAAGAGTGAAACTCCATCTCAAAAAAAAAAAAAAGTATTATTTTTGGTGCAAAAGTACTTTAACATCTTAAATGCTCATATAATGGAAGATACTTTAACTCTTAGAAAGAATGAGTTAGCTCCCTTTCTACTCTAAAGGTATCCTAATATCTTTGTACCTGAAGTGGTGTCTGATTCAAATTGTTATATTAAAAAAGGAAAATGCTTTATAATAATAATAATAATAAAAGAAACTTTATATAGTAGCCCTCCCTTATCTGCAGGAGATGTGTTCTAAGACCCGCAGAGGATGTATGAAACCGTGGATAGTATGACCCAATTGCTGTCGATCAGAACACATTTCTGTTTATGTTTTCCAAGCACAAATTTAATGTTTTTTTTTTTTAATCTTAACTAAGCACTTATCACACGTGGCTGTATTTTTTAGAGCTTGGGGTTCAACAAACAAGACTAGCAGAAATTTCTTTTCCTCCTTACACTTTCACAGCTAGAAGATTTGTTCTTACCATAGATCTTAGCAACCTCAGCACACGACTTATTTTCCTTATTCAGTCAAGAATTTTCACATTTTCACTTAAAGGAAACACTTTAGGGCTCCTCTTCTGCATATCTAAATTGACAGCATCACTACTCTTGCATTTTAGGGCCATCATTAGGTACAATTAGCGTCACTTAAACACAAGCGCTGTGATACTGCGGCAGTCAGTCTGATAACCAAGTTGGCTACTCACCGACTAAGGGTAGCGCATACAGCGTGCATCTGCTGAACAAAGGGGTGTTCATATCCCAGGCAGAATAAAGCAGGACAGTGAGATATTTCATCACGCTCCTCAGAACAGCCCACAATTTAAAGCTTATGAATTGTTTCTTTCGGGAATCTTGCATTTAATATTTTCAGACCACAATTTACTGTGGGTAACCGAAACTGTGGGAAGTAGAACCATGAATAAAGGGGGACTACTGTATATGCTTCTGTATGTGTGTAAATACTTACATGAATCGTGGAGAACATAATGGGAAGATGCTCATCATCTTGTTAACTCGTTATTTCAAGAGTGGAACTGGAGGGGGAATACTGCCTTTCCTTTATATTTATTTGTAATATTTCATTTTCATTATGAACATGTGTTATTTTAGTATTTTTAAATATTAATAAAGACAGGCAAAAACATGTAATTTTAATTCAAGGTGAAATCTTCAAGGCAATCATATATAATTAAACAGAGCAAATAAAACATTCTAAATCCTTGAAGGGAAAGGGGAAAAGAAAGCACAATGTAAAAACCAAGTGAATCTAAACGCAACAATATATCATAATGCCTAAGTTCGTGGGACCAATTCCAATCCAGTCCAAGGAAGCAGAGACTGGCGAGCAACATTCCCTTTCAGGCCCCTGCAGGGTCAAGAGCATGCTCCTGGAATAGACTGAGAAACTAGGGCAGGCTAAGTGAGGTGCCAGGAATAAAGACACCGCCTGACTGACACATTCTCCACTCTCCCTACACCCGCTCCTCTCACCAGCGCTTCCATCAGGCTCCAATTCCTCCCTCTTCCCAAGAGCCTCAGATTGAAACCTTGCAAGGAAGACACCCATTCTCAAAGTCACAGGCTTGGTAATCTGAGCGGCAAAGGTGAATGATCTCGTGCTCCCCCTAATCCCCACTACTCCCCTCGCCACTGCTGCCTAGCACCAGCCCCTCCTCCATAATTTGAACTGTCCTCCCAGGACTTGGAGGCGGGTCGGCCCAAGCACTTCTTACTGGCCAACATGGAGCAAACCTCCCCTCTCTTGCACATCCATTGGCTAAAAGATCTGTCTACTTAAGTCTGACTGCCACCTTCCCTTCTTTCTGTGCTGCCTGGATAGGACTGTCAGCTGGTCGCGTTTCCCATTGGTCACCGTTTCCGGAAGCCCGCCCCCACGTTTCCGGGAGCCCGGCGGACGCTGGGTCTGCAGATGCCATCCAGGCGCACGGCGGGTATAGTGGTTCCGCAACCTTGGGATGTTCGGCTGAGCGCCTGCCTAACATGGGAGCGCCTGCCTAACCCTCCTGACTGGAGGGTCAGCGGCGGGGAGTCCTGGCCTTCAATCGGCCATCGCCACGGCAGAAACTGGGGCCCGGGCTGCGTCCAGGCCCTTCCCCGTCCGTCCACAGGTCTCATGGGCGCCCGGACTGGGGCTGATGTAGTTTCCCGACCTCTGACACATAGGATCTGGAGATTAAAGGTATAAAAACGGGGACTTTTCAGCCCACTCAAGTAAAACACCCTTTTATTTTTCGGCAGGTGTTTTGTTGCAGAATGCCCTGAGGGGAGGGAGTGACTGCTGGGTTTCGGTTTATAAAATAAAATAAACTCCTGATTTAGATTATGTTTAATATGGCTCCCCAACCTTTAAAAATCCCACTTTTTGCCAGTTGTATTATTTAGTGGGATGTTGAAGGGGGGGGCCTGCGCCTCCACACCTGTGGGCGTTTCTCCTCAGGTGGGATGAAAGACTGAGAAAAGAAAAAGACACAGAGACAAAGTATACAGAAAGAAAAGTGGGCCCAGGGGACCAGCGCTCAGCATATGGAGGACCTGCGCCAGCACTGGTCTCTGAGTTCCCTCAGTATTTATTGATCATTATTTTTACCATCTCAGAGAGGGGGATGTGGCAGGACAGTAGGGTAATAGTGGGGAGAGGGTCAGCAGGAAAACATGTGAACAAAGGTCTGTCATAAACAAGGTTAAGAAAAGGTGCTGTGCTTTGGTGTGCGCGTACGCAAACATCTCGGTGCATTAAAGAGCAGTATTGCTGCCAGCGTGTCTCACCTCCAGCCTTAAGGCAGTTTTCACCTATCTCAGTAAATAGAACATACAATCGGGTTTTACACGGAGACATTCCATTGCCCAGGGATGAGCAGGAGACAGATGCCTTCCTCTTACCTCAACTGCAAAGATGCCCTCCTCTTTCACTAATCCTCCTCAGCACAGACCCTTTATGGGTGTCCGGCTGGGGGATGGTCAGGTCTTTCCCTTTGCTCTGTTACCAGGCTGGAGTGCAGTGGCACAATCTCCACTCACTGCAATTTCTACCTCCCAGATTCAAGTGATTCTCTTACTTCAGCCTCCTGAGTAGCTGGGATTACAGGCGCGTGTCACCACGCCCAGCTAATTTTTGTATTTTTAGTAGAGATGGGGTTTCACCATGTTGGCCAGGATGATCTCGATCTCTTGACCTCATGATTTGCCCGCCTCGGCCTCCCAAAGTGGGTTTTGATTTTTTTTATAGTGGTAATGATTCTGTCTTCTTAACTCCTTTAAAATCTTAGTCAGTGGGCTGGGCGCTGTGGCTCATGCCTGTAATCCTAGCACTTTGGGAGGCCGAGGCGGGTGGATCACTTGAGGTCAGGTGTCTGAGACCAGCCTGGCCAAGATGGTGAAACCCCATCTCTACTAAAAATACAAAAATTAGCCGGGCGTGGTGGCGGGCACCTGTAATCCCAGCTACCCAGGAGGCTGAGGCACGAGAATCACTTGAACCTGGGAGGTGGAGGTTTCATTGAGCCGAGATTGTGCCACTGCACTCCAGCCTGGGCATAGAGCAAGACTCAGTCTAAAAATATATATATATATATATATATATATATATATATGTTGGTGGATCTCTTACTTTCACAGGATTTATTTCATAGTGTGAATGAGACACCTCCTATAGGCTCCAGGTTGCTAACTTCATGAGGTGTGAAGATTCGGTGCTTTATAAAACAGCCCCCACATTCTTCATAGGCCTGTCCTTAATTCTCAGCACCCCTCTGCTTCTGACATTGTACCTAAAATTAAGTTTTTTGTGGTTATATGAGAGCTCTGGAAATGCCCAGCATTAGCCACTAATGTTTCCGTTTGATATTTCCCCATATCTTAATAGTGACCCTCAATCCATTACTCAGATGGGTGTCCTTTTCTTGGATGTCTGGAAACTAATACCAGCTATCCCTGTGACCTCCCTGCTGAGCCACCATTTTGTCTTTTCTCTTTTCTTGTCTACAATTGTGTTCGTAACCCTCAGCTCTTTCATGAGCAGCCTTGATGCTTTCGACTGCTTCTAACTCTGAGTTTATTACCCGCAGTTTCCATGAGCCAAGTTTAGGGGCCTGTGAGACCGTCCCATGTAAATTTTCACATTCCTCTAACCAAAATGTAGTGTTTCCTTCCATCCAGAATGTAGGCCGTAGACCCCGTGGGTATGGGGCATTGTTAACAGTGAGACCACAGCAGTTTTTATGTCATCTGACAGCATCTCCAAATAGCCTTCATGGTTGTCACTGCTTCCCAATGACAATTCCAAATAACAGTTCCCAGTGATGACTTGCTACTTGATATTGTTACTTAATATGTTAAGGTGGCTGTTGTAGGCACTATTACTGTGTAAGAAATTACACCAAAATTTAGTGGCTCAACACAATCATTATGTTTGTGGATTCTCATGCTCATGGTCAAGATTTCAGACAGGGCACAAGAGTGGCCTGCTGTCTCTGTCCATGATGTCTGGCTTCAGCACGGAAGACTCAACAGCTGGGGGCTGGAACCATTTGGAGGCTTGTTCCCTTATATCTGATACCTGGCTTGGGATGTTGGAAGATGGGGCTCAGCTGGGACTGAGTGCCTACATGTAGTGTTTCCATGTGGCCTTGACTTCCTTACAGCCTGGCAGTCTCAGGGTAGTCAGAATTCTTAGGTGGCACAGGTTCCCAGGGCAGATGCTGAGTGGTCTTTTATGAGGTAACACAACAAATCCACCCAGGATCGGGGAGACAGGACATCGATTCTGCCTCTCAAAGGGAGGAGTGGCCATTTTTTAAAAATTGCCACAGCAACATGCCTATTAATATATCAGAAAAATTTGAAGTATCCTGATAGCTGCATTTCTTTTTTTTTTTTTTTTTTTAAACGGAGTCTCTCTCTGTCATCCAGGCTGGAGGAGTGCAGTAGCACGATCTCGGCTCATTGCAACCTCCGCCTCCCGGGTTCAAACGATTCTCCTGCCTCAGCCTCCTGAGTAGCTGGGACTATAGGCACACGTCACCATGCCCAGCTACTTTTGTATTTTTAGTAGAGACAGGGTTTCACTATGTTGGCCAGGATGGTCTCGATCTCTTGACCTCATGATCTGCCCACCTCAGCCTCCCAAAGTGCTGGGATTACAGGGGTGAGCCACCACTCCTGGCCAATAGCTGCATTTCTAAGTAATTAGTCTCCTTTGAAATTCTATGAATTTTATTTCCTGTAGTTTACAGCATTATTTTGAGAAGGGATCAAAGACTCTTCCATATATCAGAAGGATCCTGGACAGAACAAGCTCACTGCCAACCATTTCCCCCAATATATACATGTATATATGTATTTTTTTTTTTTTTTTTTTTGAGACACAGTCTCACTCTGTTGCCCAGGCTGGAGTGCAGTGGTGCAATCTTGGCTCACTGCAGCCTCCGCCTCATGGGTTTGAGCGATTCTCGTGCCTCAGTCTTCCAAGTAGCTGGGATTACAGTTGTGCACCACCACTCCTGGCTCATTTTTTCTATTTTTAGTAGAGACTGGTTTCATTGTGTTGGCAGGGCTAGTCTTGGACTCCTGGTCTCAGTGATCCGCCCGCCTTGGCCTCCCGTAGTGCTGGGATTATAGGCGGGAGCCACCATGCCCAGTCCATTTCCCCCAGTATTTGAAATGCACAGTTTCTGCTCTGGTTCATTGGTCAGGGCAGGACTTTCTCGTTTGCCTTAAACCTAACAGTAGTTTAGAAATTGGCCTGTAACTTTTTTTGGCATGATTTCCTTCTGTTTGTGCTGATATTTTTCTCACCTCAATAAGGATAGGAGCTTCTTTTCCTTTTTTTTTTTTTCCAGGTAGAATCATGTTTTCTTTTAATTGAATACTTAACTCACAATGTTTCCTGTTTTGCAGCTGCTCTGCTAATAATTAGGTTCCCACCTCTCAAGATCATTAGGAGCTTCTTTTCCAATTCCTCTGTTTTGCATGCATTGGAAGGTAAGTTTCCTTGTAAACCAGATTTTGGACTCTGCAGGCTTTGCCAAATGGCCTTTTTACCCTCATGTATATTGCATTTTCTTTGGATAGTCTCATGGATTCTCAAGGATATTGTATTCCTGTATTTTACCATTCATGAGTTTAGAAGTGTGTTTACTTTCCTGAGTTTTCATTTTCTTTTTCTTCTGTCATATGTAATTTACAGAGCAAATACCTACCAGAATGGATAACTTGAGAGATGTGGAAAGTGAGTTTCTTTGCGCTTATCTAGTGAGGGTGATTTTTAGTCAATAAGCATTTGGTATATGCCTGGGAATCCAACAGCTGCTATTTAGATTCAGAGCCAGCCTTTATTTATCAGCTTTCTGATGCTGAACCCATCAGTGAACTTCTCTGTATATTTGATTCATCATAAGGAAAATGGTGACGCCGAGGGTGACTGATTTCCAGGTTTACATCGGTTGCCCCAGGGGAAGTGCCTGGCCCCCATCTGGTCCTTGCTGCTCTAACTTTGCCCTGTTAATTGAAGAAATGCAGGTATAAACACTTCCTGGGTTGTTGCTGGCATTTATTGTCCTCACAGTTTACAGAGAAGCCCATATTTTCAGCCTCTTCCTCTGCTTTCTGTCATTTCTGAACCATCTCACCCGACCTGGTGTAATTTTCATTGTGTGTGAGTTTGCACAGATGTAATTTGGGCCTACATGTGTCCAAAGCCTAATGCCCACCTCCCACCTCCACTAGGATCTGGAGCTCAGGACCCACTACCTCCCCGGCCCACTGCAAGCTTGAACATTTGATGGTGGACACCCCTCCCTGACTTTGTATTATGGTGGGTTCTCTTGGGTCTTGTTCTCTGTGGGTCTGTCCTGCGCTATACTGTGTGGAGCCGGGGGGATTTTCCCTGTGTTCCCAAAAGAGGGTCACAAGGAGTTTTTGAGCAAAGAGGGGCTGATAGTTCTTAAGGGTATCCCACAGAAGGGAGAGGCCAGACATATTCAGGAAAATCTTGTTTTTTTATTCTTGTAGGTCCAGATTTTGGATGAATCTCTATAGAGATTGAACAGATAAGGCTCACCTTTCAATAGTTACACCAAGAAAGGCCTAGGTGGTGACTTAAGCTATGGTTTTGGGCAGCACGAGAGTGGTCAGGTGGACAGTAGGGAAGTCTACATGTAACCCAAACGGAAAAGAGAAAAGGCCCCTGAGAAATCAGGGCAAAGTCCCACAGTGTCTCTTTCCCCATAGTGTCACTGGTGTGGGGGTTACCTTCCCACTATGTCTCCCAGAAGACATGAGGGCACAGACTACAGTGCCTGTGGACAGAGGAGCTGTGGGGATGGAAGTGTGATTGCTTCATTCAAATGCACGCCCCGGTGCGTGTGCGTCTCTTCTGATGCAGCTCCCCATGGGTAAGCTCTGTGCTTCTCCACACAGTGGATCAGGAGTGGAAACATTCTGTCTGTTTAGCACTTGACGGTTTGGTGGTGACCTGATGTCATGGTGATAATAGAGGCAATGATCCTAACAGCTTAGAACTGTTCAGCTTGGCCGGGCCTGGTGGCTCACACCTGTAATCCCAGCACTTTGGGAGACTGAGGTGGGGGTATCACCTGAGGTCAGGAGTTTGAGACCAGGCTGGCCAACATGGCGAAACCCCGTCTCTACTAAAAATACAAAAATTAGCCGGGTATGGTGGCACACGCCTGTAATCCCAGCTACTTGGGAGGCTGAGGCAGGAGAATCGCTTGAACCCGGAAGGTGGAGGCTTCAGTGAGCTGAGATCTTGCCATTGCACTCCAGCCTGGGTGACGGAGCGAGACTCTGTCTCAAAAAAAAAAAAAAATTGTTCAGCTTGTGGGTAGGTATTTGGGAAACATTATATGTATTACCTAGTCTTAGTTATCTGCAGTGGTTTTGTTATTTTTTGCATAAACTGCTGAGAATGTTTAATAATTGTAGATGATAGATCACTAGTCACTCTAAAATCTTCCCATTTCTTGGTCTAGAGCTGGGGCTGGATCCCTCAGCAACGAGGAGACCTGAAAACTAGAGGAAAAAAAGCAGGTCCTCCCTATAAACCACTCATCTGTGCTCTCTTCCAATTTATTCTCCTTTTGTGTACATCATTTTAAGGGGCTATAATCATCTTGTTCAGACCTCAGGATATAAAATGACCCATCTGTAGACCTCCAGCCGTATCCCAAAGTTGTCTGTTTTGTTTTTTTTTGAAATTCCTGACAAGTTTCAGTTGTAGCTGTGCCCTGAGGAAACATTCCCGATTCCCGGAGTAGCTTCCAGGTTAAAGTCCTGTAGGCTTCTTCTGTTTTTAGAAATTCCTATCAGAGAAAGACCTGATTTTGGATTTTTAGCTTTAATGCTTGTGAAAAGCTATAAAAATAATTTTCTACGCCTAGCTTTGAAGTACTGTTAGTGAGAAATTAAAATTCCTTCAGGAGGATTAAACTGCCATTTCTGTTACCCTAATTACAAAAGTTTTGGTTGTTAGAATTTTCTTTACTGTTCATGAAGAAGTATTTTATATTTTCCTTCGACATTCATTCTCTTTAGCAGGTAATTTTGAACTTTAGTTTCTTAAATACCCAAATTTGGTTTTTCCTCAGTCTTCTCTCTGCTACAGATTTCTAACTTAACAGGAAAGGCAGTTTTCCTCAAAAAGGGCAAAGAACAGCGGGAACAGTAGAGGGCACCTTCAACCCCAGCATGGAATTGACGTTCCTGCTTCAAAATGAACCATCACAGCAATCTTGGCTTTTTGATTTGGACCCTCATTTCTCTTATAATTTGAACTTATATTGGAGAGAAGGGGCCTGTCTCTTAAGCCAGCTAGTTTTTGTACTGGATATTTATATATCATTTCATTTGTTCCTTAGTGTTTTTTCATTTCTATTATGATTTGTTCTGTGGGATGTGACTTACCGGTGTGTTTTTCACGTTTATAAAGCTGAATACTTCTGTATGTCAGCTTAGCACCCCTAGCATCAGCCATGCTACTCTCCTGCTGTGCATAGATGGGGGCCTGTCCCCCTGCTGAATCTCCTGGGTTCCTGCTGTCAACACCTGAAGGTACCCACCAGATGTGTCTGTCACTTCCCTCCATCCACCTCTCTTGTGTTTCTCATGTTTCTGCCTCCCTAGAGACCATTTCTCTCTAGAGCAGTGCTTTCCAATAGAAATACAATGCCAGACACATACGTCATTTTAGATTTTCTAGTAGTCACTTTAGAAAAGTTAAAAAGAGGCTGGGCATGGTAGCTCACACCTGTAATCCCAGCACTTTGGGAGGCTGAGGTGGGCAGATTAGCTGAGGTCAGGAGTTCGAGACCAGCCTGGCCAACATGGTGAAACCCCGTCACTACTAAAAATACAAAAATTAGCCGGGTATGGTAGCAGGTGCCTGGGATTACAGCCTCCCGAGTAGGCTGAGACATGAGAATCACTTGATTCTGGGAGGTGGAGGCTGCAGTGAGCCGAGGTCATGTGCACCACTGCAATCCAACCTTGGCAACAGAGCAAGACTTTGTCTCACACAAAAAAAAGAAAAGAAAGAAAAGTTAAAAGGGAGCAGGTGAAATTAATAATGTGTTTTATTTCACCTAAAATGTTAGTATTATCCAGAATATCACTTCAACGTCTTATCAAAATAAAAATTATTAATGAGATAGTTTGCATTCTTCCTCTTTTTTGAGATGGGCTCTTGCTTTTTTTTTGGCCCAGGCTGGAATGCAGTGGCACCAGCATAGCTCACTGCAGCCTCAAACTCCTGGGCTCGAGATCCTCCTGCCTCAGCCTTCCTAGTAGTTAGGACTACAGGCACACACCACCATGCCCAGCTAATTGTTTTTCTTTTTTGTTTGTTTGTTTTTCTTTTTTTTCTTTTTTCTTTTTTTTTTTTTTTTGAGAGGAAATCTCACTCTGTCACCCAGGGTGGAGTGCAATGGCATGATCTCAGCTCATTGCAACCTCCGCCTCCCAGGTTTAAGTGATTTTCCTGTCTCAGCCTCCCAAGTAGCTGGGACTACAGGCGTGCACCACCATGCCTAGCTAATTTTTTTGTATTTTTAGTAGAGACAGGGTTTCACTATGTTGGCCAGGCTGGTCTTGAACTCCTGACCTCAGCTGATCCACCCACCTCGGCCTCCCAAAGTGCTGGGATTACAGGTGTGAGCCACTGCGCCAAGCCTTTTTTTTTTGAGATAGGGTGATAGGGTCTCACTCTGTCACCCAGGCTGCAGTGGTATGATCTTGGCTCACTGCAACCTCTGCCTTCCAGGTTCCAGTGATTTTTCCCACCTCAGCTTCCCTATTAGCTGGGACTACAGGTACACGCCACCACACCTGGCCAATTTTTTGTATTTTTTGTATACATAGGGTTTCACCATGTTGGCCAGGCTGGTCTCGAACTCCTGACGTCAAGTGATCCATCTGGCTTGGCCTCCCAAAGTGCTGGGATTACAGGCGCGAGTCACCGCACTTGGCCTTAGCAATCTTTCAAGTGCTCAGCAGCCACATGTGGCAGTGGCTGCCTTATTGGACAGCGCAGCTCTGAACGGTGATTTTATGTACATCCCCACTGCTCTCTCTGCCTCCTTTATTCCCATCTACCCCACACCCCTGATGTCTATTGGAGGGAGTCTACTGGGAGTGTGGAGGCTTTCCTGTCCCTAGCATGGATGACATCAGCAGGTGGTGATGAAAGTGATTAAACAGCATTCTCATCACAAAAAAAAGTCAAGTATTTGAGGTAATGGGTTGGTTAATTTGATTTCATCATTCCACATCGTAATGAAAAGTCATACCATCATTTTATACCCCATAAATATATATAATTTAGAAGATAGATAAAAATCAGCCAAAACAATTCTTTGAAATATTTTTAAGCAAACATGTACAATTTATGGGGTACAATATCATTTGTTAGTATATATAATTTTTTTTTATGGGGAGTCAGTTAACACAGGAAACAGCCCCTTGAAAGGGAGATACCCCCACACCCCTGGAGTAGCCCCTGGAGGACTATCGCCTCCCTCTCTCCTCTCTTTCTGTCTCATATTCCTTTAATTTGGAGAATCATTTCCAATTCCTTAACATTCTGGCCTGATTTTTTTCTGTCTTACATTCAAAGGTCACAGTTTTCCTCTCACCCTCATTTCAGTCTTTTCCCATAAGATGTGACATGCCTTTTTGTCTTGGTTGGGCATTTATTTGCAATACAAGAATGATTGTTTTCTTTGATACATTAATGACTTAGATACTTTTCCTAGTAAAATGTATCTTAACAGAATTCCAAATTAATTCTAGACAGCATATTTTTAAAGGTGTGTATAGAGCTCCTTATGTTTCTTCCTTGATTTTTAAAATGACATATTTAGGTCTATATATTTTAGGATATAAGATCTCTATGTGTTGCTTTGCTTCATTGAACATTTTTGGTGATTATTTTTATTTTCTGTGTATTTTAGGATTTCCATTAAACTATATTCTCATTTCAAATTTCTATCTGAGTGATAGAATTATTTTAATGTAGGAAAGGTTCATCAAAAATGGGTGTAGTGATTGTGTTCTTTCCTATGCTCGAATGGAAAATGATGAGGGGACATGATGTTAGAGTTGCAGTGAGAAGGGGTGGAAAAGAGGGATTCCAGAGTGCCAGGCACACAGGTTTTCTGGAAGGTTTACATGAGGACTGCTGTGGTTTGAATGTGTTCCCCGAAGTTCATGTGTTGGAAACTCAACCCCTAATGCAACAGTGTTGACCAGTGGAACCTTTAAGAGGTGATTAGGTCATGAAGGCTCTGCCCTCATGAATGGATGAAGCTAGAGTGGGTTAGTTATCTTGGGAGGGGGTTCCTGATAAAAGGATGAGGTTGGCTTCCTTCCCTTTCTCTTTCCCCCTCCCCCCTTCACATGTGGTCACTCTCTTGCCCTTCCACCTTCCACCATAGGACGGCACAGTGAGACCTTCACCAGATGCAGGCCCCTCACTTTCCCAGTGTTCAGAACCGTAAACCAAGTGAACTCTTGCTTATAAATCACCCAGTCTGTGGTATTCTGTTATAGCAACACAAACGGACTAAGAGAGGGACACTCAGTGGGCTCTTCTCTCTACTTGATGGAGCACTCCCTGCGTGGTGCCTTGTATTTGTAGACATGATGCTGTAAATGTTTTTTGAATGTCTTGAAGGCTTTTGTTTGAGGAGTTTACAGAGAAGCCCCTACAGGCTTCAGGTCCCTTCTTCTGTTGCTTCTTTGCTCCTTAGTTCCTCCCCTAACCTGGTGCTAAATTAGATCATAGTGTGGTCCTTGGACCAACAGTATCAATAGCACCTGAAAGTCATGCTGGAAATACAGATTCACAGGCTGCTCCCCAGAATACTGAAGAAGAAACTCTAGGAGTGAGACCCAACAATCTGTGTTTAACAAGTCCCCAGGTGAGTCTGATGCACACAGAAATGTGAGCTGCTGTATTAGATGGTGTTGAGTTCATGCCACCGGATCACTGACACACACGTCTGCTCACTGCTTGCTCTTTGCACAGGCCCCTGGATCCTCCTGGAATCCCTGATCCCTGTTGCTCCCTGGCGGAGTTTTCTAGTCCCTCTTACTTGAAGCATGTCTTTCAGAGCCCGGCACCACCCAAGTTGGGTATCTGGTGAATTCTGTGGTCTGCATGTCCATGTTTGTGACATTCTGGGAAGGGTGGCCCAGGCTGTGATTTGCCATCTACTGCAGGCTATGGATGGTATTCAGAAGGGAGGGGAGATGCTGTGTGCGTGTTCTGAAGGGTTTCCCACTAAACAGACCAACCCTCTCCATAACTATTTGATTTTTACTTTATCTCCTCGTTGACTTCACAGTGTCAGTGCAGTTTGTGTAAACATCTCTACGGGGTGATGCATGCAGATAAATGTTTATGTGAACATATAAAGTCTGCATGTGTGGGTGAACACTCCACATCAGGTCATTGTCCATCATTACATATCTGTGGTGTCTGGCTCATTCCTCTCATTTTCTGTCATTTTACCTACTTTTACCTGAAGTACAATGACTATTTAATAACTATTAAATGTTTCATTTCAGCTACACCTCTATGGTATTTTTTTCACCTCATATCATACCTTCCTCCCTCACTGGACTTCAGTGTGGGACCTGCAGGTCTCAGGCCTTCTGGGAAGTCCCAGCTTTTCTTGAATGTTCTCTCTCTCTGGCCAGCTCAGGCTGGAGCAGTGGGTGTTGGTGCCATCCTGTGGCTATAGGTGATAAGCCGGCTGTTCTTCACTGACCTGGTCTTACCTTGAACCCTGGAGTTCTCACATGCATGGATTTAAATGCTGTGTCTTTCTAAGGGCACATTATGGCCATTTTCCTTATCTCCCTCCCAAGGGGCTGTTTCCTGTATTTATTGACTCCCTGTTTAAAAAAAATATATGTATATATAGACAAATTGGATTGTACCCCATAAACTGCATGTTTTAAAAATACTTCAAAGAATAGTTTTTCATTTTTTTCTTGCTGGTTTTTATGTATCTTCTAAATTGTATATATTTATGGGGTATAAAATGATGTTGTGATTTTTCAATACAGTGTGGAATGAGAATCAAATTAACCTATCCGTTACCTCAAGTACTTGACTTTTTTTGTGATGAGAAGGCTGTTTATCACTTTCACTCACCAGCTCCTGCTGTCTTCCATGCTGGGGACAGGAAAGGCTCCACGCTTGACTTTCCCTCCTGTTTTCTTATCTGCTGTCAACCCCTGAATGTACCCTCCAGGATTGACTTCTAGACCTTCTACATCTAGCTCGATCGTTGTGCACCCACCTTCCTCCCAGGGACTGTCCTTAGGGAGTGACTTTATGCACAAACTTCACATGCTCTTCCTGCCTCCTTCATCCCCAGAAGCCCCCATCTCAGCCCCATCTGATTATTTCCTCCCTCTCTCATTTCCTGTTATGCTGTTGGTTTTCTAACCTGAAGGGTAACTTCTTACTCCTTAGTTTTTTGCCTTAATTTCTAAGTCATAGGCTACTTTCAGGCTAAAAGTTTTCCTCCAGCCATGGTTTTAGTCTCATTCTATAAGTCTTGCTAGGTAGTTTATTCATTGGAAATTTTTTGTTTTTGAGACAGAGTCTCGCTCTATCACCCAGGCTGTAGTACAGTGGTGCCATCTCAGCTCACTGCAACCTCCGGTTCCCGGGCTCAAGCAGTTCTCTTTCCTCAGCCTCCTGAGTAGCTGGGATTATGGGTGCCTGCCACCACACCCAGCTAATTTTTGTATTTTTAGCAGAGACGGCATTTCACCATGTCAGCCAGGTTGGTCTCGAACTCTTGACCTCAAGTGATCCGCCCGCCTTGGCCTCCCAAAATACTGGGATTACAGGGGTGAGTCACCGCACCCCACCCCTTGGCACTATATTTAAGTGATGATATTTTTGGACACTGAGGTAGCCTCATTCCACAGGTTTAGATCTGAAGCATTTTCACTATTGCTTCTTTCCATGTATTTCCTGGTTTGCAGGTCAGTTTCTTCTTTTAATTCATCATTGACACAGTGGTTTATATGGCTTTTAATTTCAAAAGATTTTTTAAAATATCTTTTTGCCGATTTTTATCTATGTTAATTTTAACTAGACATGTTCCCTGGAAGGACATCACTAGTTTTTTTTTTTTTTTTCCCTCTGTTTATAATTTAGGTGGATTTTCACATCTCAAGCCAGCTAAGAGTATGGGAAATAGGACTCGTTAAAGCACAGGTATCACACAAGTGATTCAGATTCACGAGGGTAATCCAGATGAAGGTATATCATTGTACCTGGCCCGCATCACTCAATAACTGTCACCTTTGATTTATTGATTTACTTGAGATGGAGTTTGGTTCTGTCCCCGAGGCCGGAGTGCAATGGCGTGATCTCTGCTCACTACAACCTCTGCCTCCCAGGTTCAGAGTGATTCTCCTGCCTCAGCCTCTTTAGCTGGGATTACAGGCACCCACCAACATGCCCAGCTAATTTTTGTATTTTTAGTAGAGAGGAGCTTTCACCATAATGGCCAGGCTGGTCTTGAACCTCAAATGATCTGCCCACCTTGGCCTCCCAAAGTGCTAGGATTACAGGCTGGAGCTACGGAGCCCAGCCTGTCACCTTGATTTAAATGAATGCAGCTTTCTTGGTGTCTTGATGTTTGTGAATTTCTGTGGAGTTTGATACTGCTCCTTTTGCTGCTTGTTTTTCCAGAGTCCCCTTATCACTTGACGTGCTGTTATATTATGTTTGATTTATTACAGATACCCCATCAGCCTGAGTCTCTTAAAGGCCTTTATACACATATGTCTACACATAGGGATTTGGATGATCTCGGGATCCCACATCCTCGCTGTCCCCTGTCCCCCCACAACATCCCACACCAATACCTTTCTGAAGTTTTCTAGTCCCTCCTTTTTGTTTGTGGTCCTTAAAGCCCAGCCCCATGCCTGACTTTGGTTCCCAGTGAGCATTGTACATTTGTGGATATTAAATCTTTGGCAAAGTCATTTACCTGGGCTGGAATAGGGCTCTTGGCTGATTCTTTTTCCTAAACACCCACCCAATGGGAGAGGCTGATACTCAACATGCAAACCTTGTGTTTTATTTCTCCAGGCGAAGGGATGTTGGAAGACATTCTGGAAGGGGTGGGGTGTGAAGATTTACAAATAATCTTTGAATATCTGCTTCATGATAGGTCTTGGAGGTGCCTTGTGGGTGTGGCTTTGGGGGGATGGTTACGAGGAAATTGTGGATATTAAGGAAGTCAGGAAAGGAAAAGATCAGTCACAATTCAACAATTCAGAGAAAGCTCCTAAGGGACTTTCTGGCTGCTTGATGCCCAGAGGCCAGGCCCTCACTTCGTATTAAGGCTCAGGACTGTGGATAGAGAATTTAAAGGGGCACCAAAAAAACATTAAAATAGATAAACATATTTTTAATGGAATACCTTTAAAAATGCAAATCAATGCACAAAGAAAACGCCCATGTTGAACAAAATGGTGACAATTGTGCCTTCTCTTCAACACCACCCCACCCTCCAGAAGTTTCCTTCAAGCCGTACCTGTAAGAGTAAAAATAGAGAAAAATAAAAACCTTTAAGTTAAAAGATAAAAATGAGCTGGGTGTGGGGGCTCATGCCTGTAATCCCAGCACTTTGGGAGGCCGAGGCAGGTGGATCACTTGAGGTCAGGAGTTCGAGACCAGGCTGGGCAATGTGGTGAAACATCGTCTCTACTAAAAATACAAAAAAACAAAAAAAATTTAGGTGGGCACAGTGGCAGGTGCCTATAATCTCAGCTACTTGGGAGGCTGAGGCAGGAGAATCGCTTGAACCTGGGAGGCGGAGGTTGCAATGAGCCAAGAGCATGCCATTGCACTACATCCTGGGAGACAGATCAAGACTCTGTCTCAAAAAAAACAAAACAAACAAACACCTCGGGAATTTCTGGCTCAAGCCTCTGATCCTCACCACCACTATCACCAGGGGATCTTTTGCTGTTCACCCAAGTCCAGCCTTCATCCCCTAAACTCCTGGGGAAATGCGACCAGACTCTCCCCATCTCCATTCCGGGAGTTTGCCTCAAGCCAATCTTGTTCTCCCTGAAAACGGCCTTGGGGTTCCCCATCCTGGTACACCCTCCTACTCTAGGGGACACAGGGCCGATGTTGCCCCCAAACCGGCAGTCCCAGGAGCGCATCGCTTCTCCCTGAACTGCTTCTGCCCCAACCTGGCATCTGCTTGGGGAAGGGCACCCCAGGGTGGAGACTTGCATGGTGAGCTCAGCTCACCTTCAGGTGAAGGTCAGCGCACACTGGCCACCCGGGACCACATTTTCCAGAATCCTTTGGCGGTCCCGCGATGCTCTCGTGGTCAGCAGCTCTCATTGGGTTGCAGAGGAGAAACTTGTCCGTGTCACTGGGGCATCTTAACAGTCGGCTCCTAAGCTTGGTTGTGTGCGCTGTGCAGATGTGAGAGGCACACCGTGTGGGCGAACCCAACTGCTTGCCTGCCTCTCTAGCTCCAAAACTACAATCCCCAGAGGCCTCTGCGGTCACTTCCACTACCCACCCTACACACCTTCTGTGTGTCGCGTTAATGTCAGAAGCACTTCTGTTTGGTGGCCCCGGCTGGTTAGGCTGGTTGGCACCCAGGGAGGCACCCAGGTCTTCCCCACACCTCTGCACCTCATTACCTGACCGGCTTCTGGATCCGCAGCGTGCATCTGCAGTCTGTGAGTCCCCTATAGGCACTCAGTATGCCCCTCTGCGTGTCCCTCTGTTACTCATGGGGACACAGTCTGGGAGCCGTAGACCTGTCTCAGAACTAGGGCGCCCTCCTGTGGGCACCTCCAGGCCATTTTCCTTTCACTGGAGCCCACCGGGTTAGAGACAGACCCTCACTCTGTTGCTTGGGGACAAAGGCTTCACTCCCTGGCCCGAGCTTGGGGCTGAGCTAGAGGGTTCGGGGTCATCCTGGGCCCCTCTGGATGGGAATTGGCTGCCCTGTTAATTTCTGTGACATCCCCGACCCTAACAGTGGGTCTCTGGAGCAGACTGCGCTTCACCCCATGGGAAGGGGGTTTCCACCTGAGAGTCAAAAAAGAGGTGAGAATTCTCTGTAATTCCATCTTGACTGTCAACAGGATGGATTCTGTTACCATTTCTTGCCCTGGAGGCTGCCTTGTTGGTATTGGGGAAAGTTCATTCCTAGTCCTGGAAAAGTGGCTCATTCCAACTGGAGTCCTCCCTCAGCATTCCTTTCTGCTGCATCCATCCTGCAGTCATTCATGTTGTTAATTGTAAACAAACACACATGGAACAGTTTAAATAAAACTACACAGATGTGTGTGCTTAATTGTTCAGTGATGTGGATGAAGGGCAGGGACAGCAGAGATGCCTGTGATTTCAAGGGCTTGGGGAGGACTCGTACAAGTAGAGCTGTCTCAGCTGCCCCTGACCGGTTTGGTACCTTGGAGATTCGGGGGAAGGCATTGCACTCGGAGGCAGAAGGAAGCATAGTCTGAGGCTGGGCTCTTGCTACAGGGTAGGAAGGATTATGGTGGCCAAGAGCCTTCTTAAGGTTGATTTTTAAATATGCATAGGTGAAGATACAGACTAGCTGTTCACACATAGAATAAGGAGAAGCTTTATAGAGTGTGACCTAAATTTTACATCACAGAACACTTTCACCTTCCGGCAGTTGGGACATTTCACCCAAAATTTGAAATTCCCTCCTACTCTGAAAATGAATCTGGCCTAACTCTGCACTGATGAATTTTTTTTTTTTTTTTGAGACAGTTTTGTGCTTGTTACCCAGGCTAGAGTGCAGTGGTGCAATCTACACTCACCGCAACCTCTGCCACACGGGTTCAACCGATTCTCCTGCCTCAGCCTCCCAAATAGCTGGGATTTACAGGCATATGCCACCACACCGCGCTAACTGTCTGGTACTTTTTTTTAGTAGACGCGGAGTTTCATCATGTTGGTTAGGCTGGTGTGATCCCCTGACCTCAAGTGATCCATCCGCCTCAGCCTCCCAAATTGCTGGGATTAAAGATGTGAGACACCTCACTTTGCCAGTATGCATTGTTCTTAGTGTCAGCCGCTGAAACTGCTACTTCTGCGTTACGCGACTACGAGCCACCGGTGAGAGAGCAGCCCACGGGCACACAGGCGGACCTGTGCTCGTCATCACAAGGGCTCCACTTTTGGGGAGACTCACCCGCACACCGTCCGCGCACGCCTGAGGCTGGGATCCCGCGCTGCCTCGCCGGCGATCTGTCTGAGGTTTCTTCCTCCTGGGGTTTCTTCCTGCTGGTGGACCCTCCGCGAATCCCGGCCTCCGGAGACCGTCCTGGTAACTACCCTGGCCAGGACTGGTCTCAGCCCAGACTCAGACGCACGATCACACAGGGCTGCTACTTCGCCAAGTGTCAGGGACCCATCCCCGGGCAACGGTGGCTTTCACTGTGGCCCAAGCGGCGGCTCGGGCCTCGCGCATGCGCACTGGCGAGGCCGACTCCCCCGCTCCACCCCCCCTTACTCCGCAGAGTCAGGCTGCGGACCCTTTAAAAAATGGCGGCGACGCGGCGGCTGCGGGGCCTGGGGCGGCGGTGCTGGAGGTTGCGTCGGCGGCGGCGGCGGCACAGCCAGAGGCGGCGGGTGGGAAGAGGACTGCCAGAGGGGCCTGCGGGAGACCCAGGGTCGGACCCATAGGAGTCCTGTGGTGAGGACCTCCTTGATCGCTCTTCTGCTTCGGTTCCCGCTGAAGGAGGAGTTTCGGGATGCCGGCTGGGCTGCGCGGACTCCTCTTGGGGTCCGATGATGGATCCAACCGGGTGATCGGGAATGGGGTTCCAATGCAGTGAGGCCGAAAGGGTCTCGCCGGGGCACAGAAAGATCCCCAGGGCCGCAAGGCGTGCTGTCGGCTGCAAAGGCACCGACCCATGAGCCCACTGCCTCCCTCCCTCCTGGCAGGAGCAGGGGCCTGCCTTCATCTCCAAGGCCCGAGGGCTCCGGCATCCCGACGCGGCTTCCGGCGACACGGGCAAAGAGAGACAGAGGCGAGTCCGAGCTGGAGCCAGCGTGTCCACATGTGGCACTGTCGTCCCCCAAGAGCACATGCAGGCAGCCTGTGTCTTTGAGGCTGTAGGGGGCGACGACAAGACGGACAGTGATGTCCAGGCGTGCGCCCGGGGGGCCACTGGAGACCGGCCCCACAAAGCGAGGAAAAGCCAAGCGCACCTGAAAACCTGCGAGACAGGGCCTGTGCGCGAGTCCACGCCACGTTCAGGGAGGCCCGCCAGAGGAGCCGAGAGGTTTGGACAAAGTACACCCCACCCCCAGCCCGCCGCCGGCTAGGTACCCCTGACGCAACCTCCCCTGCACCCAGCCAAAACCCAGTCCCGTTGGCTCCCTGACATCCGTGGCAGCCAAAAGATTCGGTGCTAGAAGGCACTTTCCCCAGGAGCGGAGGAACCGGTTGGCCCTCAAGAATCAGAGAGGAAGTGCAGGTGGGATGCAACACCGCCTTTCCTAGAAGGCCAATGTCAGGAGCGGTGGGCTTGCCTCCGCCTCTTCCTGGACCGAGCGTGCAGCCATCACTTGGGCCATGGAGACCGAGAGAGCTTCCCTGTCCCACACAGGTATGGAAGCCCAGAGCTCCAGGATCACCACAGCTGCCCAATCATCCAGAAAGAGGTGTGGAGAGGGAAACAATCATGACGCGGACCGCCACGAGGTTTCTCCCTGATGGACGGGGAAGTCTTCTTTGTGGAAGACACTGAGCCACGCTAAGAAGCCGCCAGGCTTCTCAGAGACGGGGCAGACACAGCAAGAGGGAGGTCAGAGCAGAGGCCAGAGCCCAGGCAGGATACGGGGGGGCCATGCCACCACCACCGGCATCCGGGGAGGAGTGTCAAACGGGTGACTCGGCCAGGAAGGCCAGCCTTTGAGAGACAGACATGCTTGCCCCATCCCCTTGCCGGCTTCCTTCTCCGTCCCTGCGTCGAGCTGTGGCTACATTTCTCGATGAGGGCAGAGGGCGACAGGCGTGACAACCACCTTCTTGAAGCTCTGCGGGCACCCTCCTGCGGGTGGACAATGAGCGCCTGGGAGGCCGTTGTCCTTGGTTGGGGAGCGCTCGTCTGGATCCAGCCTAGCAAAGAGGCTGCTCCGGATGGGGAGGGGATGAAAACCCCTGCGGGTTCGACGCCGATGCCCACGTTGCCCAGGCCTTCACAGACCCCCAAACTGGAACTGCCGGGACCACGACTGCCAACCGGCCACACGACCCAGGCAGAGACGCGGGGACACGCTGACCAGAAGAAAGGCCGACGTGCAAGAAACCCACCCTCCGGCGCACAGGGCCCATGTGTCCCAAGGCGCACGCACACACAGACGGACAGAGACAGAAAGAGAGGGCGACCGAAAGAGCGAGAAGGGAGAGAGACAAAGAGAGAGAGAGAGAGAGAGAGAGAGAGAGAGAGAGAGAGACGTGAGAGAGAGACAGAAGTCGGCACACAGACACGCACTGCGCGCGCACACACACAGACAAACACACAGACGCATCCCCCCAACACACACACACACACCCATAACGAACACACACGTACAGCAGGGAACACCCACCCGCAGGCAGCCCCTGAAGCTGCCGGGTTCTGCTCTCCGCGACTAAGAGCCACCGGTGAGAGAGCAGCCCACGGGCACACAGGCGGACCTGTGCTCGTCATCACAAGGGCTCCACTTTTGGGGAGACTCACCCGCACACCGTCCGCGCACGCCTGAGGCTGGGATCCCGCGCTGCCTCGCCGGCGATCTGTCTGAGGTTTCTTCCTCTTGGGGTTTCTTCCTGCTGGTGGACCCTCCGCGAATCCCGGCCTCCGGAGACCGTCCTGGTAACTGCCCTGGCCAGGACTGGTCTCAGCCCAGACTCAGACGCACGATCACACAGGGCTCCTACTTCGCCAAGTGTCAGGGACCCATCCCCGGGCAACGGTGGCTTTCACTTTGACCCAAGCGGCGGCTTGGGCCTCGCGCATGCGCACTGGCGAGGCCGACTCCCCCCGCTCCAGCCCCCCTTACTCCGCAGAGTCAGGCTGCGGACCCTTTAAAAAATGGCGGCGACGCGGCGGCTGCGGGGCCTGGGGCGGCGGTGCTGGAGGTTGCGGCGGCGGCGGTGGCGGCGCAGCCCGAGGCGGCGGGTGGGAAGAGGACTGCCAGAGGGGCCTGCGGGAGACCCAGGGTCGGACCCATAGGAGTCCTGTGGTGAGGACCTCCTTGATCGCTCTTCTGCTTCGGTTCCCGCGAAAGGAGGAGCTTCGGGATGCCGGCTGGGCTGCGCGGACTCCTCTTGGGGTCCGATGATGGATCCAACCGGGTGATCGGGAATGGGGTTCCAATGCAGTGAGGCCGAAAGGGTCTCGCCGGGGCACAGAAAGATCCCCAGGGCCGCAAGGCGTGCTGTCGGCTGCAAAGGCACCGACCCATGAGCCCACTGCCTCCCTCCCTCCTGGCAGGAGCAGGGGCCTGCCTTCATCTCCAAGGCCCGAGGGCTCCGGCATCCCGACGCGGCTTCCGGCGACACGGGCCAAGAGAGACAGAGGCGAGTCCGAGCTGGTGCCAGCGTGTCCACATGTGGCACTGTCGTCCCCCAAGAGCACATGCAGGTAGCGTGTGTCTTTGAGGCCGTAGGGGGCGACGACGAGACGGACAGTGATGTCCAGGCGTGCGCCCGGGGGGCCACTGGAGACCTGCCCCACAAAGCGGAGGAAAAGCCAAGCGCACCTGAAAACCTGCGAGACAGGGCCTGTGCGCGAGTCCACGCCACGTTCAGGGAGGCCCGCCAGAGGAGCCGAGAGGTTTGGACAAAGTACACCCCACCCCCAGCCCGCCGCCGGCTAGGTACCCCTGACGCAACCTCCCCTGCACCCAGCCAAAACCCAGTCCCGTTGGCTCCCTGACATCCGTGGCAGCCAAAAGATTCGGTGCTAGAAGGCACTTTCCCCAGGAGCGGAGGAACCGGTTGGCCCTCAAGAATCAGAGAGGAAGTGCAGGTGGGATGCAACACCGCCTTTCCTAGAAGGCCAATGTCAGGAGCGGTGGGCTTGCCTCCGCCTCTTCCTGGACCGAGCGTGCAGCCATCACTTGGGCCATGGAGACCGAGAGAGCTTCCCTGTCCCACACAGGTATGGAAGCCCAGAGCTCCAGGATCACCACAGCTGCCCAATCATCCAGAAAGAGGTGTGGAGAGGGAAACAATCATGACGCGGACCGCCACGAGGTTTCTCCCTGATGGACGGGGAAGTCTTGTTTGTGGAAGACACTGAGCCACACTAAGAAGCCGCCAGGCTTCTCAGAGACGGGGCAGACACAGCAAGAGGGAGGTCAGAGCAGAGGCCAGAGCCCAGGCAGGATACGGGGGGGCCATGCCACCACCACCGGCATCCGGGGAGGAGTGTCAAACGGGTGACTCGGCCAGGAAGGCCAGCCTTTGAGAGACAGACATGCTTGCCCCATCCCCTTGCCGGCTTCCTTCTCCGTCCCTGCGTCGAGCTGTGGCTACATTTCTCGATGAGGGCAGAGGGCGACAGGCGTGACAACCACCTTCTTGAAGCTCTGCGGGCACCCTTCCTGCGGGTGGACAATGAGCGCCTGGGAGGCCGTTGTCCTTGGTTGGGGAGCGCTCGTCTGGATCCAGCCTAGCAAAGAGGCTGCTCCGGATGGGGAGGGGATGAAAACCCTGCGGGTCCGACACCCATGCCCACGTTGCCCAGGCCTTCACAGACCCCCAAACTGGAACCGCCGGGACGACGACTGCCAACCGGCCACACGACCCAGGCAGAGACGCGGGGAGACGCTGACCAGAAGAAAGGCCGACGTGCAAGAAATCCACCCTCCGGCGCACAGGGCCCATGTGTCCCAAGGCGCACGCATACACAGACGGACAGAGACAGAAAGAGAGGGCGACCGAAAGAGCGAGAAGGGAGAGAGACAGAGAGAGAGAGAGAGAGAGAGAGAGAGAGAGAGAGAGAGAGACAGAAGTCGGCACACAGACACGCACTGCGCGCGCACACACACAGACACACACACAGACGCATCCCCCCAACACACACACACACACCCATAACGAACACACACGTACAGCAGGGAACACCCACCCGCAGGCAGCCCCTGAAGCTGCCGGGTTCTGCTCTCCGCGACTAAGAGCCACCGGTGAGAGAGCAGCCCACGGGCACACAGGCGGACCTGTGCTCGTCATCACAAGGGCTCCACTTTTGGGGAGACTCACCCGCACACCGTCCGCGCACGCCTGAGGCTGGGATCCCGCGCTGCCTCGCCGGCGATCTGTCTGAGGTTTCTTCCTCCTGGGGTTTCTTCCTGCTGGTGGACCCTCCGCGAATCCCGGCCTCCGGAGACCGTCCTGGTAACTACCCTGGCCAGGACTGGTCTCAGCCCAGACTCAGACGCACGATCACACAGGGCTGCTACTTCGCCAAGTGTCAGGGACCCATCCCCGGGCAACGGTGGCTTTCACTGTGGCCCAAGCGGCGGCTCGGGCCTCGCGCATGCGCACTGGCGAGGCCGACTCCCCCGCTCCACCCCCCCTTACTCCGCAGAGTCAGGCTGCGGACCCTTTAAAAAATGGCGGCGACGCGGCGGCTGCGGGGCCTGGGGCGGCGGTGCTGGAGGTTACGTCGGCGGCGGCGGCGGCACAGCCAGAGGCGGCGGGTGGGAAGAGGACTGCCAGAGGGGCCTGCGGGAGACCCAGGGTCGGACCCATAGGAGTCCTGTGGTGAGGACCTCCTTGATCGCTCTTCTGCTTCGGTTCCCGCTGAAGGAGGAGTTTCGGGATGCCGGCTGGGCTGCGCGGACTCCTCTTGGGGTCCGATGATGGATCCAACCGGGTGATCGGGAATGGGGTTCCAATGCAGTGAGGCCGAAAGGGTCTCGCCGGGGCACAGAAAGATCCCCAGGGCCGCAAGGCGTGCTGTCGGCTGCAAAGGCACCGACCCATGAGCCCACTGCCTCCCTCCCTCCTGGCAGGAGCAGGGGCCTGCCTTCATCTCCAAGGCCCGAGGGCTCCGGCATCCCGACGCGGCTTCCGGCGACACGGGCAAAGAGAGACAGAGGCGAGTCCGAGCTGGAGCCAGCGTGTCCACATGTGGCACTGTCGTCCCCCAAGAGCACATGCAGGCAGCGTGTGTCTTTGAGGCCGTAGGGGGCGACGACGAGACGGACAGTGATGTCCAGGCGTGCGCCCGGGGGGCCACTGGAGACCTGCCCCACAAAGCGGAGGAAAAGCCAAGCGCACCTGAAAACCTGCGAGACAGGGCCTGTGCGCGAGTCCACGCCACGTTCAGGGAGGCCCGCCAGAGGAGCCGAGACGTTTGGACAAAGTACACCCCACCCCCAGCCCGCCGCCGGCTAGGTACCCCTGACGCAACCTCCCCTGCACCCAGCCAAAACCCAGTCCCGTTGGCTCCCTGACATCCGTGGCAGCCAAAAGATTCGGTGCTAGAAGGCACTTTCCCCAGGAGCGGAGGAACCGGTTGGCCCTCAAGAATCAGAGAGGAAGTGCAGGTGGGATGCAACACCGCCTTTCCTAGAAGGCCAATGTCAGGAGCGGTGGGCTTGCCTCCGCCTCTTCCTGGACCGAGCGTGCAGCCATCACTTGGGCCATGGAGACCGAGAGAGCTTCCCTGTCCCACACAGGTATGGAAGCCCAGAGCTCCAGGATCACCACAGCTGCCCAATCATCCAGAAAGAGGTGTGGAGAGGGAAACAATCATGACGCGGACCGCCACGAGGTTTCTCCCTGATGGACGGGGAAGTCTTGTTTGTGGAAGACACTGAGCCACGCTAAGAAGCCGCCAGGCTTCTCAGAGACGGGGCAGACACAGCAAGAGGGAGGTCAGAGCAGAGGCCAGAGCCCAGGCAGGATACGGGGGGGCCATGCCACCACCACCGGCATCCGGGGAGGAGTGTCAAACGGGTGACTCGGCCAGGAAGGCCAGCCTTTGAGAGACAGACATGCTTGCCCCATCCCCTTGCCGGCTTCCTTCTCCGTCCCTGCGTCGAGCTGTGGCTACATTTCTCGATGAGGGCAGAGGGCGACAGGCGTGACAACCACCTTCTTGAAGCTCTGCGGGCACCCTCCTGCGGGTGGACAATGAGCGCCTGGGAGGCCGTTGTCCTTGGTTGGGGAGCGCTCGTCTGGATCCAGCCTAGCAAAGAGGCTGCTCCGGATGGGGAGGGGATGAAAACCCCTGCGGGTTCGACGCCGATGCCCACGTTGCCCAGGCCTTCACAGACCCCCAAACTGGAACTGCCGGGACGACGACTGCCAACCGGCCACACGACCCAGGCAGAGACGCGGGGACACGCTGACCAGAAGAAAGGCCGACGTGCAAGAAACCCACCCTCCGGCGCACAGGGCACATGTGTCCCAAGGCGCACGCACACACAGACGGACAGAGACAGACAGAGAGGGCGACGGAAACAGCGAGAAGGGAGAGAGAGAGAGAGAGAGAGAGAGAGAGAGAGAGAGAGAGAGAGAGAGAGGTGAGAGAGAGTCAGAAGTCGGCACACAGACACGCACTGCGCGCGCACACACACAGACACACACACAGACGCACCCCCCCAACACACACACACACACCCATAACGAACACACACGTACAGCAGGGAACACCCACCCGCAGGCAGCCCCTGAAGCTGCCGGGTTCTGCTCTCCGCGACTAAGAGCCACCGGTGAGAGAGCAGCCCACGGGCACACAGGCGGACCTGTGCTCGTCATCACAAGGGCTCCACTTTTGGGGAGACTCACCCGCACACCGTCCGCGCACGCCTGAGGCTGGGATGCCGCGCTGCCTCGCCGGCGATCTGTCTGAGTTTTCTTCCTCCTGGCGTTTCTTCCTGCTGGTGGACCCTCCGCGAATCCCGGCCTCCGGAAACCGTCCTGGTAACTGCCCTGACCAGGACTGGTCTCAGCCCAGACTCAGACGCACGATCACACAGGGCTCCTACTTCGCCAAGTGTCAGGGACCCATCCCCGGGCAACGGTGGCTTTCACTGTGACCCAAGCGGCGGCTTGGGCCTCGCGCATGCGCACTGGCGAGGCCGACTCCCCCGCTCCACCCCCCCTTACTCCGCAGAGTCAGGCTGCGGACCCTTTAAAAAATGGCGGCGACGCGGCGGCTGCGGGGCCTGGGGCGGCGGTGCTGGAGGTTGCGGCGGCGGCGGTGGCGGCGCAGCCCGAGGCGGCGGGTGGGAAGAGGACTGCCAGAGGGGCCTGCGGCAGACCCAGGGTCGGACTCATAGGAGTCCTGTGGTGAGGACCTCCTTGATCGCTCTTCTGCTTCGGTTCCCGCTGAAGGAGGAGCTTCGGGATGCCGGCTGGGCTGCGCGGACTCCTCTTGGGGTCCGATGATGGATCCAACCGGGTGATCGGGAATGGGGTTCCAATGCAGTGAGGCCGAAAGGGTCTCGCCGGGGCACAGAAAGATCCCCAGGGCCGCAAGGCGTGCTGTCGGCTGCAAAGGCACCGACCCATGAGCCCACTGCCTCCCTCCCTCCTGGCAGGAGCAGGGGCCTGCCTTCATCTCCAAGGCCCGAGGGCTCCGGCATCCCGACGCGGCTTCCGGCGACACGGGCAAAGAGAGACAGAGGCGAGTCCGAGCTGGTGCCAGTGTGTCCACATGTGGCACTGTCGTCCCCCAAGAGCACATGCAGGCCGCGTGTGTCTTTGAGGCCGTAGGGGGCAACGACGAGACGGACAGTGATGTCCAGGCGTGCGCCCGGGGGGCCACTGGAGACCTGCCCCACAAAGCGGAGGAAAAGCCAAGCGCACCTGAAAACCTGCGAGACAGGGCCTGTGCGCGAGTCCACGCCACGTTCAGGGAGGCCCGCCAGAGGAGCCGAGACGTTTGGACAAAGTACACCCCACCCTCAGCCCGCCGCCGGCTAGGTACCCCTGACGCAAACTCCCCTGCACCCAGCCAAAACCCAGTCCCGTTGGCTCCCTGACATCCGTGGCAGCCAAAAGATTCGGTGCTAGAAGGCACTTTCCCCAGGAGCGGAGGAACCGGTTGGCCCTCAAGAATCAGAGAGGAAGTGCAGGTGGGATGCAACACCGCCTTTCCTAGAAGGCCAATGTCAGGAGCGGTGGGCTTGCCTCCGCCTCTTCCTGGACCGAGCGTGCAGCCATCACTTGGGCCATGGAGACCGAGAGAGCTTCCCTGTCCCACACAGGTATGGAAGCCCAGAGCTCCAGGATCACCACAGCTGCCCAGTCATCCAGAAAGAGGTGTGGAGAGGGAAACAATCATGACGCGGACCGCCACGAGGTTTCTCCCTGATGGACGGGGAAGTCTTCTTTGTGGAAGACACTGAGCCACGCTAAGAAGCCGCCAGGCTTCTCAGAGACGGGGCAGACACAGCAAGAGGGAGGTCAGAGCAGAGGCCAGAGCCCAGGCAGGATACGGGGGGGCCATGCCACCACCACCGGCATCCGGGGAGGACTGTCAAACGGGTGACTCGGCCAGGAAGGCCAGCCTTTGAGAGACAGACATGCTTGCCCCATCCCCTTGCCGGCTTCCTTCTCCGTCCCTGCGTCGAGCTGTGGCTACATTTCTCGATGAGGGCAGAGGGCGACAGGCGTGACAACCACCTTCTTGAAGCTCTGCGGGCACCCTCCTGCGGGTGGACAATGAGCGCCTGTGAGGCCGTTGTCCTTGGTTGGGGAGCGCTCGTCTGGATCCAGCCTAGCAAAGAGGCTGCTCCGGATGTGGAGGGGATGAAAACCCCTGCGGGTTCGACGCCGATGCCCACGTTGCCCAGGCCTTCACAGACCCCCAAACTGGAACTGCCGGGACGACGACTGCCAACCGGCCACACGACCCAGGCAGAGACGCGGGGACACGCTGACCAGAAGAAAGGCCGACGTGCAAGAAACCCACCCTCCGGCGCACAGGGCACATGTGTCCCAAGGCGCACGCACACACAGACGGACAGAGACAGACAGAGAGGGCGACGGAAACAGCGAGAAGGGAGAGAGAGAGAGAGAGAGAGAGAGACAGAGAGAGACGTGAGAGAGACACAGAAGTCGGCACACAGACACGCACTGCGCGCGCACACACACAGACACACACACAGACGCACCCCCCCAACACACACACACACACCCATAACGAACACACACGTACAGCAGGGAACACCCACCCGCAGGCAGCCCCTGAAGCTGCCGGGTTCTGCTCTCCGCGACTAAGAGCCACCGGTGAGAGAGCAGCCCACGGGCACACAGGCGGACCTGTGCTCGTCATCACAAGGGCTCCACTTTTGGGGAGACTCACCCGCACACCGTCCGCGCACGCCTGAGGCTGGGATCCCGCGCTGCCTCGCCGGCGATCTGTCTGAGGTTTCTTCCTCTTGGGGTTTCTTCCTGCTGGTGGACCCTCCGCGAATCCCGGCCTCCGGAGACCGTCCTGGTAACTGCCCTGGCCAGGACTGGTCTCAGCCCAGACTCAGACGCACGATCACACAGGGCTCCTACTTCGCCAAGTGTCAGGGACCCATCCCCGGGCAACGGTGGCTTTCACTTTGACCCAAGCGGCGGCTTGGGCCTCGCGCATGCGCACTGGCGAGGCCGACTCCCCCCGCTCCAGCCCCCCTTACTCCGCAGAGTCAGGCTGCGGACCCTTTAAAAAATGGCGGCGACGCGGCGGCTGCGGGGCCTGGGGCGGCGGTGCTGGAGGTTGCGGCGGCGGCGGTGGCGGCGCAGCCCGAGGCGGCGGGTGGGAAGAGGACTGCCAGAGGGGCCTGCGGGAGACCCAGGGTCGGACCCATAGGAGTCCTGTGGTGAGGACCTCCTTGATCGCTCTTCTGCTTCGGTTCCCGCGAAAGGAGGAGCTTCGGGATGCCGGCTGGGCTGCGCGGACTCCTCTTGGGGTCCGATGATGGATCCAACCGGGTGATCGGGAATGGGGTTCCAATGCAGTGAGGCCGAAAGGGTCTCGCCGGGGCACAGAAAGATCCCCAGGGCCGCAAGGCGTGCTGTCGGCTGCAAAGGCACCGACCCATGAGCCCACTGCCTCCCTCCCTCCTGGCAGGAGCAGGGGCCTGCCTTCATCTCCAAGGCCCGAGGGCTCCGGCATCCCGACGCGGCTTCCGGCGACACGGGCCAAGAGAGACAGAGGCGAGTCCGAGCTGGTGCCAGCGTGTCCACATGTGGCACTGTCGTCCCCCAAGAGCACATGCAGGTAGCGTGTGTCTTTGAGGCCGTAGGGGGCGACGACGAGACGGACAGTGATGTCCAGGCGTGCGCCCGGGGGGCCACTGGAGACCTGCCCCACAAAGCGGAGGAAAAGCCAAGCGCACCTGAAAACCTGCGAGACAGGGCCTGTGCGCGAGTCCACGCCACGTTCAGGGAGGCCCGCCAGAGGAGCCGAGAGGTTTGGACAAAGTACACCCCACCCCCAGCCCGCCGCCGGCTAGGTACCCCTGACGCAACCTCCCCTGCACCCAGCCAAAACCCAGTCCCGTTGGCTCCCTGACATCCGTGGCAGCCAAAAGATTCGGTGCTAGAAGGCACTTTCCCCAGGAGCGGAGGAACCGGTTGGCCCTCAAGAATCAGAGAGGAAGTGCAGGTGGGATGCAACACCGCCTTTCCTAGAAGGCCAATGTCAGGAGCGGTGGGCTTGCCTCCGCCTCTTCCTGGACCGAGCGTGCAGCCATCACTTGGGCCATGGAGACCGAGAGAGCTTCCCTGTCCCACACAGGTATGGAAGCCCAGAGCTCCAGGATCACCACAGCTGCCCAATCATCCAGAAAGAGGTGTGGAGAGGGAAACAATCATGACGCGGACCGCCACGAGGTTTCTCCCTGATGGACGGGGAAGTCTTGTTTGTGGAAGACACTGAGCCACGCTAAGAAGCCGCCAGGCTTCTCAGAGACGGGGCAGACACAGCAAGAGGGAGGTCAGAGCAGAGGCCAGAGCCCAGGCAGGATACGGGGGGGCCATGCCTCCACCACCGGCATCCGGGGAGGACTGTCAAACGGGTGACTCGGCCAGGAAGGCCAGCCTTTGAGAGACAGACATGCTTGCCGCCCCATCCCCTTGCCGGCTTCCTTCTCCGTCCCTGCGTCGAGCTGTGGCTACATTTCTCGATGAGGGCAGAGGGCGACAGGCGTGACAACCACCTTCTTGAAGCTCTGCGGGCACCTTCCTGCGGGTGGACAATGAGCGCCTGGGAGGCCGTTGTCCTTGGTTGGGGAGCGCTCGTCTGGATCCAGCCTAGCAAAGAGGCTGCTCCGGATGGGGAGGGGATGAAAACCCCTGCGGGTTCGACGCCGATGCCCACGTTGCCCAGGCCTTCACAGACCCCCAAACTGGAACTGCTGGGACGACGACTGCCAACCGGCCACACGACCCAGGCAGAGACGCGGGGAGAGGCTGACCAGAAGGAAGGCCGACGTGCAAGAAACCCACCCTCCGGCGCACAGGGCACATGTGTCCCAAGGCGCACGCACACACAGACGGACAGAGACAGACAGAGAGGGCGACGGAAACAGCGAGAAGGGAGAGAGAGAGAGAGAGAGAGAGAGACAGAGAGAGACGTGAGAGAGAGACAGAAGTCGGCACACAGACACGCACTGCGCGCGCACACACACAGACACACACACAGACGCATCCCCCCAACACACACACACACACCCATAACGAACACACACGTACAGCAGGGAACACCCACCCGCAGGCAGCCCCTGAAGCTGCCGGGTTCTGCTCTCCGCGACTAAGAGCCACCGGTGAGAGAGCAGCCCACGGGCACACAGGCGGACCTGTGCTCGTCATCACAAGGGCTCCACTTTTGGGGAGACTCACCCGCACACCGTCCGCGCACGCCTGAGGCTGGGATGCCGCGCTGCCTCGCCGGCGATCTGTCTGAGTTTTCTTCCTCCTGGGGTTTCTTCCTGCTGGTGGACCCTCCGCGAATCCCGGCCTCCGGAGACCGTCCTGGTAACTGCCCTGGCCAGGACTGGTCTCAGCCCAGACTCAGACGCACGATCACACAGGGCTCCTACTTCGCCAAGTGTCAGGGACCCATCCCCGGGCAACGGTGGCTTTCACTGTGACCCAAGCGGCGGCTTGGGCCTCGCGCATGCGCACTGGCGAGGCCGACTCCCCCGCTCCACCCCCCCTTACTCCGCAGAGTCCGGCTGCGGACCCTTTAAAAAATGGCGGCGACGCGGCGGCTGCGGGGCCTGGGGCGGCGGTGCTGGAGGTTGCGGCGGCGGCGGTGGCGGCGCAGCCCGAGGCGGCGGGTGGGAAGAGGACTGCCAGAGGGGCCTGCGGGAGACCCAGGGTCGGACCCATAGGAGTCCTGTGGTGAGGACCTCCTTGATCGCTCTTCTGCTTCGGTTCCCGCGAAAGGAGGAGCTTCGGGATGCCGGCTGGGCTGCGCGGACTCCTCTCGGGGTCGGATGATGGATCCAACCGGGTGATCGGGAATGGGGTTCCAATGCAGTGAGGCCGAAAGGGTCTCGCCGGGGCACAGAAAGATCCCCAGGGCCGCAAGGCGTGCTGTCGGCTGCAAAGGCACCGACCCATGAGCCCACTGCCTCCCTCCCTCCTGGCAGGAGCAGGGGCCTGCCTTCATCTCCAAGGCCCGAGGGCTCCGGCATCCCGACGCGGCTTCCGGCGACACGGGCAAAGAGAGACAGAGGCGAGTCCGAGCTGGTGCCAGCGTGTCCACATGTGGCACTGTCGTCCCCCAAGAGCACATGCAGGCAGCGTGTGTCTTTGAGGCCGTAGGGGGCGACGACGAGACGGACAGTGATGTCCAGGCGTGCGCCCGGGGGGCCACTGGAGACCTGCCCCACAAAGCGGAGGAAAAGCCAAGCGCACCTGAAAACCTGCGAGACAGAGCCTGTGCGCGAGTCCACGCCACGTTCAGGGAGGCCCGCCAGAGGAGCCGAGAGGTTTGGACAAAGTACACCCCACCCCCAGCCCGCCGCCGGCTAGGTACCCCTGACGCAACCTCCCCTGCACCCAGCCAAAACCCAGTCCCGTTGGCTCCCTGACATCCGTGGCAGCCAAAAGATTCGGTGCTAGAAGGCACTTTCCCCAGGAGCGGAGGAACCGGTTGGCCCTCAAGAATCAGAGAGGAAGTGCAGGTGGGATGCAACACCGCCTTTCCTAGAAGGCCAATGTCAGGAGCGGTGGGCTTGCCTCCGCCTCTTCCTGGACCGAGCGTGCAGCCATCACTTGGGCCATGGAGACCGAGAGAGCTTCCCTGTCCCACACAGGTATGGAAGCCCAGAGCTCCAGGATCACCACAGCTGCCCAATCATCCAGAAAGAGGTGTGGAGAGGGAAACAATCATGACGCGGACCGCCACGAGGTTTCTCCCTGATGGACGGGGAAGTCTTCTTTGTGGAAGACACTGAGCCACGCTAAGAAGCCGCCAGGCTTCTCAGAGACGGGGCAGACACAGCAAGAGGGAGGTCAGAGCAGAGGCCAGAGCACAGGCAGGATACGGGGGGACCATGCCACCACCACCGGCATCCGGGGAGGACTGTCAAACGGGTGACTCGGCCAGGAAGGCCAGCCTTTGAGAGACAGACATGCTTGCCGCCCCATCCCCTTGCCGGCTTCCTTCTCCGTCCCTGCGTCGAGCTGTGGCTACATTTCTCGATGAGGGCAGAGGGCGACAGGCGTGACAACCACCTTCTTGAAGCTCTGCGGGCACCCTCCTGCGGGTGGACAATGAGCGCCTGGGAGGCCGTTGTCCTTGGTTGGGGAGCGCTCGTCTGGATCCAGCCTAGCAAAGAGGCTGCTCCGGATGGGGAGGGGATGAAAACCCTACGGGTCCGACACCCATGCCCACGTTGCCCAGGCCTTCACAGACCCCCAAACTGGAACTGCCGGGACGACGACTGCCAACCGGCCACACGACCCAGGCAGAGACGCGGGGAGACGCTGACCAGAAGAAAGGCCGACGTGCAAGAAATCCACCCTCCGGCGCACAGGGCCCATGTGTCCCAAGGCGCACGCACACACAGACGGAGAGAGACAGAAAGAGAGGGCGACCGAAAGAGCGAGAAGGGAGAGAGACAGAGAGAGAGAGAGAGAGAGAGAGAGAGAGAGAGAGAGACAGAAGTCGGCACACAGACACGCACTGCGCGCGCACACACACAGACACACACACAGACGCATCCCCCCAACACACACACACACACCCATAACGAACACACACGTACAGCAGGGAACACCCACCCGCAGGCAGCCCCTGAAGCTGCCGGGTTCTGCTCTCCGCGACTAAGAGCCACCGGTGAGAGAGCAGCCCACGGGCACACAGGCGGACCTGTGCTCGTCATCACAAGGGCTCCACTTTTGGGGAGACTCACCCGCACACCGTCCGCGCACGCCTGAGGCTGGGATCCCGCGCTGCCTCGCCGGCGATCTGTCTGAGGTTTCTTCCTCTTGGGGTTTCTTCCTGCTGGTGGACCCTCCGCGAATCCCGGCCTCCGGAGACCGTCCTGGTAACTGCCCTGGCCAGGACTGGTCTCAGCCCAGACTCAGACGCACGATCACACAGGGCTCCTACTTCGCCAAGTGTCAGGGACCCATCCCCTGGCAACGGTGGCTTTCACTGTGACCCAAGCGGCGGCTTGGGCCTCGCGCATGCGCACTGGCGAGGCCGACTCCCCCGCTCCACCCCCCCTTACTCCACAGAGTCAGGCTGCGGACCCTTTAAAAAATGGCGGCGACGCGGCGGCTGCGGGGCCTGGGGCGGCGGTGCTGGAGGTTGCGGCGGCGGCGGTGGCGGCGCAGCCCGAGGCGGCGGGTGGGAAGAGGACTGCCAGAGGGGCCTGCGGGAGACCCAGGGTCGGACCCATAGGAGTCCTGTGGTGAGGACCTCCTTGATCGCTCTTCTGCTTCGGTTCCCGCGAAAGGAGGAGCTTCGGGATGCCGGCTGGGCTGCGCGGACTCCTCTTGGGGTCCGATGATGGATCCAACCGGGTGATCGGGAATGGGGTTCCAATGCAGTGAGGCCGAAAGGGTCTCGCCGGGGCACAGAAAGATCCCCAGGGCCGCAAGGCGTGCTGTCGGCTGCAAAGGCACCGACCCATGAGCCCACTGCCTCCCTCCCTCCTGGCAGGAGCAGGGGCCTGCCTTCATCTCCAAGGCCCGAGGGCTCCGGCATCCCGACGCGGCTTCCGGCGACACGGGCAAAGAGAGAGGCGAGTCCGAGCTGCAGCCAGCGTGTCCACATGTGGCACTGTCGTCCCCCAAGAGCACATGCAGGCAGCGTGTGTCTTTGAGGCCGTAGGGGGCGACGACGAGACGGACAGTGATGTCCAGGCGTGCGCCCGGGGGGCCACTGGAGACCTGCCCCACAAAGCGGAGGAAAAGCCAAGCGCACCTGAAAACCTGCGAGACAGGGCCTGTGCGCGAGTCCACGCCACGTTCAGGGAGGCCCGCCAGAGGAGCCGAGAGGTTTGGACAAAGTACACCCCACCCCCAGCCCGCCGCCGGCTAGGTACCCCTGACGCAACCTCCCCTGCACCCAGCCAAAACCCAGTCCCGTTGGCTCCCTGACATCCGTGGCAGCCAAAAGATTCGGTGCTAGAAGGCACTTTCCCCAGGAGCGGAGGAACCGGTTGGCCCTCAAGAATCAGAGAGGAAGTGCAGGTGGGATGCAACACCGCCTTTCCTAGAAGGCCAATGTCAGGAGCGGTGGGCTTGCCTCCGCCTCTTCCTGGACCGAGCGTGCAGCCATCACTTGGGCCATGGAGACCGAGAGAGCTTCCCTGTCCCACACAGGTATGGAAGCCCAGAGCTCCAGGATCACCACAGCTGCCCAGTCATCCAGAAAGAGGTGTGGAGAGGGAAACAATCATGACGCGGACCGCCACGAGGTTTCTCCCTGATGGACGGGGAAGTCTTCTTTGTGGAAGACACTGAGCCACGCTAAGAAGCCGCCAGGCTTCTCAGAGACGGGGCAGACACAGCAAGAGGGAGGTCAGAGCAGAGGCCAGAGCCCAGGCAGGATACGGGGGGGCCATGCCACCACCACCGGCATCCGGGGAGGAGTGTCAAACGGGTGACTCGGCCAGGAAGGCCAGCCTTTGAGAGACAGACATGCTTGCCCCATCCCCTTGCCGGCTTCCTTCTCCGTCCCTGCGTCGAGCTGTGGCTACATTTCTCGATGAGGGCAGAGGGCGACAGGCGTGACAACCGCCTTCTTGAAGCTCTGCGGGCACCCTCCTGCGGGTGGACAATGAGCGCCTGGGAGGCCGTTGTCCTTGGTTGGGGAGCGCTCGTCTGGATCCAGCCTAGCAAAGAGGCTGCTCCGGATGGGGAGGGGATGAAAACCCCTGCGGGTTCGACGCCGATGCCCACGTTGCCCAGGCCTTCACAGACCCCCAAACTGGAACTGCCGGGACGACGACTGCCAACCGGCCACACGACCCAGGCAGAGACGCGGGGAGAGGCTGACCAGAAGAAAGGCCGACGTGCAAGAAACCCACCCTCCGGCGTACAGGGCACATGTGTCCCAAGGCGCACGCACACACAGACGGACAGAGATAGAAAGAGAGGGCGACGGAAACAGCGAGAAGGGAGAGAGAGAGAGAGAGAGAGAGAGAGAGACAGAGAGAGACGTGAGAGAGAGACAGAAGTCGGCACACAGACACGCACTGCGCGCGCACACACACAGACACACACACAGACGCACCCCCCCAACACACACACACACACCCATAACGAACACACACGTACAGCTGGGAACACCCACCCGCAGGCAGCCCCTGAAGCTGCCGGGTTCTGCTCTCCGAGACTAAGAGCCACCGGTGAGAGAGCAGCCCACGGGCACACAGGCGGACCTGTGCTCGTCATCACAAGGGCTCCACTTTTGGGGAGACTCACCCGCACACCGTCCGCGCACGCCTGAGGCTGGGATCCCGCGCTGCCTCGCCGGCGATCTGTCTGAGGTTTCTTCCTCTTGGGGTTTCTTCCTGCTGGTGGACCCTCCGCGAATCCCGGCCTCCGGAGACCGTCCTGGTAACTGCCCTGGCCAGGACTGGTCTCAGCCCAGACTCAGACGCACGATCACACAGGGCTCCTACTTCGCCAAGTGTCAGGGACCCATCCCCGGGCAACGGTGGCTTTCACTGTGACCCAAGCGGCGGCTTGGGCCTCGTGCATGCGCACTGGCGAGGCCGACTCCCCCGCTCCACCCCCCCTTACTCCGCAGAGTCAGGCTGCGGACCCTTTAAAAAATGGCGGCGACGCGGCGGCTGCGGGGCCTGGGGCGGCGGTGCTGGAGGTTGCGGCGGCGGCGGTGGCGGCGCAGCCCGAGGCGGCGGGTGGGAAGAGGACTGCCAGAGGGGCCTGCGGGAGACCCAGGGTCGGACCCATAGGAGTCCTGTGGTGAGGACCTCCTTGATCGCTCTTCTGCTTCGGTTCCCGCGAAAGGAGGAGCTTCGGGATGCCGGCTGGGCTGCGCGGACTCCTCTTGGGGTCCGATGATGGATCCAACCGGGTGATCGGGAATGGGGTTCCAATGCAGTGAGGCCGAAAGGGTCTCGCCGGGGCACAGAAAGATCCCCAGGGCCGCAAGGCGTGCTGTCGGCTGCAAAGGCACCGACCCATGAGCCCACTGCCTCCCTCCCTCCTGGCAGGAGCAGGGGCCTGCCTTCATCTCCAAGGCCCGAGGGCTCCGGCATCCCGACGCGGCTTCCGGCGACACGGGCAAAGAGAGACAGAGGCGAGTCCGAGCTGGTGCCAGCGTGTCCACATGTGGCACTGTCGTCCCCCAAGAGCACATGCAGGCAGCGTGTGTCTTTGAGGCCGTAGGGGGCAACGACGAGACGGACAGTGATGTCCAGGCGTGCGCCCGGGGGGCCACTGGAGACCTGCCCCACAAAGCGGAGGAAAAGCCAAGCGCACCTGAAAACCTGCGAGACAGGGCCTGTGCGCGAGTCCACGCCACGTTCAGGGAGGCCCGCCAGAGGAGCCGAGAGGTTTGGACAAAGTACACCCCACCCTCAGCCCGCCGCCGGCTAGGTACCCCTGACGCAAACTCCCCTGCACCCAGCCAAAACCCAGTCCCGTTGGCTCCCTGACATCCGTGGCAGCCAAAAGATTCGGTGCTAGAAGGCACTTTCCCCAGGAGCGGAGGAACCGGTTGGCCCTCAAGAATCAGAGAGGAAGTGCAGGTGGGATGCAACACCGCCTTTCCTAGAAGGCCAATGTCAGGAGCGGTGGGCTTGCCTCCGCCTCTTCCTGGACCGAGCGTGCAGCCATCACTTGGGCCATGGAGACCGAGAGAGCTTCCCTGTCCCACACAGGTATGGAAGCCCAGAGCTCCAGGATCACCACAGCTGCCCAGTCATCCAGAAAGAGGTGTGGAGAGGGAAACAATCATGACGCGGACCGCCACGAGGTTTCTCCCTGATGGACGGGGAAGTCTTCTTTGTGGAAGACACTGAGCCACGCTAAGAAGCCGCCAGGCTTCTCAGAGACGGGGCAGACACAGCAAGAGGGAGGTCAGAGCAGAGGCCAGAGCCCAGGCAGGATACGGGGGGGCCATGCCACCACCACCGGCATCCGGGGAGGACTGTCAAACGGGTGACTCGGCCAGGAAGGCCAGCCTTTGAGAGACAGACATGCTTGCCCCATCCCCTTGCCGGCTTCCTTCTCCGTCCCTGCGTCGAGCTGTGGCTACATTTCTCGATGAGGGCAGAGGGCGACAGGCGTGACAACCACCTTCTTGAAGCTCTGCGGGCACCCTCCTGCGGGTGGACAATGAGCGCCTGTGAGGCCGTTGTCCTTGGTTGGGGAGCGCTCGTCTGGATCCAGCCTAGCAAAGAGGCTGCTCCGGATGTGGAGGGGATGAAAACCCCTGCGGGTTCGACGCCGATGCCCACGTTGCCCAGGCCTTCACAGACCCCCAAACTGGAACTGCCGGGACGACGACTGCCAACCGGCCACACGACCCAGGCAGAGACGCGGGGACACGCTGACCAGAAGAAAGGCCGACGTGCAAGAAACCCACCCTCCGGCGCACAGGGCACATGTGTCCCAAGGCGCACGCACACACAGACGGACAGAGACAGACAGAGAGGGCGACGGAAACAGCGAGAAGGGAGAGAGAGAGAGAGAGAGAGAGAGACAGAGAGAGACGTGAGAGAGACACAGAAGTCGGCACACAGACACGCACTGCGCGCGCACACACACAGACACACACACAGACGCACCCCCCCAACACACACACACACACCCATAACGAACACACACGTACAGCAGGGAACACCCACCCGCAGGCAGCCCCTGAAGCTGCCGGGTTCTGCTCTCCGAGACTAAGAGCCACCGGTGAGAGAGCAGCCCACGGGCACACAGGCGGACCTGTGCTCGTCATCACAAGGGCTCCACTTTTGGGGAGACTCACCCGCACACCGTCCGCGCACGCCTGAGGCTGGGATGCCGCGCTGCCTCGCCGGCGATCTGTCTGAGTTTTCTTCCTCCTGGGGTTTCTTCCTGCTGGTGGACCCTCCGCGAATCCCGGCCTCCGGAGACCGTCCTGGTAAATGCCCTGGCCAGGACTGGTCTCAGCCCAGACTCAGACGCACGATCACACAGGGCTCCTACTTCGCCAAGTGTCAGGGACCCATCCCCGGGCAACGGTGGCTTTCACTGTGACCCAAGCGGCGGCTTGGGCCTCGCGCATGCGCACTGGCGAGGCCGACTCCCCCGCTCCACCCCCCCTTACTCCGCAGAGTCAGGCTGCGGACCCTTTAAAAAATGGCGGCGACGCGGCGGCTGCGGGGCCTGGGGCGGCGGTGCTGGAGGTTGCCGTGGCGGCGGTGGCGGCGCAGCCCGAGGCGGCGGGTGGGAAGAGGACTGCCAGAGGGGCCTGCGGGAGACCCAGGGTCGGACCCATAGGAGTCCTGTGGTGAGGACCTCCTTGAGCGCTCTTCTGCTTCGGTTCCCGCTGAAGGAGGAGCTTCGGGATGCCGGCTGGGCTGCGCGGACTCCTCTTGGGGTCCGATGATGGATCCAACCGGGTGATCGGGAATGGGGTTCCAATGCAGTGAGGCCGAAAGGGTCTCGCCGGGGCACAGAAAGATCCCCAGGGCCGCAAGGCGTGCTGTCGGCTGCAAAGGCACCGACCCATGAGCCCACTGCCTCCCTCCCTCCTGGCAGGAGCAGGGGCCTGCCTTCATCTCCAAGGCCCGAGGGCTCCGGCATCCCGACGCGGCTTCCGGCGACACGGGCAAAGAGAGACAGAGGCGAGTCCGAGCTGGAGCCAGCGTGTCCACATGTGGCACTGTCGTCCCCCAAGAGCACATGCAGGCAGCGTGTGTCTTTGAGGCCGTAGGGGGCGACGACGAGACGGACAGTGATGTCCAGGCGTGCGCCCGGGGGGCCACTGGAGACCTGCCCCACAAAGCGGAGGAAAAGCCAAGCGCACCTGAAAACCTGCGAGACAGGGCCTGTGCGCGAGTCCACGCCACGTTCAGGGAGGCCCGCCAGAGGAGCCGAGAGGTTTGGACAAAGTACACCCCACCCCCAGCCCGCCGCCGGCTAGGTACCCCTGACGCAACCTCCCCTGCACCCAGCCAAAACCCAGTCCCGTTGGCTCCCTGACATCCGTGGCAGCCAAAAGATTCGGTGCTAGAAGGCACTTTCCCCAGGAGCGGAGGAACCGGTTGGCCCTCAAGAATCAGAGAGGAAGTGCAGGTGGGATGCAACACCGCCTTTCCTAGAAGGCCAATGTCAGGAGCGGTGGGCTTGCCTCCGCCTCTTCCTGGACCGAGCGTGCAGCCATCACTTGGGCCATGGAGACCGAGAGAGCTTCCCTGTCCCACACAGGTATGGAAGCCCAGAGCTCCAGGATCACCACAGCTGCCCAATCATCCAGAAAGAGGTGTGGAGAGGGAAACAATCATGACGCGGACCGCCACGAGGTTTCTCCCTGATGGACGGGGAAGTCTTCTTTGTGGAAGACACTGAGCCACGCTAAGAAGCTGCCAGGCTTCTCAGAGACGGGGCAGACACAGCAAGAGGGAGGTCAGAGCAGAGGCCAGAGCCCAGGCAGGATACGGGGGGGCCATGCCACCACCACCGGCATCCGGGGAGGAGTGTCAAACGGGTGACTCGGCCAGGAAGGCCAGCCTTTGAGAGACAGACATGCTTGCCCCATCCCCTTGCCGGCTTCCTTCTCCGTCCCTGCGTCGAGCTGTGGCTACATTTCTCGATGAGGGCAGAGGGCGACAGGCGTGACAACCACCTTCTTGAAGCTCTGCGGGCACCCTCCTGCGGGTGGACAATGAGCGCCTGGGAGGCCGTTGTCCTTGGTTGGGGAGCGCTCGTCTGGATCCAGCCTAGCAAAGAGGCTGCTCCGGATGGGGAGGGGATGAAAACCCCTGCGGGTTCGACGCCGATGCCCACGTTGCCCAGGCCTTCACAGACCCCCAAACTGGAACTGCCGGGACGACGACTGCCAACCGGCCACACGACCCAGGCAGAGACGCGGGGACACGCTGACCAGAAGAAAGGCCGACGTGCAAGAAACCCACCCTCCGGCGCACAGGGCACATGTGTCCCAAGGCGCACGCACACACAGACGGACAGAGACAGACAGAGAGGGCGACGGAAACAGCGAGAAGGGAGAGAGAGAGAGAGAGAGACAGAGAGACAGAGAGAGACGTGAGAGAGAGACAGAAGTCGGCACACAGACACGCACTGCGCGCGCACACACACAGACACACACACAGACGCACCCCCCCAACACACACACACACACCCATAACGAACACACACGTACAGCAGGGAACACCCACCCGCAGGCAGCCCCTGAAGCTGCCGGGTTCTGCTCTCCGAGACTAAGAGCCACCGGTGAGAGAGCAGCCCACGGGCACACAGGCGGACCTGTGCTCGTCATCACAAGGGCTCCACTTTTGGGGAGACTCACCCGCACACCGTCCGCGCACGCCTGAGGCTGGGATCCCGCGCTGCCTCGCCGGCGATCTGTCTGAGGTTTCTTCCTCTTGGGGTTTCTTCCTGCTGGTGGACCCTCCGCGAATCCCGGCCTCCGGAGACCGTCCTGGTAACTGCCCTGGCCAGGACTGGTCTCAGCCCAGACTCAGACGCACGATCACACAGGGCTCCTACTTCGCCAAGTGTCAGGGACCCATCCCCGGGCAACGGTGGCTTTCACTGTGACCCAAGCGGCGGCTTGGGCCTCGCGCATGCGCACTGGCGAGGCCGACTCCCCCGCTCCACCCCCCCTTACTCCGCAGAGTCAGGCTGCGGACCCTTTAAAAAATGGCGGCGACGCGGCGGCTGCGGGGCCTGGGGCGGCGGTGCTGGAGGTTGCGGCGGCGGCGGTGGCGGCGCAGCCCGAGGCGGCGGGTGGGAAGAGGACTGCCAGAGGGGCCTGCGGGAGACCCAGGGTCGGACCCATAGGAGTCCTGTGGTGAGGACCTCCTTGATCGCTCTTCTGCTTCGGTTCCCGCGAAAGGAGGAGCTTCGGGATGCCGGCTGGGCTGCGCGGACTCCTCTTGGGGTCCGATGATGGATCCAACCGGGTGATCGGGAATGGGGTTCCAATGCAGTGAGGCCGAAAGGGTCTCGCCGGGGCACAGAAAGATCCCCAGGGCGCAAGGCGTGCTGTCGGCTGCAAAGGCACCGACCCATGAGCCCACTGCCTCCCTCCCTCCTGGCAGGAGCAGGGGCCTGCCTTCATCTCCAAGGCCCGAGGGCTCCAGCATCCCGACGCGGCTTCCGGCGACACGGGCAAAGAGAGACAGAGGCGAGTCCGAGCTGGTGCCAGCGTGTCCACATGTGGCACTGTCGTCCCCCAAGAGCACATGCAGGCAGCGTGTGTCTTTGAGGCCGTAGGGGGCGACGACGAGACGGACAGTGATGTCCAGGCGTGCGCCCGGGGGGCCACTGGAGACCTGCCCCACAAAGCGGAGGAAAAGCCAAGCGCACCTGAAAACCTGCGAGACAGGGCCTGTGCGCGAGTCCACGCCACGTTCAGGGAGGCCCGCCAGAGGAGCCGAGAGGTTTGGACAAAGTACACCCCACCCCCAGCCCGCCGCCGGCTAGGTACCCCTGACGCAACCTCCCCTGCACCCAGCCAAAACCCAGTCCCGTTGGCTCCCTGACATCCGTGGCAGCCAAAAGATTCGGTGCTAGAAGGCACTTTCCCCAGGAGCGGAGGAACCGGTTGGCCCTCAAGAATCAGAGAGGAAGTGCAGGTGGGATGCAACACCGCCTTTCCTAGAAGGCCAATGTCAGGAGCGGTGGGCTTGCCTCCGCCTCTTCCTGGACCGAGCGTGCAGCCATCACTTGGGCCATGGAGACCGAGAGAGCTTCCCTGTCCCACACAGGTATGGAAGCCCAGAGCTCCAAGATCACCACAGCTGCCCAATCATCCAGAAAGAGGTGTGGAGAGGGAAACAATCATGACGCGGACCGCCACGAGGTTTCTCCCTGATGGACGGGGAAGTCTTCTTTGTGGAAGACACTGAGCCACACTAAGAAGCCGCCAGGCTTCTCAGAGACGGGGCAGACACAGCAAGAGGGAGGTCAGAGCAGACGCCAGAGCACAGGCAGGATACGGGGGGACCATGCCACCACCACCGGCATCCGGGGAGGAGTGTCAAACGGGTGACTCGGCCAGGAAGGCCAGCCTTTGAGAGACAGACATGCTTGCCGCCCCATCCCCTTGCCGGCTTCCTTCTCCGTCCCTGCGTCTAGCTGTGGCTACATTTCTCGATGAGGGCAGAGGGCGACAGGCGTGACAACCACCTTCTTGAAGCTCTGCGGGCACCCTCCTGCGGGTGGACAATGAGCGCCTGGGAGGCCGTTGTCCTTGGTTGGGGAGCGCTCGTCTGGATCCAGCCTAGCAAAGAGGCTGCTCCGGATGGGGAGGGGATGAAAACCCTGCGGGTCCGACGCCCATGCCCACGTTGCCCAGGCCTTCACAGACCCCCAAACTGGAACCGCCGGGACGACGACTGCCAACCGGCCACACGACCCAGGCAGAGACGCGGGGACACGCTGACCAGAAGAAAGGCCGACGTGCAAGAAACCCACCCTCCGGCGCACAGGGCCCATGTGTCCCAAGGCGCACGCACACACAGACGGACAGAGACAGAAAGAGAGGGCGACCGAAAGAGCGAGAAGGGAGAGAGACAGAGAGAGAGAGAGAGAGAGAGAGACGTGAGAGAGAGACAGAAGTCGGCACACAGACACGCACTGCGCGCGCACACACACAGACACACACACAGACGCATCCCCCCAACACACACACACACACACCCATAACGAACACACACGTACAGCAGGGAACACCCACCCGCAGGCAGCCCCTGAAGGTGCCGGGTTCTGCTCTCCGCGACTAAGAGCCACCGGTGAGAGAGCAGCCCACGGGCACACAGGCGGACCTGTGCTCGTCATCACAAGGGCTCCACTTTTGGGGAGACTCACCCGCACACCGTCCGCGCACGCCTGAGGCTGGGATGCCGCGCTGCCTCGCCGGCGATCTGTCTGAGTTTTCTTCCTCCTGGGGTTTCTTCCTGCTGGTGGACCCTCCGCGAATCCCGGCCTCCGGAGACCGTCCTGGTAAATGCCCTGGCCAGGACTGGTCTCAGCCCAGACTCAGACGCACGATCACACAGGGCTCCTACTTCGCCAAGTGTCAGGGACCCATCCCCGGGCAACGGTGGCTTTCACTGTGACCCAAGCGGCGGCTTGGGCCTCGCGCATGCGCACTGGCGAGGCCGACTCCCCCGCTCCACCCCCCCTTACTCCGCAGAGTCAGGCTGCGGACCCTTTAAAAAATGGCGGCGACGCGGCGGCTGCGGGGCCTGGGGCGGCGGTGCTGGAGGTTGCGGTGGCGGCGGTGGCGGCGCAGCCCGAGGCGGCGGGTGGGAAGAGGACTGCCAGAGGGGCCTGCGGGAGACCCAGGGTCGGACCCATAGGAGTCCTGTGGTGAGGACCTCCTTGATCGCTCTTCTGCTTCGGTTCCCGCTGAAGGAGGAGCTTCGGGATGCCGGCTGGGCTGCGCGGACTCCTCTTGGGGTCCGATGATGGATCCAACCGGGTGATCGGGAATGGGGTTCCAATGCAGTGAGGCCGAAAGGGTCTCGCCGGGGCACAGAAAGATCCCCAGGGCCGCAAGGCGTGCTGTCGGCTGCAAAGGCACCGACCCATGAGCCCACTGCCTCCCTCCCTCCTGGCAGGAGCAGGGGCCTGCCTTCATCTCCAAGGCCCGAGGGCTCCGGCATCCCGACGCGGCTTCCGGCGACACGGGCAAAGAGAGACAGAGGCGAGTCCGAGCTGGAGCCAGCGTGTCCACATGTGGCACTGTCGTCCCCCAAGAGCACATGCAGGCAGCGTGTGTCTTTGAGGCCGTAGGGGGCGACGACGAGACGGACAGTGATGTCCAGGCGTGCGCCCGGGGGGCCACTGGAGACCTGCCCCACAAAGCGGAGGAAAAGCCAAGCGCACCTGAAAACCTGCGAGACAGGGCCTGTGCGCGAGTCCACGCCACGTTCAGGGAGGCCCGCCAGAGGAGCCGAGAGGTTTGGACAAAGTACACCCCACCCCCAGCCCGCCGCCGGCTAGGTACCCCTGACGCAACCTCCCCTGCACCCAGCCAAAACCCAGTCCCGTTGGCTCCCTGACATCCGTGGCAGCCAAAAGATTCGGTGCTAGAAGGCACTTTCCCCAGGAGCGGAGGAACCGGTTGGCCCTCAAGAATCAGAGAGGAAGTGCAGGTGGGATGCAACACCGCCTTTCCTAGAAGGCCAATGTCAGGAGCGGTGGGCTTGCCTCCGCCTCTTCCTGGACCGAGCGTGCAGCCATCACTTGGGCCATGGAGACCGAGAGAGCTTCCCTGTCCCACACAGGTATGGAAGCCCAGAGCTCCAGGATCACCACAGCTGCCCAATCATCCAGAAAGAGGTGTGGAGAGGGAAACAATCATGACGCGGACCGCCACGAGGTTTCTCCCTGATGGACGGGGAAGTCTTGTTTGTGGAAGACACTGAGCCACGCTAAGAAGCCGCCAGGCTTCTCAGAGACGGGGCAGACACAGCAAGAGGGAGGTCAGAGCAGAGGCCAGAGCCCAGGCAGGATACGGGGGGGCCATGCCACCACCACCGGCATCCGGGGAGGAGTGTCAAACGGGTGACTCGGCCAGGAAGGCCAGCCTTTGAGAGACAGACATGCTTGCCCCATCCCCTTGCCGGCTTCCTTCTCCGTCCCTGCGTCGAGCTGTGGCTACATTTCTCGATGAGGGCAGAGGGCGACAGGCGTGACAACCACCTTCTTGAAGCTCTGCGGGCACCCTCCTGCGGGTGGACAATGAGCGCCTGGGAGGCCGTTGTCCTTGGTTGGGGAGCGCTCGTCTGGATCCAGCCTAGCAAAGAGGCTGCTCCGGATGGGGAGGGGATGAAAACCCCTGCGGGTTCGACGCCGATGCCCACGTTGCCCAGGCCTTCACAGACCCCCAAACTGGAACTGCCGGGACGACGACTGCCAACCGGCCACACGACCCAGGCAGAGACGCGGGGACACGCTGACCAGAAGAAAGGCCGACGTGCAAGAAACCCACCCTCCGGCGCACAGGGCACATGTGTCCCAAGGCGCACGCACACACAGACGGACAGAGACAGACAGAGAGGGCGACGGAAACAGCGAGAAGGGAGAGAGAGAGAGAGAGAGACAGAGAGACAGAGAGAGACGTGAGAGAGAGACAGAAGTCGGCACACAGACACGCACTGCGCGCGCACACACACAGACACACACACAGACGCACCCCCCCAACACACACACACACACCCATAACGAACACACACGTACAGCAGGGAACACCCACCCGCAGGCAGCCCCTGAAGCTGCCGGGTTCTGCTCTCCGAGACTAAGAGCCACCGGTGAGAGAGCAGCCCACGGGCACACAGGCGGACCTGTGCTCGTCATCACAAGGGCTCCACTTTTGGGGAGACTCACCCGCACACCGTCCGCGCACGCCTGAGGCTGGGATCCCGCGCTGCCTCGCCGGCGATCTGTCTGAGGTTTCTTCCTCTTGGGGTTTCTTCCTGCTGGTGGACCCTCCGCGAATCCCGGCCTCCGGAGACCGTCCTGGTAACTGCCCTGGCCAGGACTGGTCTCAGCCCAGACTCAGACGCACGATCACACAGGGCTCCTACTTCGCCAAGTGTCAGGGACCCATCCCCGGGCAACGGTGGCTTTCACTGTGACCCAAGCGGCGGCTTGGGCCTCGCGCATGCGCACTGGCGAGGCCGACTCCCCCGCTCCACCCCCCCTTACTCCGCAGAGTCAGGCTGCGGACCCTTTAAAAAATGGCGGCGACGCGGCGGCTGCGGGGCCTGGGGCGGCGGTGCTGGAGGTTGCGGCGGCGGCGGTGGCGGCGCAGCCCGAGGCGGCGGGTGGGAAGAGGACTGCCAGAGGGGCCTGCGGGAGACCCAGGGTCGGACCCATAGGAGTCCTGTGGTGAGGACCTCCTTGATCGCTCTTCTGCTTCGGTTCCCGCGAAAGGAGGAGCTTCGGGATGCCGGCTGGGCTGCGCGGACTCCTCTTGGGGTCCGATGATGGATCCAACCGGGTGATCGGGAATGGGGTTCCAATGCAGTGAGGCCGAAAGGGTCTCGCCGGGGCACAGAAAGATCCCCAGGGCGCAAGGCGTGCTGTCGGCTGCAAAGGCACCGACCCATGAGCCCACTGCCTCCCTCCCTCCTGGCAGGAGCAGGGGCCTGCCTTCATCTCCAAGGCCCGAGGGCTCCAGCATCCCGACGCGGCTTCCGGCGACACGGGCAAAGAGAGACAGAGGCGAGTCCGAGCTGGTGCCAGCGTGTCCACATGTGGCACTGTCGTCCCCCAAGAGCACATGCAGGCAGCGTGTGTCTTTGAGGCCGTAGGGGGCGACGACGAGACGGACAGTGATGTCCAGGCGTGCGCCCGGGGGGCCACTGGAGACCTGCCCCACAAAGCGGAGGAAAAGCCAAGCGCACCTGAAAACCTGCGAGACAGGGCCTGTGCGCGAGTCCACGCCACGTTCAGGGAGGCCCGCCAGAGGAGCCGAGAGGTTTGGACAAAGTACACCCCACCCCCAGCCCGCCGCCGGCTAGGTACCCCTGACGCAACCTCCCCTGCACCCAGCCAAAACCCAGTCCCGTTGGCTCCCTGACATCCGTGGCAGCCAAAAGATTCGGTGCTAGAAGGCACTTTCCCCAGGAGCGGAGGAACCGGTTGGCCCTCAAGAATCAGAGAGGAAGTGCAGGTGGGATGCAACACCGCCTTTCCTAGAAGGCCAATGTCAGGAGCGGTGGGCTTGCCTCCGCCTCTTCCTGGACCGAGCGTGCAGCCATCACTTGGGCCATGGAGACCGAGAGAGCTTCCCTGTCCCACACAGGTATGGAAGCCCAGAGCTCCAGGATCACCACAGCTGCCCAGTCATCCAGAAAGAGGTGTGGAGAGGGAAACAATCATGACGCGGACCGCCACGAGGTTTCTCCCTGATGGACGGGGAAGTCTTCTTTGTGGAAGACACTGAGCCACGCTAAGAAGCCGCCAGGCTTCTCAGAGACGGGGCAGACACAGCAAGAGGGAGGTCAGAGCAGAGGCCAGAGCCCAGGCAGGATACGGGGGGGCCATGCCACCACCACCGGCATCCGGGGAGGAGTGTCAAACGGGTGACTCGGCCAGGAAGGCCAGCCTTTGAGAGACAGACATGCTTGCCCCATCCCCTTGCCGGCTTCCTTCTCCGTCCCTGCGTCGAGCTGTGGCTACATTTCTCGATGAGGGCAGAGGGCGACAGGCGTGACAACCGCCTTCTTGAAGCTCTGCGGGCACCCTCCTGCGGGTGGACAATGAGCGCCTGGGAGGCCGTTGTCCTTGGTTGGGGAGCGCTCGTCTGGATCCAGCCTAGCAAAGAGGCTGCTCCGGATGGGGAGGGGATGAAAACCCCTGCGGGTTCGACGCCGATGCCCACGTTGCCCAGGCCTTCACAGACCCCCAAACTGGAACTGCCGGGACGACGACTGCCAACCGGCCACACGACCCAGGCAGAGACGCGGGGAGAGGCTGACCAGAAGAAAGGCCGACGTGCAAGAAACCCACCCTCCGGCGTACAGGGCACATGTGTCCCAAGGCGCACGCACACACAGACGGACAGAGATAGAAAGAGAGGGCGACGGAAACAGCGAGAAGGGAGAGAGAGAGAGAGAGAGAGAGAGAGAGACAGAGAGAGACGTGAGAGAGAGACAGAAGTCGGCACACAGACACGCACTGCGCGCGCACACACACAGACACACACACAGACGCACCCCCCCAACACACACACACACACCCATAACGAACACACACGTACAGCTGGGAACACCCACCCGCAGGCAGCCCCTGAAGCTGCCGGGTTCTGCTCTCCGAGACTAAGAGCCACCGGTGAGAGAGCAGCCCACGGGCACACAGGCGGACCTGTGCTCGTCATCACAAGGGCTCCACTTTTGGGGAGACTCACCCGCACACCGTCCGCGCACGCCTGAGGCTGGGATCCCGCGCTGCCTCGCCGGCGATCTGTCTGAGGTTTCTTCCTCTTGGGGTTTCTTCCTGCTGGTGGACCCTCCGCGAATCCCGGCCTCCGGAGACCGTCCTGGTAACTGCCCTGGCCAGGACTGGTCTCAGCCCAGACTCAGACGCACGATCACACAGGGCTCCTACTTCGCCAAGTGTCAGGGACCCATCCCCGGGCAACGGTGGCTTTCACTGTGACCCAAGCGGCGGCTTGGGCCTCGTGCATGCGCACTGGCGAGGCCGACTCCCCCGCTCCACCCCCCCTTACTCCGCAGAGTCAGGCTGCGGACCCTTTAAAAAATGGCGGCGACGCGGCGGCTGCGGGGCCTGGGGCGGCGGTGCTGGAGGTTGCGGCGGCGGCGGTGGCGGCGCAGCCCGAGGCGGCGGGTGGGAAGAGGACTGCCAGAGGGGCCTGCGGGAGACCCAGGGTCGGACCCATAGGAGTCCTGTGGTGAGGACCTCCTTGATCGCTCTTCTGCTTCGGTTCCCGCGAAAGGAGGAGCTTCGGGATGCCGGCTGGGCTGCGCGGACTCCTCTTGGGGTCCGATGATGGATCCAACCGGGTGATCGGGAATGGGGTTCCAATGCAGTGAGGCCGAAAGGGTCTCGCCGGGGCACAGAAAGATCCCCAGGGCCGCAAGGCGTGCTGTCGGCTGCAAAGGCACCGACCCATGAGCCCACTGCCTCCCTCCCTCCTGGCAGGAGCAGGGGCCTGCCTTCATCTCCAAGGCCCGAGGGCTCCGGCATCCCGACGCGGCTTCCGGCGACACGGGCAAAGAGAGACAGAGGCGAGTCCGAGCTGGAGCCAGCGTGTCCACATGTGGCACTGTCGTCCCCCAAGAGCACATGCAGGCAGCGTGTGTCTTTGAGGCCGTAGGGGGCGACGACGAGACGGACAGTGATGTCCAGGCGTGCGCCCGGGGGGCCACTGGAGACCTGCCCCACAAAGCGGAGGAAAAGCCAAGCGCACCTGAAAACCTGCGAGACAGGGCCTGTGCGCGAGTCCACGCCACGTTCAGGGAGGCCCGCCAGAGGAGCCGAGACGTTTGGACAAAGTACACCCCACCCCCAGCCCGCCGCCGGCTAGGTACCCCTGACGCAACCTCCCCTGCACCCAGCCAAAACCCAGTCCCGTTGGCTCCCTGACATCCGTGGCAGCCAAAAGATTCGGTGCTAGAAGGCACTTTCCCCAGGAGCGGAGGAACCGGTTGGCCCTCAAGAATCAGAGAGGAAGTGCAGGTGGGATGCAACACCGCCTTTCCTAGAAGGCCAATGTCAGGAGCGGTGGGCTTGCCTCCGCCTCTTCCTGGACCGAGCGTGCAGCCATCACTTGGGCCATGGAGACCGAGAGAGCTTCCCTGTCCCACACAGGTATGGAAGCCCAGAGCTCCAGGATCACCACAGCTGCCCAATCATCCAGAAAGAGGTGTGGAGAGGGAAACAATCATGACGCGGACCGCCACGAGGTTTCTCCCTGATGGACGGGGAAGTCTTGTTTGTGGAAGACACTGAGCCACGCTAAGAAGCCGCCAGGCTTCTCAGAGACGGGGCAGACACAGCAAGAGGGAGGTCAGAGCAGAGGCCAGAGCCCAGGCAGGATACGGGGGGGCCATGCCACCACCACCGGCATCCGGGGAGGAGTGTCAAACGGGTGACTCGGCCAGGAAGGCCAGCCTTTGAGAGACAGACATGCTTGCCCCATCCCCTTGCCGGCTTCCTTCTCCGTCCCTGCGTCGAGCTGTGGCTACATTTCTCGATGAGGGCAGAGGGCGACAGGCGTGACAACCACCTTCTTGAAGCTCTGCGGGCACCCTCCTGCGGGTGGACAATGAGCGCCTGGGAGGCCGTTGTCCTTGGTTGGGGAGCGCTCGTCTGGATCCAGCCTAGCAAAGAGGCTGCTCCGGATGGGGAGGGGATGAAAACCCCTGCGGGTTCGACGCCGATGCCCACGTTGCCCAGGCCTTCACAGACCCCCAAACTGGAACTGCCGGGACGACGACTGCCAACCGGCCACACGACCCAGGCAGAGACGCGGGGACACGCTGACCAGAAGAAAGGCCGACGTGCAAGAAACCCACCCTCCGGCGCACAGGGCACATGTGTCCCAAGGCGCACGCACACACAGACGGACAGAGACAGACAGAGAGGGCGACGGAAACAGCGAGAAGGGAGAGAGAGAGAGAGAGAGAGAGAGAGAGAGAGAGAGAGAGAGAGAGAGAGGTGAGAGAGAGTCAGAAGTCGGCACACAGACACGCACTGCGCGCGCACACACACAGACACACACACAGACGCACCCCCCCAACACACACACACACACCCATAACGAACACACACGTACAGCAGGGAACACCCACCCGCAGGCAGCCCCTGAAGCTGCCGGGTTCTGCTCTCCGCGACTAAGAGCCACCGGTGAGAGAGCAGCCCACGGGCACACAGGCGGACCTGTGCTCGTCATCACAAGGGCTCCACTTTTGGGGAGACTCACCCGCACACCGTCCGCGCACGCCTGAGGCTGGGATGCCGCGCTGCCTCGCCGGCGATCTGTCTGAGTTTTCTTCCTCCTGGCGTTTCTTCCTGCTGGTGGACCCTCCGCGAATCCCGGCCTCCGGAAACCGTCCTGGTAACTGCCCTGACCAGGACTGGTCTCAGCCCAGACTCAGACGCACGATCACACAGGGCTCCTACTTCGCCAAGTGTCAGGGACCCATCCCCGGGCAACGGTGGCTTTCACTGTGACCCAAGCGGCGGCTTGGGCCTCGCGCATGCGCACTGGCGAGGCCGACTCCCCCGCTCCACCCCCCCTTACTCCGCAGAGTCAGGCTGCGGACCCTTTAAAAAATGGCGGCGACGCGGCGGCTGCGGGGCCTGGGGCGGCGGTGCTGGAGGTTGCGGCGGCGGCGGTGGCGGCGCAGCCCGAGGCGGCGGGTGGGAAGAGGACTGCCAGAGGGGCCTGCGGCAGACCCAGGGTCGGACTCATAGGAGTCCTGTGGTGAGGACCTCCTTGATCGCTCTTCTGCTTCGGTTCCCGCTGAAGGAGGAGCTTCGGGATGCCGGCTGGGCTGCGCGGACTCCTCTTGGGGTCCGATGATGGATCCAACCGGGTGATCGGGAATGGGGTTCCAATGCAGTGAGGCCGAAAGGGTCTCGCCGGGGCACAGAAAGATCCCCAGGGCCGCAAGGCGTGCTGTCGGCTGCAAAGGCACCGACCCATGAGCCCACTGCCTCCCTCCCTCCTGGCAGGAGCAGGGGCCTGCCTTCATCTCCAAGGCCCGAGGGCTCCGGCATCCCGACGCGGCTTCCGGCGACACGGGCAAAGAGAGACAGAGGCGAGTCCGAGCTGGTGCCAGTGTGTCCACATGTGGCACTGTCGTCCCCCAAGAGCACATGCAGGCCGCGTGTGTCTTTGAGGCCGTAGGGGGCGACGACGAGACGGACAGTGATGTCCAGGCGTGCGCCCGGGGGGCCACTGGAGACCTGCCCCACAAAGCGGAGGAAAAGCCAAGCGCACCTGAAAACCTGCGAGACAGGGCCTGTGCGCGAGTCCACGCCACGTTCAGGGAGGCCCGCCAGAGGAGCCGAGACGTTTGGACAAAGTACACCCCACCCCCAGCCCGCCGCCGGCTAGGTACCCCTGACGCAACCTCCCCTGCACCCAGCCAAAACCCAGTCCCGTTGGCTCCCTGACATCCGTGGCAGCCAAAAGATTCGGTGCTAGAAGGCACTTTCCCCAGGAGCGGAGGAACCGGTTGGCCCTCAAGAATCAGAGAGGAAGTGCAGGTGGGATGCAACACCGCCTTTCCTAGAAGGCCAATGTCAGGAGCGGTGGGCTTGCCTCCGCCTCTTCCTGGACCGAGCGTGCAGCCATCACTTGGGCCATGGAGACCGAGAGAGCTTCCCTGTCCCACACAGGTATGGAAGCCCAGAGCTCCAAGATCACCACAGCTGCCCAATCATCCAGAAAGAGGTGTGGAGAGGGAAACAATCATGACGCGGACCGCCACGAGGTTTCTCCCTGATGGACGGGGAAGTCTTCTTTGTGGAAGACACTGAGCCACACTAAGAAGCCGCCAGGCTTCTCAGAGACGGGGCAGACACAGCAAGAGGGAGGTCAGAGCAGAGGCCAGAGCACAGGCAGGATACGGGGGGACCATGCCACCACCACCGGCATCCGGGGAGGACTGTCAAACGGGTGACTCGGCCAGGAAGGCCAGCCTTTGAGAGACAGACATGCTTGCCGCCCCATCCCCTTGCCGGCTTCCTTCTCCGTCCCTGCGTCGAGCTGTGGCTACATTTCTCGATGAGGGCAGAGGGCGACAGGCGTGACAACCACCTTCTTGAAGCTCTGCGGGCACCCTCCTGCGGGTGGACAATGAGCGCCTGGGAGGCCGTTGTCCTTGGTTGGGGAGCGCTCGTCTGGATCCAGCCTAGCAAAGAGGCTGCTCCGGATGGGGAGGGGATGAAAACCCCTGCGGGTCCGACGCCGATGGCGACGTTGCTCAGGCCTTCACAGACCCCCAAACTGGAACCGCCGGGACGACGACTGCCAACTGGCCACACGACCCAGGCAGAGAGGCAGGGAGAAGCTGACCAGAAAAAGACTGACCAGAAGAAAGGCTGACATGCAAGAAACCCAGCATGCGGCGTACAGGGCACATGTGTGCCAAGAGTGACGCACAGACAGATGGACAATGACAGAAAGAGAGAGCGAGGGAAAGAGCGAGAAGGGAGAGAGACGTAAGAGAGCGATAGAAGTGGGCAGACAGACACGTAGGCGCGCGCACACATACACACACACACACACACACGCCCGTAAGGCATAGAGACCTACAGCAGTTAACAGCCACCTCCAGGCAGCCCCTGAAGCTGCCGGGTTCTGCTCTCCGTGACTACCACCCACCGGTGAGAGAGCAGCCCCAAGGGCACACAGGCAGACCTGTCCTCGACATCACAAGGGCACCACTTTTGGGGAGACTCACCGGCACACCGTCCGCGCACTCCTGAGGCTGGATTCCCGCGCTGCCTCCCCGGCGATCTGTCTGAGATTTCTTGCTGCTGTTGTTTTTTCCTGGTGGTGTACCTTCCGCGAATCCCGGGCTCCGGAGACCGCGGTGTTAACTTCCCTGGCCAGGACTGGTCTGAACCCCGACTCTGACGCACTATCCCACAGAGCTCCTACTTTCCCAGGTCTCAGGGACCCATCCCGGGGCAACTGTGGCGGTCCCTGTGACCAAAGCGGCGGCTCGGACCTCGCGCATGCGCACTGGCGAGGCCGACTCCCCCGCCCCCCTTGTTACTCCGGAGACTAAGGTCGCGGATCCTTTGCAAAATGGCGCCGACGCTGCTGCTGCTGGGAGTGGGGTGTCGACGGCCGCAGCAGTGTTGGAGGTATCGTGTGGGGTGAGGAATGGGAGAGGTTCCTGTGGGAGACCCAGGGTCGGACCCATAGGATTCCCGTGTTCAAGACCTCCTTGATCTGTCTTCTGCTTCAATTCCCAGTGGCGGAGTAGCTTCAGGGCGCCGGCTGGCCTCTCCGGAGTCCTCTTCGGATCTGATTATGGATCCGACCCGGTGATCAGTAATGGCGTTACGATGTAGTGAGGTGGGAAAGGTCTCGCTGGGGCACAGAAAGATCCCATGGGCCCCAAGATGTGGTGTCTACTGAAATTACACCGACCAGTGAGTCCACTGGCTCCCTCTTTCTTTGGTGAAACCGTGGCCTGCTTTAATCTTTAAGGCCCAGGGGGTCCGGAATCCCTACACTGCTTTGCTTGACATGTGCAGAGAGAGACAGAGGCGAGTCCGAGGGGGAGCCAGTGGGACCACAGGTGGCACTGGTATCCCCCAAGAGCAGATGGAGTGAGCTTGTGTCTCCGAGGCCGTATGGAGAGATGCTGAGACGGACAGTGGTGTCCCGGGATGCGCCCGCGGACCACTGGAGACCTCCTGCACAAAGCTGAGGAAAAGCCTAGCACACCGGAAAACCTGCGAGACAGGGCCTGTGCCCGAGTCCAAGCCACATTCAGGGACGCCTGCCAGAGGAGCCGAGAGGTTTCGACAAAATACACCTCACCTTCACGCCGCCACTGGGTAGGTACCACTGATGCTGCCTCTCCTGCACCCAGCAAAACCCTGTCCCTTTTGCTTCCTGACATCCGTGGCAGCCAGAAGATTCAGTGCCTCAAGGCACTTTCCCCAGGAGCAGAGGAGCCAGATGGCCTTGAAGAATCAGAGAGGAAAGGCAGGTGTGATACAACACCACATTTCCTAGAAGGTAATAGGCCAGCCACCTTCGCCTCCTGCTCTTCCTATACCAGTCAGGCAGCCATCACTTGTGACATGGATACCAAAGGAGCTTCCTTGTCCCAGGCAGGTATGGAAGCCCAGAGCTCCGGGCTTCCTGCCCAATCATCCAGAAATAAGTTTGGAGAGGGAAACAATCATGAAACCCATCCTCACGAAGTTTCTCCCTGATGGACTGAGAAGTCTTCTTTGTTGAAGACATTCAGCCAAAGAAGCCTCTAGGCTTCTCAGAAACAGGGCAGACAGAGCAAGAGGGAGGACAGAGCAGAGGCCAGAGCCCAGGCTCCATACAGCACAATGCCACCACCTTGGGCATGTGTGGAGGAGTGCCAAACCGGTGATTTGGCCAAGAAGACCAGTATTCGAGTGCAGAGATGCTTGCTACATCTCCTACCTGGCGTTCTTTTCTTTCCTTGTTTCCAGCAGTGTCTAGATATCTCAATGAGGGCATACGGCGAGAGGAGTGAGACCCATCTTCTTTGAGGTCGGTGGGCACCTCTCATGCAGGTGGATATTGAGCTTCTGTGAGAATTTTGTCCTTTGCTGGAGTGTGGTCGTCTTGATACTAGCAATGAGCCCGCTCACGATGGGGAGCCGATTTAATCCCCTGCGGGTCCGACGCAACTCCCCACGTTGTCCAGGCCGTCACGAACCCAAACTGGAACCACCGGGAAAACGAATGATAACCGGCCAGATGACCCAGGCAGAGACGCGGGGAGAGGCTCACCAGAAGAAAGGCCGTACAAGAAACTGCCCTTCAGCGCATATGCATCCAAACACACACGCACACGAGCACACACAGACGGAAACAGGTAGAGATTGATAGAGAAAGGAGACAGAGAGAAACAAGAGAAAGAAAGAGACAGAACCCAGACATACTGCAGTGGCACAGTAACATTCATCCCCAGGCAGCCCCTGAAGCCTCAGGGTTCTGCTTTCCGCGACAACGACCCTGGGGTGAGAGAGCAGCCCTTGGGCATACAAGCAGACCTGTCCTCGAGATCGCAAAGGCACGACTTTTGGGGAAACTCACTGGCACACCGTTCGCGCAGGCCTGAGCCTGGAATCCTGCGGTGCTTCCCAGGCGCTCCTCCTGAGGTTTCTTCCTCCTGGTCGACCCTCCGCGAATCCTGGCCTCCGGATACCATCCTGTCGACCCCGTGGCGAGGACTGGCCTTAGCCCGGAGTTCGACGTGCTGCCACAGAAGGCTCCTCCTTCGCGAAGCGTTCAAGGACTCATCTCCAGGCAGCGGTGGCGGTCTCTGTGACTTGAGCATCCGCTGATGATTCGCGCATGCGCTTTGGCAAGGCTGACTGCGCTCTACTCTGGGTCAGGCTGCAGCTCCTGAAAAAAAATTGCTGGGGCTGTGTGTGTGAATGGGGGTGTGCATGTATGTCTTCGGACGAACGTCCCCTGTTCGCTGGAGGGCGGTTTCTTGCACGTCGTCCTTTTTGGTGAGCCTCTTTCTCGGTCTCTGCCTGGGTCGTGTAGCCGGTCGTGTGACCGGAACCGGCAGTCATTTTCCTGGCGGCTGCACTTTTAGTTTCTGAAGGCCTTGGCGAGGTTTGGTGCTGTGTCAGACCCGCAGGCGTTCAAGTCACCTGCCCATTCTGAGTGGCAGAAATCCTAAAAATCCTCCACCCAGGAGCAGAGGACCCGGATGTCTCTCAAGAATTAGAAAGGAAGTGCAGATTATTGCAAAGCACATGGTAGCTAACACTGGATAAATGAGATGAACATTGGTTTGCTAATTACCCATATTTACGCCCCAGGGAAGGAGGGCCCAGCACACCATATGGGATACCGTGTTGCACTTAGGAACAGAGTAATCAGGTGGAGGCTATACCAGGAGGCTTTGTAGTAGCAAGAGTATGGGAGGTAACCCCTGGTTCTTGAAGGAGGGTGTGATTGGCCTGTTTGAATAATTCTGCAGGCTGGCTGGAACCTGACGCCCGCTACTATGCAGTAAGCAGGTAATGTGCCGGTCCTCTGAGGGAAGTGATTCGGCTAGGGCACCTTATTCAAAGGAGTACAACAGGGCAAGGAATTTGCAGTTAATCCATTCAGGCCTCCTTGTTTTCCCCCCAATGTCAGGGCACATATAATATTGAGCCTTAATCTTAGGTCTTATACCACACTTGACCCCTTGATGTCTTGACATCTCTTGGCGATACTGATACTTCTAGAGTGTAGAACTGTTACTGGATGGAAGGTCTTGACTGTAAGTTGTCCACGTTTCTGGCTTGTTGAAGAAAGCATTAAACAAACTACACGAAGCAACAAAAGAACGAAGCCACGAAAGAAGAAAGAAGCAACGAAACCGCAGATTTATTTAAGCGAAAGTCCACTCTACAGAGCCAGAGCCGGCTAGAGCAAGCGGCCGAAGAGCCCAGATTACAATGTTCTTTAGAGTTTTTATTAAGCCAAAGAATTTGATAACACCAATAAGTGCCCTTTCGAGGCCTCCAATTGGTTACACACTGTGAAGGATTGGCCCATGGCTGAACTCAGAGGCTGAACTGGAGACTTCTGTGTTGTTATCACAGGAGTGAGGATGTGGCCTGTGTGCTGCTTAACCTGGCCTAGAACTTGCTGCACCTGCTGTTCTTTTGCTTCCACCTTAACCCTTAGTTTATGCTAATTTTCTATTCTCCTGCCTCAGAAGTGCCTCCTTAGGAGGCCAAGCAGGCTCTTACCTGCTTCAGGTGAGCAGGTAACCAGGAGGGAGCGGACCACAGTTGCTATCATGTCTATGATTAGTGTTTGGAAACCTGTGCAGAGCCTTTGGCTCCACTTGGATGGGATAGCCAAGAGAACAGATATGTGGTTTTTGGATCATGATATGTCTGAATATTTGTGTAACCTTATGTATTACCATCAGTTTTTATTTGTTAGGCATGGTTATTCTTGCTCGTATTATTATTATTATTATTATTATTATTATTATTATTATTATTTTGATAGAGTCTCACTCTGTTGCCAGGCTGGAGTGCAATGCTGCCATATTGGCTCACTGCAACCTCTGCCTCTCAGATTCAAGCGATTCTCCTGCCTCAGCCTCCCAAGTAGCTGGGAATACAGGCACGTGCCACCACACCCAGCTAATTTTTGTATTTTTAGTAGAGACGGGGTTTCACGGTGTTGGCCAGGATGATCTCAGTCTCTTGACCTTGTGATCCACCCAACTTGGCCTTCCAAAGTGCTGAGATTACAGGCATAAGCCATCATGCCCAGCCAAAAATTTTTTTAATAAAATAAAATATGTGAGTATTGGCCAGGTGCAGTGGCTTATGTCTGTAATCCCAGCATTTTGGGAGGCTGAGATAGGAGGATCACTTGAGGCCAGGAGTTCAAGACCAGCCTGGACAACACAGCAAGACCCCACCTCTAAAGAAAAAAAGTGTGTGTGTGTGTGTGTGTGTGTGTGTGTGTAATATGACATAAACAAGTGTGGGTATATCAATCATTGTTCACCAGTTACTGATGCTGTATAACACACCACTCCAAACTTAGTAGTATAAGACAACCATTTTACTGTGCTCACTGATTCTGTGGGTTAGGCATTTAGAGAGCTCACAGAAGAGATGGTGTGCCTCTGCTCCTGATGTCTCTGGCCTCAACCAGGAGGATTCAAAAGCTGGGAATAACCTGATGCCTGAGGGCTGCAAACCTATGAAGCCTGCTTTGCACACATGTCTGGCACATGCAGTGGGAGGACTCAAAGACTCAGACTAGTAGCCTCCCCACATGACTTGGCTTCCTCATAGCATGGCAGCTCACAGCACTTGGAACTTCTTACATGATAGCTCGAGACTTCAAACACAGGAGTTTCAGCTAATGAGGTGAAGGCCACAGTGCCTCTTATGACTCAGCCTTGGGAGTCACACAGCATTGGTTACAAACAATAAACAAATCCAGATTCACGGGCAGAGGAGTTAGACTCCACCCTTAAAGTGGGAATTGCAAGATTCTAGAACAACATATGAGACAAGCCTATTGTTGCAACCATCTTTGGAGAATACAATCTGCAGCAATCACCTTTGGAGACTAGGAAACCAATGCAGTATTCTGAAACTCGTAATTCTGAAAACTAATGAATATGAATGGAAAGAATCAAGCATTTATCCTCCCTTTCCTACACATGCTATCCCTCTAAGTAATCAGATAGTTGATGTGTGGGGATTTTATTTTTATAAAAGGATTCCTGTAATGGAAATTTCAGTAATGGAAATAAAAGGATTCCAGTAATGGCTGAAAGAGAGACACAATAAGAAAGTGATCATTTTGCAGCTCCTAACAACAACGAATCTAGGCAATGATCATGAATGAATGCATGACATTATGCAAAAGGCAATCACTTTACAATGGATAAATCACATTGATGACACTTAAGCCCACTACCAAATCTAATCACAAAAACAGTGACAAGCAGACCTTGCCAAAATAATTGAACTTGAATTTGACCAAGCTTCTAGAGCAGAATTTCTCAACTCTGACACTATTTACACTTTGGACCAGATGATTCTTTGGGATTGGAGAAGGCTGTCCTGTAAGGTGTATGGGATGTTTAGCAGCATCCTGGCCTCTAGCCAATAGGTGGCAGCAATACCATCCTTCCTTGCAGTTGTGACGACCAAAAATATCTCCAAACATTGCCGAATGTCTTCTAGAGGTAAAAATAAAAACAAACAAACAAAAAACAAAACCACAACTGGTTGAGAACCACTGCTCTAGTTAATGACCAGATATTTTAGAGAAAATATACAGCATCTAATTTGTTAATCAGTACCATGGGGGTGTACTCAAAGGCAGTATGTGGGAACTCTATATGATCTAGTGTTTGATTTCTCCAAAATATAAATAGCAAGAAAAAAGGGAAGTCAATAGATTAAAAGACATATAAGAGCCGGCTGGGCGCAGTGGCTCAAGCTTTTAATGCCAGCACTTTGGAGGCCGCGGCGGGCAGATCATCTGAGGTCAGGAAAAGTTCTTAAAAGAACTATAAGAAAAAGAGTTTTAAGAAAAGTTCTTAAAAGAACTATATTTCATACTGAAATATTTATAGATGAAATGTCTAGAATTTTCTCTAAAATAATTGAGTGTAAATGGAGATGAAGCAAAACTGGCCATGTGTTACTTGTTAAGGCTGGGTTCACTGTACTAGGCTCTCTGCACATATAATGCTGGAAGTATCCATAATAAAGAGCTTGAATTTAAAAAAAAATTACCTCCTTCCAAGTACTACTCAAATCAGCAAGCACTAATTTGGAAGGACATCCATAAGGTCTTCCCTAGAAACACAAGCTAAAAAAAAATTACATATAATTCTAGTAAAGGCAAAAGGGAACAAAAGTCACTCAGTATATGTGTGTGTGCATGTCTGAGCAAGGAGAGAGGTAAAGGAAACTTACCAGACTTTTAAAATGGATAACCTTGGGGAGTTGAGAATATAAAATAACAAGAAATATACATATATTTGTCTCTGCCCCTAGCTCCTGGTCTAGAGCTCCTTAAAACCCTTGGGTACTAGGAGGATCATCTGTTCTAATATCTGGTCTTTGACCCTAGTTCCTGACAGAGTTCTCAAATCCCTTGGGATTTCCTGGCTGATAGGAACATCTTATGTTCTAATGAGGGGACTTCTTGGTGGGCTCCTGGATGGCCAAGGGATGTGATATGAGGGTTGGAATTTTCAGCCCCACCCCTTGACCTCCGGGGAGGGGACAGCAGCTTAAGGTTGAGTTGACTGACAATGGCCAATGATGTCATCAATCATGCCTATGTAATGAAGCCTCCATGAAAATCCAAAAGGACTGGGTTCAGAGAGCTTCCAGATTGCTGAACACGTGGGGGTTCCTGGAGGATGATGTGCTGGGGAGAGAGCATTGAAGCCCAATGCCACTTCCCACATATTTTGCCCTAGGTATTTCTTCATCGAAAACCTTTGTAATATCCTTTTTATTGCAAAAAAAGGATGCAATATCCTTTTTATTACTCTGTTACACCGGGTCCTCTTTTGGACTCCTCTGGCTGGAAGGAAAGCGTTTCTCTCATAATTTTTGCTCCCTGAACCTATCACACAGCTCTGAGACTTCCTTCCTTCCAAAGCCAGAAGATAAAGGGGGAAAATACCCCAGCAAACCTGTGGTCATCACGTCCATTCTTCACGTTTTTAACTCCCTTCACATCTGCCTGCTATTATTTGTATTTCTGAGTCTTCAGGTGGTTTCTTTTTGTATTCACTCTGGGGTGTTAAGTAGAAATCGGTGAGAGAGATGCTGAAATGTGCTTATCTCATCTTGGCCAGTAATAGAAGTCTGCCTTGTATATGTTATTGTATGTATGTGTATATATTAAGTTGTATATACACATATTAAATATATATACATATGTTATATTTATATACCCATACATTTGTTTCCTCATGCAATTTGTCCCAGCAGAAGTAAAAACTCATAAAGATATAAGTAAAAGAATATTTACAGAAGCATTATTTTTGGTGGCAAAAGTACTTTAATATCCTAAATGCTCGTATAATGGAAGATAATTTAACTCTTACAAAGAATGAGTTAGCTCTTTATCTACTATAAAGGTATCCTAATATCTTTATCCCTGAACTGATAACTGTGGCAGAGATCGCGCCACTGCACTCAAGCCTGGGTGACAGAGCGAGACTCCCTCTAAAAAACAAACAAAAAAAATAGTTTGTGGGACCAATTCCAATCCAGTCCAGGGGAGCACACACTGGCGACCAACATCCCCCATCAGGCCCCTTCTGGGTCGAGAGAATGCGCCTGGAACAGACTGGGAAACTCCAGCAGGCAAAGTAAGGTGCCAGGAATAAAGACACTGCCTGACACATTCTCCATGTTCCCTACACCTACTCCTCTCCCCACCACGCTTCCATCCAGCTCCAATTTTGCCCTTTCCCCAGTAGCCTCAGATTGAAACCTTGCAAGGAAGAAGCCGATTCTCAAAGTCACAGGCTTAGGAATCCGAGCAACAAAGAAAAATGAGCCCCTGCTCCCCCAACTCCCCCCTACTCCCCTCAGCACTGCTGCCCTGCACCTGCCCCCTCCTCCATAATTTGAACTGTCCTCCCAGAAGCTGGAGAGACGGCCCGCCTGTCAGGAAAGAAAGGACCAGCATGCGGCAAATGCCTGGGGTATGTAGGAGCAGACGGCGAGATTAGCGCAGGGATGTAAGAAACAAGACCAAAGAAGACTCCGCGGCAGACGGCACACTAGGCCTTCATAGGGGCGTGCGCTGGACAGGACCTCGCCAGTTACCGAAAGAATTGTCTGAGAAAGGCTCTGATCTGACCCGAAAGGCCCTTGGTTCCCACGGCAACGCCTCAGCGTCTGGCAGTAACAGGCTCTGTGCCCGGGCTCTCTGGATCTGCAGGTCCCGCCTCCGCCAGCCTCTCACAGCCCGGAGGCACCTCCCATTGGCGCCTGACGGGTTGGTTAGGGCGGCTTTTCTTCCGGCTGTGACAAATCCAGCCTGAGGAGCGCTCCTGTGTCTTTCTTAGTTGTTTCTTCCCGCCCACCTGCCCCTCAAAGCCACAACCCACTTGCACACCACCGTGTGGACACCTAAAAGCGACCGTCTAGATCTGAACCGCGCTGAGGGAATGGTCAGCTTCTCTCCCATTAGATGGCTTGGCCCAAAGGACCTAGCGACTGCCCAGACAAAAATTTCTTCTGACATGCTGCATGTGTCTGTGGTCTCTAAGAGTCAAAACCAAAGCCAAAAGAAAAAGACAACCCCGCCCCCCGCGAAACAACAACAACAACAACAACAACAACAACAAACACCACCACCAACCCACCTTTCACGAGAGGAGTCCTTGAGAAGAGCCTCTCCAGCCAGAACCAGGTAAAGGAATCTGTGCACTTGGCGGGACCCAGAACACACAGTGGCAGGGACTTGACAGCCACACTCTTACCCCATAGAATCTCCACCACTGACACACAGATCAGGATGTGTCACCCTGAGAGATGACACCACAGTTCTGGGCTTTCACAGATTGATTCCACACTCTCTCACTGATTCCACACACATCCCATTACTCACACCAGATTCCCTCATCACTGACCCTACATACCTACAATCATTGATTCCATGGACCTCATCACTATCCCAAAGACCACCTATCACTAATCTACAGACCCTCCCCTGTCACCCCAGGGACCTCAGATTTCCCATCCCCGATTCCAGGATGTATAGAACCTCATCTCTTACCCCCACAGACCTATTGATAAGAGAATACACTCATGGGAGACTGTGTTGACCATTTTACACATCCATTGTGTGTGTGTGTGTGTGTGTGTGTTGATTAATGGACTTAGGTAAACTTTAGCATTTTGGTAGGCAATGCAGTTTTTCAATGCCTTTTCATTTTCTTTCTTTTTCTTGTACATCTTTAAAGGCCTTACTCCAGGCAGTGTGAATTGCAATTTATTAATGCCTATCCCTTATTGAGTCCTTGTCATACATATTTGTTATTGATCATAATTCACAATTCTTATAACTCAGAGACACCAAAGACTCGCATAAAAAGAATGGATGTGGGTTTTTATTTATTTATTTATTTATTTTGGTTTCTGTAGATTACAAAAGTCATTCATTTATATCAAGTCACGAAGTGTATGCTTTGTTTTCTAAAAAAAATTCTAATTAAAAAAAATTTTTTTTAGACATGGTCTCCCTCTTTCACCCACGATGGAGTGCCGTGGTATAATCATGGCCACCACAGCCTCGACCTCTTGGGCTCAAGAGATCCTCCCACGTTAACCTACCTAGTAGCTGAGACCACAGGCATGCACCAATACGCCCACCTAATTATTATTATTTTTTTTATAGATATGTGGGTCTCACTATGTTGCAGAGACAGGTCTCAAACTCCTGGGCTCAAATGATACTCCCACCTTGGCCTCCCAAAGTGTTGAGATTACAGGTGTGAGCCACTGCACCCAGCTGATAAAATCTTAAAAAGAGTAAAATACTTTGGCATCTAATGGAAAATTTCCACTGAGATGATGCATCAGAAATTAAGGTAGAATAAGATGGTCCTAGGGCATCTGAAACAACGGAAACTCAATCTTGGACTGGGTATGGTGGCTCATGCCTGCAATCTCAGAACTTTGGGAGGAAAAGGTGGGGGACTCACTTGAGGTCAGAAGTTCGAGAGCATTCTAGCCAACATGGTGAAACACTGTCTCTACTAAAAATATAAAAATTAGCCTGGAGGTTGCAGCGAGCTGAGATCGTGCCACTGCACTCCAGTCTGGGCAACAGAGGGAGACTCTGTCTCAAAAAAAAAAAAAAAAAAGAAGAAGAAGTAGAATAAACAAAATCTTAATTTATTCATCAAGTATAAAAATGTGGACTAGACTCTGGAGGAATAATACATAAAAAGACATAGGCACTATTTTTTTTTGAAGTTTTATTGAGAAATATTAATAACATATCACAGAAGCCACCCATTGAAAGTGTAAAATTCAACGGTTTTCAGTATATTTGCACAGTTGTGCAAACAGCACCACAGTAAGTTTTAGATCATTTTCATTACCTTGAAGTAAACCCCATATCCCTCCAGTTCCCCCCAACTCCCCTAACCCCGGGCCACCACTAATCTACTTTCTGTTTCTATGTATTGGTCTATTTTGGATATTTTATTTAAATGGAATTACACAACATGTGGTCTTTTGTGACTGGCTTCTTTCACTTAGCATCATATTTTCAAGGTTTATTAAATGTTGCATGTGCAGAGGGGGCACTTTACATAAGGATAAACCTGGGAGTGGGTGCGTACTGATTTTGAAACTTCACTCCAAAATTGTAAAAGGGAAATGATTGATTTCAAATAGAGGAAAAACCTGTTCAAGCTAAAATCCTCCGTTTTCACCAGTTTGTAATGTGGGGTTTTATTGCGAAGAATGGCAAGGTTTTTATACATATTTTCTGCAAATTCTCCCTGTGTTTGGGAACAGTCACAGAATGTGGAGGTATGGGCTTCTGGACTCTGTGGCTGGAGATTCGAGTCCAGGAGAACTCAAGTCTCAGGGTAGGCAGAGAATAACAGTGCAAGAGTGCCAATGGAACCCTTTGAAATGGAAAATTTAAAATGTTCCCTCCCAAAGGAGTCCCAGATAACCACACAAAAGAGGAGTTTGCTGAGTCAGTCCGTCGCGATTCTCCAATAGGATGCAGACAGACTGGGAAAGAAGAAAGTTTATTTCTGCAACCGATTACATGGAGAAGGGCCAAGTAACTCACCAGACCAACTCAAAGTTACAAGTTTTTTTCTAGTGTTTATAGACATCTTAAGGTCCACGGTATGTGTGGGACTGCACCTACAAGCAGAAGTGTTGCATTCAATCAACATCTAATCTTTAACTAGGGCCTAGGGTCTGGAAAGATTTCTCTAGAGTCTTGGAAAGTTTCTGAATCTTAAGACAGGCTGAGGTGAATGTGTAAGAATGCTATTATTATTCGATCAGACTTTAGGATCTGAGAAGACCAAGGCAGGGTCTTAATGGGTTCGTTTTCGCATTCCATCCCTGATACTCAGGCACCAGTTTCTCCATTTCTTCAACGTTTAACTTATGCATTCATCAAAATTATAGTAAAGGGTTAGTGGAAACTGTTCTGGTTGCTAATGGAAACCTGGCCTGCCACACTGTGATCGGAACTAAAGCCCACTACAGAACACTGAAAATGCCTGCAAAACACTGACTTTACTGACAAGTCAATTAAATTACAGAAAAGCAAGTTCACCTCCCTGCCCGCTCTGTCCTCCGGAATTGCTAGGTAGAAACGTGCACATTGTCCTAGGTTCAGTTTTGCAAAGACGGAGTCCGTCAGAGAAAGCATTTGTTTGATTTCATGCATTTGTGTTTCCTTTGTCCATTTCCTTTATATTTATTTATTTGTTTATTTATTTTTTTGAGACGGAGTTTCGATCCTCTCGCCCAGGCTGGAGTGCAATATCGCGATCTCGGCTCACTGCAACCTCCCCCTCCCGGGTTCAAACGATTCTCCTGCCTCAGCCTCCCAAGTAGCTACGATTACAGGCATGTGCCACCACGCCCGGCTAATTTTTGTTTTTTTAGTAGAGACGGAGTTTCACCATGTTGCCCAGGATGGTCTCGAACTCCAGAGCTCAGGCAATCCACCCGCCTCGGCCTCCCAAAGTGCTGGGATTACAGGCGTGAGCCACTGCGCCCGGCCTATTTTATTTTAAGACGGAGTCTCACTCGGTCGCCCAGGCTGGAGCGCAGGGGCGCGATCTCGGCTCACTGCAACCTCCGCCTCCCGGGTTCAAGCGATTCTTGTGCCTCTGACTCCTGAGTAGCCGGGATTACAGGCGCCCGCCACCACGCCTGGCTAATTTTTGTATTTTTAGTACAGACGGAGGTTTCGTCATGTTGGCGGCCGGACTGGTCTCGAACTCCTGACCTCAAGTAATCCGCCCGCCTCGGCCTCCCAAAGTGCTGGAACTACAGGCGTGAGCCACCGCGCCCGGCCCCATTTCCTTTTATTTTATTCTTTTCAGACGGAGTTTCGGTCTTGCCGCCCAGGCTGGAGGGGAGTGGCGCGATCTCGGCTCACTGCAATCTCCACCTCCCGGGTTCAAACGATTCTCCTGCATCAGCCTCCGGAGTAGATGGGATTACAGGCGCACGCCACCACGCCCGGCTACATTTCCTTTATTTTATTTTTTATAATTTACTAACCTGGTTTTTTTTTTTTTTTTTTTTTTTTGAGACGGAGTCTCGCTCTGTCGCTCAGGCTGGAGTGCATTGGCGCGATCTCTGCTCACTGCAAGCTCCTCCTCCCGGGTTCACGCCATTCTCCTGCCTCAGCCTCTCCGAGTAGCTGGGACTACAGGCGCCCGCCACCACGCCCGGCTAATTTTTTGTATTTTCAGTAGAGACGGGGTTTCACCGTGGTCTCGATCTCCTGACCTCGTGATCCGCCCGCATCCGCCTCCCAAAGTGTTGGGATTACAAGCTTGAGCCACCGCGCCTGGCACTAGCCTGTTTTTTGATAACAAGACTGGCGGTGCACAAAGTTGGGTCTCTGTGTTCACCGGGAGGTGGGCATTGGCCAGGTGGGACGGTCTCCAGCGCCTGGTGCAAATCTCCACCAAAGTGCAGGAAACAGCATCAACTATTACTGCAAAGTTTTGGTTTGGCGCAGCGGGTAGACGTTCCAGCGCTGAAATGCGCAAGAAAGTTTTTGCTGCGCATGTAGGCGGGTCAGGCCCAAGCGCTTCTTATTGGCTAATGTGGAGCGAACCTGCACATCCATTGACTGAAAGCTCCGTCTATTTGAGGCTAACCGAGAGCGTCCCTTCCTTTTGTGTTGCCTGGAAACAGACTGTCCGCCTACTAACATCTGATCGCGTTTCCCATTGGTCGCCGTTTCCGGAAGCCCGCCCTCCCGTTTCCGGAAGCCCGGCACAGGCTGGGTCTGCAGATGGCGTCCGAGTGCACAGTGGCCAGTGTGATTCCGCAGTCTTGGGCTGTTCGGCCAAGCGCCCACCGGACGTGGGACGCTGGAGGGTCAGCAGCGTGGAGTCCTGGCCTTCAGCGTCCGCGGCTGGGAAATCGGCCATCGCCACGGCGGGAACTAGGACTGGCTGCGTCCCGGCCCTTCCCCATCCGTCCACCGGACTCGTGGGCGCCCGCACTGACTGTGATGTAGTTTCCTGACCTCTGACACGTATTGTCTCAAGATTAAAGGTAAAAACGGGACTTTTTCAGCCCACTCGGGTAAAATGCCCTTTTATTTCTAGGCAGGTGTTTTGTTGCAGAACGCCTCGAAGGGAGGGAGTGATCAGTAGGTTGAAGTTTATTAAATAAAATACATTACTAGTTTATATTATGTTTATAATAAAGCACCCCAACCTTTAAAAAAAATCTCACTTTTTGCCAGTTGTATTATTTAGTGGACTGTCTCTGATAAGGACAGCCAGTTAAAATGGCATTTTGTTGTTGTTGCTAATCAAACCAATTTTTAGTTTTGGTGGTTGTCCTAACAGCAGCAACTTCTCAGGCTTTATGAAATCATATTTGTTTTCTTTTTTTTTTTTTTTGAGACAGAGTCTCGCTCTGTCGCCCAGGCTGGAGTGCAGTGGCGTGATCTCGAGTCACTGCAAGCTCTGTCTCCTGGGTTCACGCCATTCTCCTGCCTCAGCCTCCCGAGTAGCTGGGACTACAGGCGCCCGCCACCACGTCCCGCTAATTTTTTGTATTTGTAGTAGAGACGGGGTTTCACTGTGTTAGTCAGGATGGTCTCTATCTCCTGACCTCGTGATCCTCCCGCCTCTGCCTCCCAAAGTGCAGGGATTACAGGTGTGAGCCACCGCGCCCAGCTTATAAAATCATATTTCTTGTGGAAAATTTCTGTGAAAGGCACAGCGAGTTAGTTTGGAATTGTTTTAAAGGAAGTAAGTTCCTGGTTTTGATATCTTAGTAGTAGTATTTTCCCCAATGTCTTTGAAATCTAATTTTTGGGGCACGTATGTAGAGTAACTTTTGTGAAAGAAACAACCAGTTAAGGAGGTTTTGGGATTTCCTTTATGAACTATAATGCTGGTTTAGATTTTTTTTTTTTTTTGAGACGGAGTTTCGCTCTTGTTGCCCAGGCTGGAGTGCAATGGTGTGATCTTGGCTCACTGCAACCTCCGCCTCACGGGTTCAAGCTATTCTCCTGCCTCAGCCTCATGAGTAGCTGGGATTATAGGCATGCACCATCATGCCTGGCTAATTTTGTATTTTTAGTAGAGATTGGGTTTCTTCATGTTGGTCAAGCTGGTTTCGAACTCCCGAGCTTGGGTGATCCGCCCGCCTGGGCCTCCCAAAGTGCTGGGATTACAGGTGTGCTCCACTGCAGCCGGCATATATATATATATATATATATATAATAAAAATGGTAATGACACTATCTCCTAAATCCTTTAAAATGTTAATTGGTGGATCTCTGACTTTTGTAGTATTTATTTCATAGTGTGAATGAGACACCTATAGGCGGCAGGTCTCTATCTTCATGAAGTGTGAAGATTTGGTGCTTTATAAAATAGCCCCCACATTGTTCATAGGCCTTATTCTTGATTCTCAGCTCCCCTCTGCTTCTGACATTGTTACTAAAATTAAGCTATGTTTTTGTGGTTATGTGAGAGCTGTGGAAATGTCCAGCATTAGCCACTAATGTTTCTCCTTGATATTTCTCCATATCTTAATACTGACCCTCAATCCGTTACTCAGATGGGTGTCCTTTTCCTGGATGTCTGGAAACTAAGACCGGCTATCCCTCTGACCTCCCTGCTGAACAACCATTTTTTTCCTCTCTCTCTTCTCTTGTCTACACTTGAGTTGGTAACCTCAGCTCTTTCATGAGCAGCCTTGATTCCTTTGACTCCCTCTAACTCAGAGTTTATTTTATTTATTTATGTTTTTTTGAGACGGAGTCTCGCTCTGTCACCCAGGCTGGAGTGTAGTGGTGTGATCTCAGCTCACTGCAAGCTCCGCCTCCTGGGGTCACGCCATTCTCCTGCCTCAGCCTCTCCCAGTAGCTGGGACTACAGGCACCCGCCACCACGCCCAGCTAATTTTTTGTATTTTCAGTAGAGATGGGGTTTCACCGTGGTCTCGATCTCCTGACTTCGTAATCCACCCGCCTCGGCCTCCCAAAGTGCTGGGATTACAAGTGTAAACCACCGCACCCGGCCATAACTCTGAGTTTATTACCTGCAGTTCCATCAGCCAAGTTTAGGGCCCATGAGAAGGGCCCATGAATGAAATTTTCACATACCTCTAGCCAAAATATAGTGTTTCCTTCCATCTTGAATACAGGCTGTAGAGCCCTTGGGTATGGGGCATTATTAGCAGTCAGACCACAGCAGTTTTTATGTCATCTGACAGCATCTCCAAATAGCCTTCATGGTTGTCACTGCTTCCCAATGACAATTCCAAATAACAGTTCCCAGTGATGATGTGCTACTTGCTATTGTTACTTAATGTGTTAAAGTGGCTGTTACAGACACTATTACTATGTCAGGAATTACACCAAAATTTAGTAGCTCAAACCATCATTTTATTATGTTTGTGGATTCTCATGCTTATAGTCAGGATTTCAGACATGGCACAAGGGTAGCCCACTTGTCTCTGTTCCGTGATGTCTGGCCTCAGCACAGAAGACTCAACAGCTGGGGTCTGGAACCATCTGGAGGCTTGTTCCTTCACATCTGATACCTGGCTTGGGATGTTGGAAGAGGGGGCTCAGCTGGGACTGAGTCCCTACATGTAGTGTTTCCATATGGCCTTGACTTCCTTACAGCCTGGTGTGGGGAAAAGAAAGAGGGATCAGACTGTTACTGTGTTTGTGTAGAAAGAAGTAGACATAAGAGACTCCATTTTGTTCTGTACTAAGAAAAATTATTCTGCCTTGAGATGCTGTTAATCTGTAACCCTACCCCCAACCCTGTGCTCACAGAAACGTACTCTGTTGGCTCAAGGTTTAATGGATTTAGGGCTATGCAGGATGTGCTTTGTTAAACAAATGCTTGAAGGCAGCATGCTTGTTAAAAGTCATCACCACTCCCTAATCTCAAGTACCCAGAGACACAAAACACTGTGTAAGGCCGCAGGGATCTCTGCCTAGGAAAGCCAGGTATTGTCCAAGGTTTCTCCCCTTGTGATGGTCTGGAATATGGCCCCGTGGGAAGGAAAAGACCTGACGTTCCCCCAGCCCGACACCTGTAAAGGGTCCGTGGTGAGGAGGATTAGTAAAAGAGGAGGGCCTCTGCACTTCAGATAAGAGGAAGGCATCTGTCTCCTGCTCGTCCCTGGGCAATGGAATGTCTCTGTGTAAAACCCGATTAACTGCTCTTTAATGCACCAAGATTTTTATGTATGTGCACATCAAAGCACAGCACCTTTTTCTTAACCTTGTTTATGACACAGAGATATTCACATGTTTTCCTGCTGACCCTCTCCCCACTATTACCCTATTGTCCTGCCACATCCCCCTCTCTGAGATGGTAGAGATAATGATCAATAAATACTGAGGGAACTCAGAGACCAGTGCCAGCATGGGTCCTCTGTATGCTGAGCGCCAGTCCCCTGGGCCCACTTTTCTTTCTCTATACTTTGTCTCTGTGTCTCTTTCTTTTCTCAGTTTCCCGTCCCACCCGACAAGAAACACCCTCAGGTGTGGAGGGGCAGGCCATCCCTTTCACCTGGCAGCCTCAGGGTAGTCAGAATTCTTAGGAGGCACAGGGCTCCAGGTCAGATGCTGAGTGATCTTTTATGAGGTAGCACAGCAAATCCACCCAGGATCGGGGAGAGAGGACATCGATTCTGCCTCTCAAAGGGAGGAGTGGCAAGAAATGTTGAGCCATTTTTTAAAACTACCACAGCAACATGCCTATTAATATGTCAGAAAAAATTAAAGCATCCTGATAGCTGCATTTCTAAGTAATTGGTCTCCTTTGAAATTCTGTGAATTGTGTTTTTGGTAGTATATGGCATTATTCTGAGGAGGGGTCAAAGACTCTCCCGTATGTTAGAACGGTCCTGCACAGAACAGGCTAACCCCCACCCACGTCCCCCAGTGTTTGAAATGCATAGTGTTTGCTGTGGTTTATTGGTCAGGGCAGGAGTTTCTCATTTAAATTGGCCTGTAACTTTTTTTTTGGTCTGATTTCCTTCTGTTTGTGCTGATATTCTCACCTCAATAGGAATCAGGAGCTTCTTTTGCTGTTCTTCTGTTTTGGATGCATTGGAAGGTAAGTTTCCTTGTGAACCATATTTTGGACTCATTTTGTAGGCTTTGCCAAATGGCCTTTTTACGCTCCCATTTTGCATTTTCTTTGGATATTCTCATAGATTCTCAGGGATATTTTCATATTTTACTATTCATGAATTTAGAAGTGTGTTTACTTTCCTGAGTTTTCATTTTCTTCTTTTTCTTCCGTTGTATGTAATTTACAGAGCAAATACCCACCAGAGAGAATACCGTAAGGGATGTGGAAAGTGAGTTTCTTTGCGCTTATCCAGTGATTGATTTTCAGTCAATGAGCATTCAGTATATGCCTGGGACTCTGGCTTTATTTATTAGCTTTCTGATGCTGAACCCATCAGTGAACTACTCTGTATATTTGATTCATCATGAAATGGTGACACCCAGGGTGGCTGATTTCCAGGTTTACATCAGTTGCCCCAGGGGAAGTGCCTGGCCCTTGTCTGGTTGTTGCTGCTCTAACTTTGCCCTGTTAATTGAAGAAATGCAGCTGTAAACACTTCCTGGGGTGTTGCTGGCATTTACTGTCCTCACAGTTTACAGGGAAGCCCATATTTTCAGCCTCTTCCTCTGCTTTCTGCCATTTCTAAACCATCTCACCCGATCTGGTGTAATCTTCATTGTGTGTGAGTTTGCACAGATGTAATTTGGGCCTACATGTGTCCAAAGCCTAATGCCCACCTCCCACCTCCACGAAAATCTGGAGCTCAGGACCCACTACCCTCCCCCACCCACTGCAAGCTTGAACATTTGATGGTGGAAACCCCGCCCTGAGTTTGTATTATGGTGGGTTCTCTTGGGTCTTGTTCTCTGTGGGTCTGTCCTGCGTTATAGTGTGTGGAGCCGGGGGGATTTTCACTGTGTTCCTAAAGGAGGGTCACAAGGAGTTGTTGGGCAAACGGTCTGATATTTCCTTTTTTTTTTTGAAACAGAGTCTCACTCTGTTTCCCAGGCTGGAGTTCTGTGGCACCGTGTTGGCTCACTGCAACCTCCGTCTCCTGGGTTCAAGCAATTCTCTTGCCTCAGCCTCCAGAGTAGCTGGGATTACAGGTGCCCACCACCACGCCTGGCTAATTTTTTAATATTTTTAGTGGAGACGGGGTTTCATCGTGTTGGCCAGGCTGGTCTCGAACTCCTGACCTCAGGTGATCCGCCCGCCTAGGCCTCCCAGAGTGCTGGGATTACAGGTGGGCACCTGGCCAAGGGGCTGATATTTCTTAAGGGCTTTCCCCAAGAAGGAAGAAGCCAAACCTACTCAGGCAAATCTTGTTTATTTATTCTTCTAGGTCCAGATTTGGAACAAGTCTCTCTAGAGATTGAACAGGTAAGGCTCACCTTTCAATAGTTACACCAAGAAAGGCCTAGCTGATGACTTAAGCTATGGTTTTGGGCTGCACGAGAGTGGTCAGGTGGACAGTAGGGAAGTCTACATGTAACCCAAACGGAAAAGAGAAAAGGCCCCTGAGAAATCAGGGGAAAGTGCCACAGTGTCTCTTTCTTGATGATGTCACTGGCATGTGGGTTACCTTCCCACTGTGTCCCCCAAAGGACATGAGGCCACAAACTGAAGTGCCCATGAACAGAGGAGCTGTGGGGACGGTGGTTTGATCGCTCCGTTCAAATGCACACCCCGGTGCATGTGCATCTCTTCTGATGCAGGGCCCCAGTGGGTAAGCTCTGTGCTTCTCCACACAGTGGATCAGGAGTGGAAACATTCTGTCTGTTTAGCGCTTGATGGTTTGGTGGTGACCTCATGTCATGGTGATTAGAGCCAATGATCCTAACAGTTTAAAATTGTTGAGCTTGTGGGTAGGTATTTGGGAGATAGTATGTGTGTTACCTAGTGTTTGTCATCTGCAGTGGTTTTGTTACTTTTTGCATAAACTGCGGAGAACGTTTACTAACTGCAGATGATAGAGAAATCACCAGTCACTCTAAAATCCTCCCATTTCTTGGTCTAGAGCTGCGCCTGGAACCCGCCGCAGGGAGGAGACCTGAAGACCAGAGGAAACACAGCAAGTAGGCCCTTTAAACCACTCACCTGTGTTGTCTTCTAATTTATTCTGTTTTATTTTGTTTCCATCATTTTAAGGGGTTAAAATCATCTTGTTCAGACCTCAGCATATAAAATGACCCATCTGTAGACCTCAGGCTCCAACCATACCCCAAGAGTTGTCTGGTTTTTTTAAAATTACTGCCAGGTTTCAACTGCAGATATCCCTGGAAGGAATATTCCAGATTCCCTGAGTAGTTTCCAGGTTAAAGTCTTATAGGCTTCTTCTGTTTTGAGGAGGAGTTCCTGTCAGAGAAAAACCTGATTTTGGATTTTTAGCTTTAATGCTTGTGAAACGCTATAAAAAATAATATTCTACCCCTAACATTAAAGTACTGTTAGTGAGAAATTAAAATTCCTTCAGGAGGATTAAACTGCCATTTCAGTTACCCTAATTCCAAACGTTTTGGTTGTTAGAATTTTCTTTAATGTTCATGAAGAAGTGTTTTATATTTTCCATCAAGATTGAACCTCTCTCTCTTTTTTTTTTTTTTAGACAGAGTCTCGCTCTGTTGCCCAGGCTGGAGTGTAGTATGGCGATCTCTGCTCACTGCAAGCTCTGCCTTCCGGGTTCACACCATTCTCCCACCTCAGCCCCTGGAGTAGTTGGGACTACAGGCTCATGCTACCACACCTGGTTAATTTTGTTTTTGTGTTTTTAGTAGAAACGGGGTTTCACCGTGTTGGCCAGGATGGTCTGGATCTCCTGACCTCGTGATCTGCCCACCTCAGCCTCTCAAAGTGCTGGGATTACAGGCCTGAGCCACTGTGCCCGGCTGTTTTTTCATTTCTATTATGATTTGTTCTGTGGAATGTCAGTGACTTAGCGGTATGTTTTTCACATTTTTATAAAGCTGAATAGTTCTGTATGTCAGCTCAGCACCCCTAGTGTCAGCCATGCTACTCTCCTGCTGTGCATAGATGGGGGCCCGTCCACACCCGAATCTCCTGGGTTCCCGCTGTCAGCACCCGAAGGTACCCACCAGATGTGTCTGTCGCTTCCCTCCATCCACCTCTATTGTGGTTCTCATGTTTCTGCCTCCCTAGAGACCATTTCTCTCCAGAGCAGTGCTTTCCAATAGAAATACAATGCCAGACACATACGTCATTTTAGATTTTCTAGTAGTCACTTTAGAAAAGTTAAAAAGAAACAGGTGAAATTAATGTTTTATTTCACCTAAAATGTTAGCATTATCCAAAATATCACTTCAACATCTTATCAAAATAAAAATTATTAATGAAATCATTTACTTTTTTTTTTTTTGAGACAGGGTCTTGCTTTGTTGCCCAGGCTGGAATGCAGTGGCACCAGCATAGCTCACTGCAGTCTCAAACTCCTGGGCTCAAGAGATCCTCCTACCTCAGCCTTCCAGGTAGTTTGGACTACAGGCACACACCACCATGCCATGCTAATTTTTTTTTTTTAAAGGCTGGGTCTCACTCTGTCAGCCGGGCTGGAGTGCAGTAGCACAATCTTGACTCACTGCAGCCTCGATATCTGGGGCCGAAATGATCCTCCCACCTCAGCCTCCCAAGTAGCTGGGACCACAAACATGTGCCACCACGCCTGAATAATTTTTGTATTTTTTTGTTAAGACAGGGTTTCAGCATGTTGTCCAGGCTGGTCTTGAACTCCAGAGCTCAAGTGATCCACCCACCTTGGCCTCCCAAAGTGCTGGGATTACACGCGTGAGCCACTGCACTTGGCCTGATTTTTTTTTTCTGAAGAGATGAGGTCTTGCTATGTTGCCCAGACCGGTCTCAAATTCCTGGCTCAAGCAGTCCTCCTGTCTTGGCCTTCCAAAGTGCTGGGATTACAGATGTGAGCCACCACACTGGCCCATTCTTTCTTTTATACTGAGTATTCAGAATTTTTTTAAAATGTGTTTTCCACTTACAGCATTTCTCAGGTTGGACTAGCCATCTTTCAAGTGCTCAGCAGCCACATGTGGCAAGTGCCTGCCTTATTGGACAGCACAGCTCTGGAGGGTGATTTTATGTACATCCCCACTGCTCTCTCTGCCTCCTTTATTCCCATCTACCCCACACCCCTGCAGTCTGTGACTATCGTGTCCCTCCTCTCTTCCTGTCTCTTGTAATCCTTTAATATGGAGAATTATTTCCAATTCCTTAACATCCTGCCTGATTTTTTTCTGTCTTACATTCAAGGGTCACAGTTTTCCTCTCACCCTCATTTCAGTCTTTTCCCATAACATGTGACGTGCCTTTTTGTCTTGGTTGGGTATTTATTTGCAATACAAGAATGATTGTTTTCTTTGATACATTAGTGACTCACATACTTTTCATGTTTTTTGAGTACCTCTTTCTTGAAAGAATTTCAAATTCTAAAGTTAAATTAGAAAGCTTTTTTTTTTTTTTTTTTTTTGAGTTGTAGTCTCGCTCTGTCGCCCAGACTGGAGTGCAGTGGCGTGATCTCATCTCACTACAAACTCTGCCTTCCAGATTCAAGTGATTCTCCTGCCTCAGCCTCCCGAGTACCCGGGATTACAGATGTGCACCACCATGCCTGGCTAATTTTTGTCTTTTTAGTAGAGCCAGAGTTTTGCCATTTTGGCTAGCCTGGTCTTGAACTCTTGACCTCAAGTGATCTGCCCGCCTCAGCCTCCCAAAGTGCTGGGATTACAAGGGTGGGCCACCATGCACAACCTAGACAGCTTATTTTATTTTATTATTATAATTTTTTTTTTTTCGAGATGAAGTCTTGCTCTGTCTCCCAGGCTGGAGTACAATGGCAGGTCTCGGATCCCTGCAACCTCTGCCTCCTGGGTCCAAGCAGTTCTCCCTGCCTCAGCCTCTCGAGTAGCTGGGATTACAGGTGCCCACCACCATGCCCAGCTAATTTTTGTATTTTTAGTAGAGACAGAGTTTCACCATGTTGGCCAGGCTGGTTTTGAACTCCTGACCTCAGGTGATCCGCCCACCTCGGCCTCCCAAAATGCTGGTATTACAGGCATGAGCCATTTTCCCTGGCCAGGAAACTTATTTCAAAAGGTGTGTATAGAGCCCCTTATGTTTCTACTTGATTTTTAAATGACAGGTCTATATGTTTTAGGATGTAATATCTCACTGTGTGTTGCTTTGCATCATTGAACATTTTTGGTAATTATTTTTATTTTCTATATATTTTAGAGATTTCATTAAACTAATACGGAATTTCATATTCAGGGGCAGGCATAGTGGCTCATACCTGTTTTCCCAGCACTTTGGGAGGCCGAGGCGGGCAGATCACCTGAGGTCAGGGGTTTGAGACCATCCTGGCCAACATGGCAAAACCCCGTCTCTACTAAAAATACAAAATTATTCGTGTAGTGGTGCAGGCCTGTAATCCCAGCTACTTGGGAGGCTGAGGCAGGAGAATCGCTTGAACCCGGAGGCAGAGGTTGCAGTGAGCCGTGATCTTGCCACTTCACTCCAGCCTGGCCCACAGAGCAAAACTCCTCAAAAAAAAAAAAAAAAAATCATACTCGCTCGTATCAAAAATGAAAATTTATTTTTACAAATTTCTATGTGAGTGATAGAATTATTTTAATGTCAGAAAGGTTCATAAGAAATGGGTGTAGTGATTGTGTTCTTTCCTGTGCTCGAATGGAAAATGATGAGGGAACACAATGTTAGAGTTGCAGTGAGAAGGGGCGGAAAGACCAGGTGCGGTGGCTCATGCCTGTAATCTCAGCACTTTGGGAGGCCAAGGCGGGCGGATCACCTGAGGTCAGGAGTTCAAGACCAGCCTGACCAACACGGAGAAACCCCATCTTTACTAAAAATACAAATTAGCTGGGTGTGGTGGTGCATGCGTGTAACCCCAGCTATTTGGGAGACTGAGACAGGAGAATCACTTGAACTGGGAGGTGGAGCCTGCAGTAAGCCAAGATCGCACCATTGCACTCCAGCCTGGTTAACAAAAGCAAAACTCTGTCTCAAAAAAAGAAAAAAAGAGAAAGGGTGGAAAAGAGGGATTCCAGAGTGCCAGGCACACAGATTTTCTGGAAGGTTTACATGAGGACTGCTGTGGTTTGAATGTGTTCCCCAAAGTTCATGTGTTGGAAACTCAACCCCTAATGCAACAGTGTTGATCAGTGGAACCTTTAAGAGGTGATTAGGTCATGAAGGCTCTGCCCTCATGAATGGATGAAGGTAGGGTGGGTTAGTTATCTTGGGAGGGGGTTCCTGATAAAAGGATGAGGTTGGCTTCCTCCCTTTCTGTCTTTCCCCTTCTCCCTCTCACATGTGGTCACTCTCTTGCCCTTTTACCTTCCAGCATAGGACAACACAGCGAGACCTTCACCAGATGCAGGCCCCTCACTTTCCCAGTGTTCAGAACCATAAACCAAGTGAACCCTTATAAATCACCCAGTCTGTGGTATTCTGTTATAGCAACACAAACAGACTAAGACAGGGACACTCAGTGAGCTCTTCTCTCTACTTGATGGAGCACTCCCTGCGTGGTGCCTTGTATTTGTAGACATGATGCTGTAAATGCTCTTTGAGTGTCTCGAAGGCTTTTATGTTTGAGGAGTTTACAGAGAAGCCCGTACAGGGTTCAGGTCCATTCTGTTGCTTCTTTGCTCCTTAGTTCCTCCCCTAATCTGATGTTAAATTAGATCATAGTGTGGTCCTTGGACCAATAGTATCAGTAGCACCTGAAAATCATGCTGGAAATACAGATTCACAGGCTGCTCCCCAGAATACTGAAGAAGAAACTCTAGGAGTGAGACCCAACAATCTGTGTTTAACAAGTCCCCAGGTGAGTCTGATGCACAAAGAAACGTGAGCTGCTGTATTAGATGGTGTTGAGTTCATGCCACCGAATCACTGACACACACATCTGCTCACTGCTTGCTCTTCGCACAGGCCCCTGGATCCTCCTGGAATCCCTGATCCCTGTTGCTCCCTTGCGGAGTTTTCTAGTCCCTCTTATTTGAAGCATGTCTTTCAGAGCCTCGCACCACCCAGCTTGGGTATCTGGTGAATTCTGTGGTCTGCATGTCCATGTTTTTGACATTCTGGGAAGGGTGGCCCAGGCTGTGATTTGCCATCTACTGCTGCAGGCTATGGATGGTATTCAGAAGGGAGGGGAGATGCTGTGTGCGTGTTCTGAAGGGTTTCCCACTAAATGGAGAGACTGACTCTCTCCATAAGTATTTGATTTTTACTTTATCTCCTCGTTGACTTCACAGTGTAAGTGCAGTTTGTCTCTACTGGGTGATGCATGCAGATAAATGTTTATGTGAACATAAGAAGTCTGCATGTGTGGGTGAACTCTCCACATCATGTCATTTATTGTCCATCATTACGTATCTGTGGTGTCTAGCACATTCCTCTACCTTATTTTCTGTCATTGTACCTACTTCTACCTGAACACGTATTAAATATCTTATTAAAAATACACAAATATTATGTTTCCTCAGTGGTTTTTTCCCCCTCACATTGGGCCCTCCTCTTCAGTGGACTACAGTGTGGTACCTGCAGGTCTCAGGCCTTCTGGGAGGTTCCAGCTTTTCCTGGATGCTCTCTCTCTCTGGCCAGCTCAGGCTGGAGCAGTGGGTGTTGGTGCCATCCTGTGGCTATAGGTGATAAACCAGGTTGTGTTTTGACCCCTAGTCTTGAATCCTGGAGTTCTCACATGCGTGGATTTAAATGCTGTGTCTTTCTAAGGGCAGATTGTGCCCATTTTCCTTCTCTGCCTCTCAAGGGACTGTTTGCTGTGTTTATTGACTTACCATTAAAAAAAATCATATACATTGATGAATTAGATTGTACTCCATAAATTATATATGTTTGAAAAATAAAGAATATTTTTTCAATTTTTTTCTGATTTTTACCTATCTTTTAAATTGTATATATTTATGGGGTACAAAATGATGTTATGATTTTTCCATACAGTGTGGAATGTTTAAGTCAAATTATCCTATCCATTACCTCAAATACTTGACTTTTTTTGGTGATGAGAATGGTGTTTATCACTTTCACTCATCAGCTCCTGATGTCTTCCATGCTAGGGACAGGAAAGGCTCAACACTTGACTTTCCCTCCTGTTTTCTTAGCCACTGTCAACCCTTGAATGTACCCTCCAGGGTTGCCTGTCACCTTTTACACCTAGCCTGATCCTTGTGCACCCACTTTCCTCTCAGGGACTGTCCTTAGGGAGTGACTTTATGCACAGACTTAATGTGCTCTTCCTGCCTCCTTCATCCCCATAAGCCCCCATCTCAGCCCCATCTGATTATTTCCTCCCTCTCTCATTTCCTGTTATTCTGTTGGTTTTCTAACCTGAAGGGTAACTGCTTACTCCTTAGTTTTCTGCCTTAATTTCTAAGTCATAGGCTACTTTCAGGCTAAAAGTTTTCCTCCAGCCATGGTTTTAGTCTCATTCTGTAAGTCTTGGTTTTTAGTTTTATTCATTTAAAATTAATCTTTAATAACTTTTTTGACTCATTGGTGACAGAGTAATTCCCTCTCTTCCCACCACACCACCCTCTGTCCCCAAGATTCTGGAAGTTTGTTCTTCCCCTTTTGTGATCATTGTTACTTAAAACTTTGAGTTTTTCAAATTAGAAGTTTCTTCTATAAATGTATATAGAGCTTGGCTGGGCGTGGTGGCTCACGCCTGTAATCCCAGCGTTTGGGAGGCTGAGGCGGGTGGATCACGAGGTCAGGAGATCGAGACCATCCTGGCTAACATGGTGAAACCCGATCTCTACTAAAAATACAAAAAAATTAGCCAGGCGAGGTGGCAGGCGCCTGTAGTCCCAGCTACTCGGGAGGCTGAGACAGGAGAATGGCGTGAACCTGGGAGGCGGAGCTTGCAGTGAGCCGAGATGGCACCACTGCACTCCAGCCTGGGCGACAGAGTGAGACTCTGTCTCAAAAAAAAAAAAAAAAAAAAGTGTATAGAGCTAATAACTCCTTGCTTTTTTTTTTTTTTTTTTTGAGAGTCTCGCTCTTGTTGCCAAGGCTGGAGTGCAATGGCACAATCTTGGCTCACTGCAACTTCTGCCTCCTGGGTTCAAGTGATTCTCCTGCCTCACCCTCCCAAGTAGCTGGATTACAGGCAGTGGCCACCACGCCCATGTGGGGAAAAGCAAGAGAGATCAGATTGTTACTGTGTCTGTGTAGAAAGAAGTAGACATAGGAGACTCCATTTTGTTATGTACTAAGAAAAATTCTTCTGCCTTGAGATTCTGTTAATCTATAACCTTACCCCCAACCCCGTGCTCTCTGAAACATGTGCTGTGTCAACTCAGAGTTAAATGGATTAAGGGCGGTGCAAGATGTGCTTTGTTAAACAGATGCTTGAAGGCAGCATGCTCCTTAAGAGTCATCACCACTCCCTAATCTCAAGTACCCAGGGACACAAAAACTGCAGAAGGCCGCAGGGACCTCTGCCTAGGAAAGCCAGGTATTGTCCAAGGTTTCTCCCCATGTGATAGTCTGAAAGATGGCCTCGTGGGAAGGGAAAGACCTGACCGTCCCCCAGCCCGACACCCCCAGCCCGACACCCGTAAAGGGTCTGTGCTGAGGAGGATTAGTAAAAGAGGAAGGAATGCCTCTTGCAGTTGAGACAAGAGGAAGGCATCTGTCTCCTGCCCGTCCCTGGGCAATGGAATGTCTCGGTATAAAACCCGATTGTATGCTCCATCTACTGAGATAGGGAAAAACCGCCTTAGGGCTGGAGGTGGGACCTGCGGGCAGCAATACTGCTTTGTAAAGCATTGAGATGTTTATGTGTATGCATATCTAAAAGCACAGCACTTAATCCTTTACATTGTCTATGATGCAAAGACCTTTGTTCACGTGTTTGTCTGCTGACCCTCTCCCCACAATTGTCTTGTGACCCTGACACATCCGCCTCTTCGAGAAACACCCACAGATGATCAATAAATACTAAGGGAACTCAGAGGCTGGCGGGATCCTCCATATGCTGAACGCTGGTTCCCCGGGTCCCCTTATTTCTTTCTCTATACTTTGTCTCTGTGTCTTTTTCTTTTCCAAATCTCTCGTCCCACCTTACGAGAAACACCCACAGGTGTGTAGGGGCAACCCACCCCTACACGCCCAGCTAATTTTTGTATTTTTAATAGAGATGGGGTTTCGCAATGTTGGCCAGGCTGGTCTCGAACTCCCGACCTCAGGTGATCTGCCCACCTTGGCCTCCCAAAGTGCTGGGATTACAGGCGTGAGCCACCATGCCTGGCCAACTTCTTGCTCTTTTTGCCACTACTTTTAAGCTGATATATTTGGAACTGAGGTAGCCTCATTCTACAGGTTTAGATCTGAAGTATTTTAACTATTGCTTCTTCCAGTGTATTTTCTGGTTTGCAGGCCAGTTTCTTCTTTAACTCATCAGTGACACAGTGGTTTGTATGGCTTTTAATTTCAAAGAATATTTTTTCAATTTGCTTTTTTGTTTTTTGCTGATTTTTATCTATGCTAATTTTAACTAGACATGTTCCCTTGATGGGCATGACTAGATTTTTTCTTCCCCACTGCGTTTATAATTTAGATGGATTTTCACATCTCAAGCCAGTTAAGAGTGTGGAAAATAGGACTCCTTAAAGCACAGATAATGACAAGTGGTTCAGATTTACAAGGGTAACTCAGGTGAGAGTGTATCATTGTACTTGGCACACAGCACTGAGTAACTATCACCTTTCATTTAAATGAATGCAGCTGTAAATGCTTTCCTAGATGTCTTGTTGATGTTTGTTAATTTCTGTAGAGTTTCATTCTGCCCCTTTCACTGTTTATCACTTGATCCTTATCACTTGAGAGTCCCCTTATTACTTGACCTGCTGTTACATTATGTTTGATTTATTACAAATACCCCATCAGCCTGGGTCTCTCTTTACTCCCTTTGTACACCTACATCTAAACATAGTGATTTGGATTATCTCAGGATCCCACATCCTCACTGTACCCCCACCCCCACCCCTACCATATCTTTCTTAAGTTTTCTAGTCCCTGCTTTTCATTTGTGCTTCTTAAATCCCAGCCCCATGCCTGACTGTGGTTCCCACTGAGTTCTGTGACAAGCATTCTACATTTATAGATATTAAATCTTTGGCCGGGTCATTTACCTGGGCTGGAATAGGGCTCTCGGCTGATCCTCCTTCCTAAACACCCTCTCAATGGGAGAGGCTGATACCCAACATGCAAACCTTGTTTTTTACTTCTCCAGGCAAAGGGATGTTGGAAGACATTCTGGAGGGGGTAGGGTGTGAAGATTTACAAATAATCTTTGAATATCTGCTTCATGATAGGTCTTGGAGGTGCCTTGTGGGTGTGGCTTTGGAGGGATGGTTACGAGGAAATTGTGGATATTAAGGAAGTCAGGAAAGGAAAAGATGACTCACTGACAATTCAACAATTGTCCTAAGGGACTTTCTGGCTGCTTGATGCCCTAGAAGCCAGGCCCTCACTTCTGTAAATGCTGGGGACTGTGGATACAGAATTTAAAGGGTCACCAAAAAAACTCAGTAATCAAGATAAACAATATTTTAATGTAATATCTTTAAAAATAAAATCAATGCAAAAAGAAAACACCCCTGTTGAACAAAACGGTCAGACTTATGCCTCCTTTCCAACACCGCCCCACCTCCACCCCACCCTCCGGAAGTTTCCTCCAAGCCGCACCTGTACCCCAGCCTCCAATAAAAACCTCGGGAATTTCCTGATCAAGCTTCGGATCCCCACCACCACCAGGGGATCTTTTGCTGTTCACCCCAAGTTCAGTCTGCATCCCCTAAAATCCTAGGGACACGCGACCAGTCTCCCCCATCTGCATTCCGGGAGTTTGCCCCAAACCAATCCTGCTCTCCGCGAAAATAGCCTTGGGGTTCCCTGTCCTGGTACACCCTCCTACTCTAGGGGACAAAGGGCCGGTGTCGCCTCCAAACTGGTGGTTCCCGCAGAGCATCGTCTCTCCCTGAGCCGCGTCTGTCCCGACCTGGCACCTGCTCAGGGAAGGGCGCATCAGGGCGGAGACTTGCGTAGTGAGCTCAGCTCACCCGCACCTTGAAGGTCAGCGCACACTGGCCACCCGCAGAGCACCGGGACCACATTTTGCAGAATCCTTCGGCAGTCCCGCGATGCCTTCGCGGTCAGCAGATCTCATTGGTTTACAGAGAAACTTGTCAACGTCACTTGGGCATCTTAAGAGTGGGTTCGTAAACTTGGTTGTGTGCGCTGTGCAGATGTCAGTCACCCTGTGTGGTGGGCAAAGCCGACTTCTCCGCCTCTGTAGCTCCGAAACTACAATCCCCAGAGGCCTCTGCGGTCACTTCCGCTCCCCTCCCTACCCTTCAGTGTGTAGCGTTGACGTCAGAAACACTTCCGGTCGGTGGCCCAGGCGCGTTAAGCTGGTTGGGACCCGGGAAGGCCTCCCTCTTAAGGTCTTTCCCACACCTCTGCACCTTGTTACCTGACTTTCGGCTTCAGGATCCGCAGCGTGCACCCGCGTTCCGTGAGTGCCCTATAGGCAGTCAGCATGCCCCTCTGCGTGTCCCTGTGTTACGGGGACGCCGGCTGGGAGCCGCAGAGCTATCTCAGAACTAGGGCGCTCTCCTTTGGGCACCTCCAGGCCATTTTCCTTTCATTCGAGCCCACAGGGTTAGAGATAAACCCTCACTCCGTTGCTTGGGGACAAGGGCTTCACTCCCTGTCCCGAGCTTGCGGCTGAGCTTGAGGGTGGCTGGGTCATCCTGGCCCCCCACTGGATGGGAATTGGCTGCTCTGGTGATTTCTGTGACATCCCAGACCCCAACTGTGGGGCTCTGGAGCGGACTGCGCTTCACTTCGTGGGGAGGGTGTTTCCACCTAGGCCACTCTTATTTCTCTTCACATCCCCAGATCTGTCTTCTGAGACTTTGCCCTTCTCCAGGAAGAGCACTCAGGAGACCAGGAAAATGGCCACAGGGCTCCTGAGAGCCAAAAAAGAGGTGAGAATTAACTGTAATTCTATCTTGGCTGTCAACAGAATGGGTCCCATTACCTTTTCTTGTCCTGGAGGCTGCCTTGTTGGTATTGGGCAAAGTCATTCCTAGCCCTAGTCATTCCTAGTCCATAGAACAAGGAGGATTTTGATATAGTCTTGTAGAGCGTCCGATTCTGTCGCTGTTCAGGGCGCCACTTGTAACCTGCACGGACCTGGTGGACTGAACAAAAGGAATAAAAGACAAGAAACAAAAAAGTATATTTGGAAGAAGGGGTCGGGGGCACTTTGTCTCTAGTGGACAAGGGCCCTGAGCTTTACACAACCCTCCCGTATTTATTGGTAAAACAGATAACAAGTTAGGGGGTGGTGATTGTCAGGTAATTGTCAGTTGGCCGTTTGGTTCGCAATTGCAAGACTGCATCCTTCCAACAATAGGCGCTAGATTTCCTGGTAGATCACTTCAAGGAGCCAGGCGCCAGGCAGTGATGGCTCTCAGCACATCTTTTGGTGGCAGTGTGCGTTTGCTCACATCCTGCATTCATGATAAACAGTTTACCGTTTAATCATATAACCTCCAGTGGAATGCTGAGTTGGTCACAATCCCTTTGGTCTTTTCGGCTCCAAACATAGTCTGACCTGAATTTTACCTTTGAGTTCATTCCTAGTCCTGGAAGAGTGCCTCGTTCTAACAGGAGTCTTCCCTCAGCATTCCTTTCTGCTCCATCCTTACCGCAGTCACTCATGAAGTAGTTAATTGTGAACAACACATATGGAGCAGTTTAAATAAAAGTAAAGAGACATACATGCGTAATTGTTCAGTGATGTGGATGAAGGGCAGGGACAGCACAGATGCCTGTGATTTCAAATGGTTAGGGAGGCCTCCTAGAAGTAGGGCTGTCTCAATTGCCCCTGACTGGTTTGTTAAGTTGGAGATTGGGGGGAAGGCATTCCAGTGGGAGGCGGCAAGGAAGCATAGATAGTTTCAGAGGCTGGACTCTCAGTGTGGAAGGATTATGGTGGCCAGTGGACTTGCTTAAGATTGAATTTTTTTTTTTTTTTTTTTTGAGACCGAGTCTCACTCTGTCATCCAGGCTGGAGTGCAGTGGCGCCATCTCGGCTCGCTGCAGACTCTGCCTCCCAGGTTCACACCATTCTTCTGCCTCAGCCTCCTGAGTAGCTGGGACTACAGGCGCTTGCCACCATGCCAGGCTAATTTTTTGTATTTTTAGTAGAGACGGGGTTTCACCGTGTCAGCCAGGATGGTCTCGATCTCCTGACCTCATGATCCACCCACCTCGGCCTCCCAAAGTGCTGGGATTACAAGTGAGATTACACCACACCCGGCTACCTATGCATATTTAAAAATCAACCTTGGCCAGGCGTGGTGGCTCAGGCCTGTAATCCCAGCACTGTGGGAGGCTGAGGCAGGCGAATCACGAGGTCAGGAGATGGAGACCATCCTGGCTGACACGGTGAAACCCTGTCTCTACTAAAAATACAAGAAATTAGCTGGGCATGGTGGCAAGCGCCTGTAGTCCCAGCTACTCGGGAGGCTGAGGCAGGAGAATCGCTTGAACCTGGGAAGCGGGGGTTGCAGTGAGCTGAGATCGCACCACTGCACTCCAGCCCGGGCAACAGAGTGAGACTCCATCTCAAAATAAATAAATAAATAAATATACATATGTTAAGATACAGACTATCTATTCACACATAGAACAAGGAGAATTTCGATATAGTCTGACCTGAATTTTACATTTGAGAGCACTTTCAGCTTCTGGCAATTGGGACATTTCCAAAATTCCAGATTCCCTGCTTCTCTGAAAATAAATCTGCCCTAAATCTGCACTGTTCTTTGGTGTCAGACAATTTGAGCTGAACAACGTCTTTATCATTTGGACGTGACCTTCAGAGTATCAGCTGCACTTTCTGCAGTGTCCTTTATACTGAGGTTGAAACCATTGACTACCTAACATTTCACCCCCCTCTCATTTTTATTACCTACCTGACCCCTGAAGGGTTTGCCTTTTCCACCTCTCGGTCAGGGTGGGGACAAATCAGAAAATGCTGAGTGCCAGGCTGAGCAGGGTAGACTTTGTCTTTGAGTAAGCTGAGTTTTGAAGGATGTTAAGAAGGGACTTGACATAAGGAAGTCAATGGTATGTGGGAAATAGTGATTGACTGTGTATAAGGACTTAAGGGGAAGCGTTCTTCTTTTTTTTGAAACGGATTCTCGGTCTGTCTTCCGGGCTGGTGCGATCTCAGCTCACTGCACCCTCTGCCTCCCAGGTTCAAACGATTCTCCTGTCCCAGCCTCCCGAGTAGCTGGGATTACAGGTGGCGCCACCAGGCCCAGCTAATCTTTTGTATCTTTAGTAGAGACGGGATTTCACCATGTTTGCCAGGCTGGTCTTGAACTCCTGACCTGGTGGTCCGCCTGCCTCGGCCTCCTAAAGTGCTGGGATTACAGGTGTGAGCCACAGCCCCCGGCCGAGGGGAAGCTTTTCTAAGCCCTGAGATTGGTGACGATGATGCCCCTGACTTAATTGAATGCAATTAACATTCATTAAGCACCAACACAGTTGCCAGGCTGTTTAACAGTCATTTTTGATATGGGTTAACTTGGTTATTTCAGATTTGCCTTGACTATCCTTATCAAGAAATCTGAGTGGAATTTAGACAGGAAAAGAGATTTCTTAATTCTGGACTCCAGTGGTGGGGATTATGCATTCCTGGATGTTATCAGAGCAACACTGAGAATTCTGTTTCTCATTTCTAAAATAGTTAATTCATTTGAGAGTGTTAATACCAGGAATACATAAGAAATCCAATTCAGGACATTTCCCAAGGTAACATTGAATATTTTTTGTGCGTACTTTCTCTTTTCTTTGAGGCGGAGTCATGCTCTGTCACCCAGGCTGCAGTGCAGTGGCACGATCTTGGCTTACTGCAGTCTCCGCCTCCTGGGTTCAAGCGATTCTCCTGCCTCAGCCTCCCGAGTAGCTGGGATTACAGGTGCATGCCACCACGCCCGGCTAATTTTTATGTTTTTAGTAGAGATGGGGTTTCGCCATGTTGGCCAGGCTGGTTTCAAACTCCTGACCTCAGGTGTTCCACCCACCTCTGCCTCCCAAAGTGCTGGGATTACAGGTGTGAGCCACTGCACCCAGCCTTTTTGTGTGTACTTTCTTCACCACTCCCAGTGTTACCAGGGAAGCATTCTTTCTGATTGGCTGGGAAAAGTCAGAAGTTTGTGGTAGCTGACTTTTCCTGTGCCACCTCCTTCATTCTCAGTAGGTCTACCCGGAACTGCCTCCTGTATATAAACAACTTGTTCTTCAATGTAGCTTTTTAACATAGTATTTACTCAGGAAAAATTAAAGGGCATGAGCATTTAAATAGTTGTTTAAGATGAAACCTCTGTGTCTCTCATGCCTAGCACACATGAAATGTTTGGTGCATGAAGGAATCACAACCTTAAGTAAACGATTTGAAGGAACTAAGTAACAAAGGAGTTTCTGTTGTTTGCTTTGGTTTGTTATTTTGGGCATGTGGTTAATCACATGTTTCAGGAGCGTTGGGTAGAATTTCCAGATACTCTTGATATGCATGGCATCTGAATTATACAAAATAATCAAAGCAAGACTATCTTAGGACATTAGGTATTACTGCCAAGGACCTTTGCCTGAGAGGATAAATTAAAATTTGTGTTAAATTTGTAACAATGAGATGAACTGGCAGGCACATTATGTTATTTTTTTTCTTAGCATTTTTCCTTTTCCTTGGTGCCATACAACAAACTTGAGTGTCTGCTATGTGCAGAACACTCAGTAGATTACAGTTAATGATGGGTAAAACACAGTCTGCACACTCAGGAGTCTTCCATTTTATTTTAGGATTCCTTTCTCATTTGGATTTAATTTAATTTTATATGCGCTCACACCCCTGCAAACATATTTTGACAGGCCCTAATGGTAAAATCATAATGGAGTAAAGTTACTGGCAGTGTATCTACCCAGCTCTATTTTTAAAGGTGTAGAAACAGCCAACACTTATCCCACTGAAAATAATTTCCATAGTAATCCATTGAATGGATGAACTCATCCATTGTTTCCCAATTTTTGGACTCCTGTTTCCAATGTTTAACTGTTGCAAATAATACTTCTATGATCAGCTTTGTACATGAAATTCTTATATAGGTTTTTATTCTCATACAAAATATGACAAGGTGAATAGACATGACTGTTTTGAAGCATTGGGCACCCACAGCAGTTGGAGATTTGAACCCTGCCAGTTTTTTTTTTTTTTTTTTTTGAGACAGAGTCTCGCTCTGTCACTCTGTCCCACTGCATCAGGCTGGGATGCAGTGGTGCAATCGATCTCGCCTCACTGCAACCTCTGCCTCCCAGGTTCGAGCAATTCTCTTGCCTCAGCCTCTTGAGTAGCTGGGATTACAGGTGCCCGCCACCACACCAGGCTAATTTTTGTATTTTTAGTAGAGACAGGGTTTCACCATATTGGCCAGGCTGGTCTCAAACTCCTGACCTCAAGTGACCCACCTGCCTTGGCCTCCCAAAGTGCTGGAATTACAGGCATGAGCACCGCGGCTGGCCCTGAACCCTGCCAGTTCTAAAGAATTTGAACTTCCAATTACTTCTTTCTTTTCTGAGACTCCCTTCTTCACCATGTGTTTCTTTATACTGTGCAATTTTTATTTTATTTTATTCATTTATTATTATTATTATTTTTGAGATGGAGTTTCATTCTTGTTGCCCAGGCTGGAGTGCAATGGCATGATCTCAGCTCACTGCAACCTCCGCCTCCCAGGTTCAAGTGATTCTCCTGCCTCAGCCTCCCAAGTAGCTGGAATTACAGGCATGTGCCACCGTGCCCAGTTCATTTTGTATTTTTAGTAGAGATGGGGTTTCACCATGTTGGTCAGATTGGTCTTGAACTCCTGACCTCTGGTGAACTACCCGCCTCGGCCTCCCAAAGTGCTGGGATTACAGGTGTGAGCCACCACGCCCAGCCCTACTGTACAACTTTTATTTGCTTTTATTTTAATTATTACACTGTGCAGATTTTGATTACCGGGGTAGACCTGCCAACTTAGGTCTCTTTCTTCTCTCACATGAAAGCTCACATAGTATCCTGATTTGTTTCCAAATGTTGACATGGTCCTTTGCCACCCACTACATGTTTCTGTAATCCTCGTTTTCCCCAACATTGCAGTAACATCACTTTTCAGAAACCTTTAGTGCCTCATTTCAGTGTCTTAGATATTTAGGACAGTCTTCATTTCAAATATTGTATCCTGTTGTCTGATGTCATGTTCTGATTATTCAGTCTGAAAGTGTGTTTATTGTTACCACAGGGGAGTCATCTTATGTGTACTTTTTTTTTTTTTTTTTTTTTTGAGACGGAGTCTGGCCCTGTCGCCCAGGCTGGAGTGCAGTGTCACGATCTCAGCTCACTGCAAGCTCCGCCTCCTGGGTTCACGCCATTCTCCTGCCTCAGCCTCCCGAGTAGCTGGGACTACAGGTGCCGACCACCACGCCCGGCTAATTTTTTGTATTGTTAGTAGAGACGGGGTGTCACCTTGTCAGCCAGGATGGTCTCGATCTCCTGACCTCATGATCTATCCACCTCGGCCTCCCAAAGTCCTGGGATTACAGGCGTGAGCCACCGCGTCTGGCCTTGTGTACTTTTAACTTAGATACATTTACTTTTTATCCACTCAGCTGAAAAAAGAGGAGAAAAATAAAAGTAGGTCAGGTCAATCTGTTTCCTTTCCCATTTAATGAATTCATGCCCAGGAGTGAGTGAGAAATGGGAGGACTGAATCTGCTGTTCTCCAAGACTAGCTTAGGAGTTTCTGACATCATGGGCATCCCAGCAAGCCAACGGTCACATTAGTCACCACGTATTTTTCATATCACGTGATCCCTCTATCAGTGTATCAGCCTTTGCTGTATAATGAACAATCCTAAACATCAATGGCTTAAAACAAAATCACTTATTAGCACATAATTTGGTAGGTTCATATTTTGGGCTGGCCGCAGGTAGGTTTTGCAGATTTCACCTGGTCTTGTCATTTTGCTGCAGTCGGCTGGCATTTTGACCAGGGCTGGAGGACTATCCATGTGTGACAGGAAGCTGGTTGGCTGGGGTGCCTAGTTTCTTCTTGGTTCTCTTCCATGTGGGCTTGGGCTTGGTCAAATGGTCTTGGGTTTCTCTATGCAGGAAGAGAGGACAGCCCCAATTAACAAGTAGTTTTAACGTTTTGGCTTTTGTCATGTTCACTGATGTCCTTTTGGCCAAAGGAAGTCACATGGCCAAGTCCAGAGTCGTCATAGAACGGGATAACATAAGGGAGTAGATACAGGGAGACATGATTTATTGGTCCCAATGATTCATACCCTTACCATGTGCAAGATTAACTCACCCCCCTCCCAAGATCCCCAAAAGTTTCATCTTGATTCAAAAGTCCAGTATCTTATGTGTAACAGTCTGGATGTAGCTAAAGCTTCTTCACTGGATCCTTTTTGAGTCAGATACCTGTATACTAAAAAGGCAAGTCATTTGTTTCCCTCCACCCCAAACATTCCCTACCTAACATACAGTGGTGAGAGAGAGATACTGCAGTAGATGCTCCCATTCAGAAAGGACAGGAATTAAGCATAGAGGAGGCCTCTCCATTTTGAACTGTTTCAGATCCTTTGGACTTCCTTGAAAGCTCTATGGGTTTCCCATGTACCAGATTTGGGACTGCTCTATTAAACAAAAGCTGAAATCACAGTCAGACAGGCCTCACATCTTTGGCAAGGTGTCGGTGCTATGGGACAATGCCCATAAGAATCTCAGAAGCCTTTTTGTCCAGCGTGGAGACTCCACTAGGCATCCCCTTAACACTTCAGAGGTTCTAAAGTTTGGGTCTTTTAGCCAAACTTTTGATTCGAACTTTACTCTGAGTTTATTTTTTTATTTTGAGACATGTGCTGGCTGGAGAGACTGAAGATGTAAAATAATTTTATTTCCAAGCTAGCAAGTCCTGACTTGTCTATATTTCCTCTGAATTACGCTTGCAAGCTGTATAATTGCTTCTTCAGCTCTTCTGTTTCTGGACATTATTATATGTCACTAGAAACATCCAACTGAATTTTTTTTTTTTTTTTTTTTGAGATGAAGTTTCACTCTTGTTGCCCAGGCTGGAGTGCAATGGAGCGATATCGGCTCACTGCAACCTCCACCTCCCAGGTTCAAGCAATTCTCCTGCCTCAGCCTCCCGAGTAGCTGGGATTACAGGCATGCGCCACCACACCTGGGTAATTTTGTATTTTTAGTAGAGACGGGGTTTCTCCATGTTGGTCAGGCTGGTCTCAAACTCCCAACCTTGGGTGATGCGCCTGCCTCGGCCTCCCAAAGTGTTGGGATTACAAATGTGAGCCACCACGCCTGGCCCAAGTGAAACTTTTAACAGGCTTTTTGGAGATCTCTTTAGCTAGATCCAAAAATTCATCAGGTATATTTTCTGTTTTCCAAGTTCATGCAGGCAATAGCTTTGCTAATATATAATACTAGTTGCCTTGTTCAAGCTGCCATATCAGTTTCATCACTCCTTTCCCAGTCCCCACTAGCAGTTTGTTTACTGGTTTTCCAGCCTGTGCTAATAGTTTTCCTGGATGCTTTCCAAGCCTCTGCCCATGTCCTGCTCCCAAAGCTAATGCCACATGTTTTAGGTATTTTGTTATGGCAGCACTTCACTTCTGTGTACCAACTTAGTGGCCTAAAGAACATAGCGGCTTAGGCCTGGTACAGTGGCTCTCACCTGTAATCCCAACACTTTGGGAGGCCGAGGCGGGCGGATCATGAGGTCAGGAGTTCGAGACCAGCCTGGCCAACATAGTGAAACCCCGTCTCTACTAAAAATACAAAAATTAGCCGGGTGTGGTGGTACACACCTGTAGTCCCAGCTACTTGGGAGGCTGAGGCGGGAGCAGGAGAATCGCTTGAACCCAGGAGGCAGAGGTTGCAGTGAGCCGAGACCACGTCATTGCACTCCAGCCTAGGTGTCAGAGTGAGACTATCTCCAAAAAATAAAGAATAAATAAAATAAAACCAAAAAAAAAAAAAAACCAAACAAACTTAGCAGCTTAAAATGAAATCATTTTTTCAAAATCCTGTGGGTCAGCAAGTAGGCCCGGCATGGCTGAGCTGATCCTCTTGGCATCCTCATGTGGCTGTAGTTAGCTGGCTGCTCAGCTACAGCTGGATGGTCTCAACCTGTCTGGTGGTTGACAGCTTGGTTGGCTGGGATGCTTCAATTCCTGGTTCTTCTCCATGTGGCCTCTTCAGCAGGCAAGCTCAGGTTATTCACATGGTGGTCTCAAGGTTTCTTGCACAGCGAGAAGGCCAGCCCTGAACTCAGATGCCTCTCAAACATCTGCTTGCATCATGTTTGCTGGTGTCCCACTGGATAAAGCAGGTCCCATGGCCAAGCCCAGGGTTAATTTAGGAGGAGACTGCATGAAGGGTAGAAACAGGGAGGCATGATTCACTGGGGCCATCACTGTACCCATCCACTGGTTAGATACAATGCTTTTGGCCGCAAGCAACAGTAAACCTAATTTAGGCTGTTCTAAACAATAAGTAACTTAGCCTATATAAAAAGAAGTTCACAGAGAGAGTGCACTTTGGGGTTGGTCCTTCAGCTCCATAAGCTTCCCAAGGACTGGGGTGCTTTCATCTCTGCAGTCTACCCTGTTCTCTACAGTGTCAGCCTCATCCAGGCTGGTTCCCCTCAAAGCCATAGGATGTCTGCCAATAGCAACTTTGTTTAATTCTCACAATGGCCCCATAAGGTAAGTACTATTATAATATCGATTTTATAGGAAATTGAGACACAGATATTAAGATATCAACGCAAAGTCATAGGGGAGGGAGGAGAGAGGGGACTGTAATTTGAACACAGTTTGTCTCCAGAGTTTGTGCTTTTAGCCACTGAGTAGTTGTTAAACTTTAGTGTGCATCAGAATTACTTGGAAGCCTTGTTCAAACATTGCTGGGCTCCCCCCGCAATTTCTGATTCAGTAGCCCTAGGATGGGGACTGAGAATTTTTATTTCTAACAAGTTCCCAGGGGATGCTGGTGCTGCAGGTTCAGGGAACACACATTGAGCCAGTGCACTAAGCCCTGCTGCCTCTTTTGGGTAATCTGTGCCCATGTTTCTGAGCATCAGGAAAAGTGCTTAATTCCTGTGACTCCATCTTACAAATGACGAAGTCTTTTGCTAGAATCCTACGGTAAGGCTTCTTGTGGCCTGTTGGTTACCATTCATTTTTCATATATTTATTTTTCAGCTGGCAAGCAGATGAATTAACTCCCCCAAGCTTCTAGCTGTGTTTCTACTCAGTGGGAGAGATTTGGAGTGAATCATGAGGGTCAACCACACAGTGTCTACAATGCTCCCTACATGCATGGTTCACAGACAAACCATGAGTTGTTCCGGGGCTGGAGGAATAACGGTTGTATTAAATGTGTTAAAGTAACACTAATTGCTCTGTGATGTAGCTCCTTCGTGGGAGATTTTCAAGGGGTGTATGTGTGTATGTTCTGAGAAGGGGTTGTAAAAGCAAATCACAACAGGGACTAGGCAGATACCTGAATAGCCTTTTTCTCTCCAGTGTTTAATGATGAACAGTTTCAGACATATGGAAAAAACCAGGAAGCCTTGTACATTGAACACTCACATACCCATCACCTAGATTCTCAGTGAGTACCTCCTTCTCATGAACTTTTCCTGATCCTCAATCCTACAGTGACCTCTCCCTCTTGAGATTACTCTGACCCAGTGATTCACAACCATCACACTACTTTTAGGAGCCTTTGAAAGTACAAAAGCCCCATCCCCTGGTTTTACGGATTTGTGGTGGGACTCAAGAATCCATAATTTAAAACACCACCCAGGTAGCTCTAAAATATAGCCAGAGAGAGATGAGGTATGAGAACCAAAGCCCTCACTCATCTGTGCTCTTCTCTTGCGATTAAGTACATTGGGACTGGCTGGGTTTGGGGACAGCTATCGATATAACTGAGTGTAGGTAGAGTCTTAAGGCCATTTCATAGTCCAGCCAGTGTAGAATAGTGGAGCTGGTAGGGGACAGGAAATGTAGGGAGGATTCCCTGGGAAGGGTACAGTGTGGAATTAGTTTTAGAGACACAATGTCATACCCTCAAGGAGTGATGGAGGCATTCTGAGAAGGGGATGCAAAATCAAAGAGACAAGGCATGTACCTAAATGAATGACGCTGGTGAGGCAGTCTCCAATAGTGTGTTGCGGCTGATAGACCCCCAGCATGAGTCACCGTCAGCCAACTGTGGTCCTACAGCAGTGCAAAGCCCAGGGTGGTCAGATTTATGGATTTTTAACATAACCCATAGATTGAGATTTTCATATGAAATCTTCCAACATTTAATTGATATAAACACAAGTTTTAAAGCAGTATATGGGTCAAATTAAACCCCTCTATGGACTGCAGATTGTACCTAAAGAGAATAAGTGTTGGGCAGGGAAGAATCCCAGTGCTAGATTTCCAGACTCATTTGGAAATCTCACCGAACTTCCATGCCAAGGACGGTTATATATTCCCATCCTCCAAAGTACAGCTTTCTAGGTAGCAGAGGTTCGTTTGAAACTTTGTTGCTTGTCTAATAATAATAAATCATTTTTGGTTATTTAAAAATATTTGACTGCTAAGTGTTTGCAGATTCTGTTGTAGACACCAGGGCAATCACAGTGATCCAGCCATGCACATGGAACTGATGTCTTAGTGGGAAGTCAGAAAATAGAAATGAATATAATGTATTATCTTAGAGTTAAGGCAACACAATAAAGCAGGAGAGGGGAATGAAACCCGCATGAGAGCATGGAATTTTACATAGAACGGCCAGGGACTGCACTGGGCATTTTGTCTGAGCCCTTCACAGTAATCCTAATCCTCACCACAAGCTGTGAGATAAGCACTGTTATTTTTAGTTCGCAGGAGAAACTGACGTGCTGAGCAGCTAATTCAGTGCCTGAGGTTACACTAGTTGTGGACAGAGATGGGTTCCAAATCCAGATAGTATGGGTTGAATCCACGCTCTTCATCACCACCCACTTTCCCTCCTTAGGCCTGAGCAGGCACGTGGCAGCATTTGGTAGAGGAAGGAGTGAGCCCTGCTGTAGGAACTATATATATTGGTGAGTTATTTGCCCCCAAGCCCCAGAGGCACCACTGCTTCAAGTAGAACAAATAGTGAGACCAAGTAGTCTCAGAAAATTTTCAAACTCAGCAAGATAATTCTTTACTATTTAGTTGTACTTGTGTGGTGTCTTCTTCTCCCTGCCTAGTTTTGAAACGCCCTCTAGGTAAGGGCTTTGGTTTTGTTTGCTCTTATCCTCCCTAGCAGCTAGCCTGGGATATTGACAGTAAGTAACAGGTGCATAAATGATGCTGGCTCGGCAGAGATAGGAGAATAATGGTCTTTCACTCCTTGGTGCCAAGGTCACAATCCAAAGTAGGGTCTAGAAATCTTTCCTACTTCCCTCAGGGAAGCCTTTTGACCTCTCATTCTTTTTTTTTTTTTTTGAGACAGAGTTTTGCTCTTGTTGCCCAGGCTGGAGTGCAATGGCGCAATCTCGGCTTACCGCAAGTAACTGGGATTACAGGCATGCGCCACCACACCTGACTAATTTTGTATTTTTAGTAGAGACGGGGTTTCTCCATATTGGTCAGGCTGATCTCAAACTCTCGACCTCAGGTGATCCGCCCACCTTGGCCTCCCAAAGTGCTGGGATTACAGGCATGAACCACCGGGCCTGGCCTTGACCTCTCATTCTAAAGTGTGGGAGGGAAAGACAGGCTCCTGGGTGAGCAGAGGTGTGTTTTGTGTTAAAGGCGTTCGTGGCATTCAGGGATGTGGCTGTGTACTTCACCCAGGAGGAGTGGAGGTTGTTGAGCCCTGCTCAGAGGACCCTGCACAGGGAGGTGATGCTGGAGACTTATAACCATCTGGTCTCACTGGGTAAGAATGGCCTCCCTTGGCACTTAAAATCTGCCCTACAGAGTATTTTCCACTCATCGTGAGGAAGGGCTACCTGCAGAGCACCTTTCCCTTAGAGTTGAGCTTGAAAACAATTTACTTTTTTCCTCTGGGTAAATCTGGATTTAGTAGAATTGAAAGCAGACAGATTGATTTATTCATGTTATGGATGACACTACATTTCCAGGCCTGTTTCCCAAGGCTTGTGCTCTCTCTTTATTTTGCTTCAAACCCAGGAAATTTTTCATACACCAAGTGTTCATAATATGCCATCTTTCTGACTGGAGTCACCTTTCCTTAGTCAACCCTTCTACTTCAGAGAGAGAACTATTCATAGGTCTTTTTTATCCTCTGGGTTTCCTCACCCATTTCAGCTCTGAGTTCTAGAATGCCCTCTTGAGCCCATAACCAACAATGTCCTCATTTTCTTCCCTATGAACAGAAATTCCATCTTCTAAACCAAAACTCATTGCTCAGCTGGAGCGAGGGGAAGCGCCCTGGAGAGAGGAGAGAAAATGTCCACTGGACCTCTGTCCAGGTGAGTGTTGAGTGTGGGGTAGACGGGATAATCCACAGCTTGGCAGATAGGAAGGAGGAGGCATCTCTCAGATACTGGGAAGAAGCTCTTCTTCAGGCCTCCTAAGCCAAGAGAAACGTTGCCTGACATGGTCTTCTTTCCGGAACATAATCTTCAGTTGAGGGAGGGACTTCCCTGGTTCCCTTGTCTCTTCCCTACACCAGGAAGCCTCCCTTCCTCATTTGTCTTCTCCGTAATGCTTAGTCTTTCCTCATTCACTGTCTTCTTTCTCACCTGATCTTAAAAATTGCATCTACCCATGAATGTTAAGTCTACGACACTTCTAGATACTTTCTAGCTACTCTTATGCTAAGATTAATTGATTAACTCCACCTCTCCAATTCCCATAACTTATTACACAATACTTAAGCTATGACTAATAATAAAATACATACTCATGTGCCAATGTCCCAGCTTAAGAAATAAAAAATGACCTAAACAGTCGAAACCCCTATTTCCCCTTCCCTGATGGTATCCTCTACCCATCCCTCCAATGGAATTGTTTTTCAGTATTAGGGATTTGTAATTCTCATGCATGGCTTTATCATTTCCTTCATATGTATGAATCGCTAAATCATCTATATTGTTGTTTGGCATATTTTAAAACTTTATATCAATGTCATCATATTATGTATGTATTTTGTTTTCTTCCCTGAGACTAATTTTGTACTATGTTGGTATATGTAGCTCTGCTTCATTCATTTTTGTGGCTATATAATATTGTATTTTATGCATAATTATAATACAATTCATTTATCCATTCCATTTTTGTTGGACAGTTACAGTTCTAACAGTGTATTCTTTTGACCCACTAAAGAATGTTGCTGTGAACCTTCTCATAGATATGTCCTTGGGCACATAAGCACCCGTTTATCTAGGATATGTACCTAGGAATAGGACAGCTGAGTAAAAGAATATGCACCTGGTCAGTCTGACAAGGTAATGCCAAACTATTCTCCAAAGTTGTTGTATTAGTGTTCTAGGGCTGCCACAACAAAGTACCACAAACTGAGTGGCTTAAACAACAGAAGTTTATTTTCTCACAGTTCTGGAGGCTAGAAGTAGAGATGAAGGTGTTGGTAGGGTTGGTTCCTTTTGAGGGTTGTGAGGAAGAATCTGTCCCATGCCTCTCCTCTAGCTTCTGGAGGTTTGCTGGCAATCCATGGCGTGGAGGAGCAGAGTCCCAGTCTCTGCCTTCATCTTCATATAGCATTCTCCCTGTGTGTGTGTCTCTGTGTCCAAATTTTCCTTGTTTGTAAGGACATTATTCATACTGGATTAGGACCCACTCTAATGACCTCATCTTAACTAATTACATCTGCAACAACCCTGTTTCCAAATAAGTTCATCTTTTGAGATATTAGGGGTTTGGACTCCAATATGTCATTTTTTGGGGAAACAGAACTCAACCTATAGCAATTGCTTACACTCACATAGCATTTTATTGTTTGAGGATTCTAGTTGCCCTACATCCTTCCTAATACTTTGTGTGGTCAGACTTTAGGTTTTGATCATCTTTTGGGTATGAAATGGCCTCTCATAGTAGTTGTAATTTGATTAGTTTTGAGTTTGAGCATCTTTTTATATGTTCATTCCTTGACTGGCCTTGGTGTTTGCTCTTCTGTGAAGCCTTTTCAATTCTTTTGCTTTTCTTCTTGTTGATTTGAATTTGAATTTTTAAAAATAAATCATTGAGGTGAACTCTTTATCAGATGTTCCAATCTGTGGCCTACCTCCTTGCTTTTTTTATTTTTTTTTATTGAGATGGAGTCTTGCTCTGTCACCCAGCCAGGAGTGCAGTGGCATGATCTCAGCTCACAGCAACCTCTGCCTCCCAGGTTCAAGCGATCCTGCTGTCTCAGCCTCCTGAATAGCGGGGACTACAGGCGTGTGCCACCATGCCTGGCTGGTTTTTGTATTTTTAGTAGAGACGGGGTTTCACCATGTTGGCCAGGCTGGTCTTGAACTGCTGACCTGAAGTGATCCACCTGCCTTGGTCTCCCAAAATGCTGGGATTACAGACGTGAGCCACCACGCCCGGCCCCCACTGGCCTTTTTTTTTTTTTTTTTTTAATACAGAGTCTCGCTTTGTTGCCAGGCTGGAGTGCAAAGGCGCAATCTCGGCTCACTGCAACCTCCGCCTATCAGGTTCAAGGATTACAGACGTGAGCCACCACGCCCGGCCCCCACTGGCCTTTTTTTTTTTTTTTTTTTTTTTTAATACAGAGTCTCGCTCTGTTGCCAGGCTGGAGTGCAAAGGCGCAATCTCGGCTCACTGCAACCTCCGCCTATCAGGTTCAAGCAATTCTCCTGCCTCAGCCTCCCGAGTAGCTGGGACTACATGCATGCCACCACGCCCGGCTAACTTTTTTGTATTTTTAGTGTTAGCCAGGATGGTCTCCATCTCCTGACCTCATGATCCGCCCACCTCAGCCTCCCAAAGTGCTGGGATTACAGGCGTGAGCCACTTTACCTGATGCCCTGCTTGCTATTTAAACAAACTGTGAAATAATTTGTCTCAATTTATAAAAATAATACAGAGAGTTTCCATTTACTCTTCACCCTGCTTTCCCCAATGATAATATCTTATATAACCACAGTACATTTCAAAACCAGGTAACTGACATTGGTACAGTACTATTGAGTAAACTAAAGACTTTATTCAGATTCAGATTTCATCAGTTTTTGCATGTACTCTTTTTTTTAATTGTTGCTCTATAGTAGTATGAAATTTCATTACATAAATAAGATTTATGTAGCCACCATCACCACAATAAAGATGTAGAACTCTTCTATCACTACAAAGAAAACTCTCCTGTGCTATCTTCCCTCCAATCTTAACCCCTGGCAACTACTGATCTGTTCCCCATCACTATAATTCTTTTTGCTTTTTTTTTTTTTTTTTTTTTTGAGACAGAATTTTGTTCTTGTCCCCCAGGCTGGAGTGCAGTGGTGCAATCCCAGCTCACTGCAACCTCGGCCTACTGGACTCAAGCGATTCTCCTGCCTCAGCCTCCTGAGTAGCTGGGACTACAGGCATGTGCCACCATGCCTGGCTAATTTTGTATTTTTAGTAGAGACGGGGTTTCACCATGTTGGCCAACCTAGTCTCGAACTCCTGACCTCAGGTGATCCACCCACCTCGGCCTCCCAAAGTGCTGGGATTACAGGCGTGAACCACTTGTGCCCAGCCTCAAATTTTATTTCTACTAAAATATATAATTATTCTTATGCTACATTTCTTCATGTGTCAGTCTTTTTAAATTTGTGTATTTTAATTAATTTGTCCACTTAACCTCAGCAGTTAAATTTGTTGGCATAATGTTCATAATATTCCCAAATTTCTTTAAAAGTGTGTATATTTCTCTAGTGGTGCTTCCTCTTTCATTCCCCATATTGTGATTTAAAACATTTTGGGGGTATTTTATCTAAAGGTTTATTAATTTTATGGATTTTTGCAAAGAGTCAACTTTTGGTTTCATTGATTTTCTGTAGTATTAATCTATATCCCATTTAAGTGATTTTTATTTGTATCTTTTTCTGCATTCTACTTTCTTTGGGTTTAATTTCCTCTTCTTCTTACTTCCTGAGGTAGAAGCTTAGGTCATTGGTATAGACCTTCTTTTCTAATACAATCACATATATATCTGTACATTTATTTCTAAGCCTTGCTTTAGCTGAATCCTACAACTTTTGGTGTGTTGTGTTTTCTTTATCATTTAGTTCATGATATTTTCTAATTTTCTTATTTTTTAACCTATTGGTTGTTTAGAAGTGAGCTGCTTAATTTCCAGATATTCAGGTATTTTCTAAATGTTTTATTTTTATTGGTTTTCAATTTAATTGTATTTTGTTGAGAGAATGTATTCTGTATATTTTCAATCTTTCAAAGTCTGTTGAGATTAATTTTATGGCACAGCATATGATCTATTTTTGTGAACATCCTATGAGCTCTTAAAAGGAATGTGTATTCTGCAGTTGTTGAGGGTACTATCCTATAAATGTCAGATAGGTCATATTGGTAATATTTTTCAGATGATTGATATCCTTACTGAGTTTTTGATCTTATTTTTCTATCCATTACTGCAAAGGTGTGTTAACATATCATTGTGGATTTGTCTATGTCTCTGTAGTGATCTCTAAGGTTTTGATTCATACAGTTAGTAATTTTGCTATGAGGCACATGTACATTAATAATTGTTACGTCTTCTTATTGACCTTTTTATCATTATGGAATTTCCTCCTTTGTTTTTTAGCAATACCGCTTGTCTTCAGGTCTGTTATCTGATATTAATATAGCTACTCCAGGCTTTTTTTTTTTTGAGACAGAGTTTTGCTTTTGTTGCCCAGGCTGGAGTGCAGTGGCACTTTCTCGGGCGTGGCTTGGAGATGCCACGACCAAACACCTCTTAAAGGCCTCCTGGCTTCAAGTGATTCTCCTGCTTCAGCCTCCTGAGTAGCTGGGATTACAGGTGCCCACTACCACGCCTGGCTAATTTTTTTCCTATTTTTAGTAGAGACAGGATTTCACCATGTTGGCCAGGCTGGTCTCGAACTCCTGGCCTCAGGTGATCCACCTGCCTCTGCCTCCCAAAGTGCTGGGATTACAGACGTGAGCCACCATGTCTGGCCCATTCCAGCTTTTTAATATTTACTCTTTCCGTGGCATACCTTTGTCCATTCTTTATATTTCAATCTTTTTATTTGCGTCTTTGTATTTAAAATGAGTCTCTTATAGACAGCATATAGTTGATTTTTTTCTTCTTTATCCAGTTTGCCAATCTCTACGTTTTGTTGGAGTATTGAATGCATTAGCACTCAAATGTTATTGTTGATAAGTAAGGTTATTTCTACTTTTGCCAGATTTTTCTTTGTTTTCTCCAATGTGTTTTTACTTGCTCTGTTTTCTTTAGCCTACTTTTGTTTTAATGTTTTAATAAAATACTTTTTAGATTCTTTTTTCTTTTTTTTTTTTTTTTTTGAGACATAGTCTCACTCTGTCACCGAGACTGGAGTGCAGTGGTGAGATCTTGGCTCAGTCATCCTCTGCCTCCTGGGTTCAAGGGATTCTCCTGCCTCAGCTTCCCGAGTAGCTGGGACTAGGGGCGCACGCTACTACGCCCAGCTAATTTTTGTATTGTCAGTAGAGATGGGATTTCACCATGTTGGCCAGGCTGGTCTCGAACTCCTGACCTCAAGTGATCTGCCTGCCTCAGCCTCCCAAAGTGTTCAGATTACAGGCGTGAGCCACCGCGCCCGGCTCCTTTTTCGATCTTCATGTTAATTTCTCTCAGCTATCTAGCTATGTATCTGCCTTGTGTGTGTTCATGACTTTTCCAGGGCTTACAATATGTATTTTTAACTTAAACCAATTAGAGTTATTATTTGTTTAAGGTAATGTAAGAATCTCACAAGAGTATGTTTACATTCCCCTCATCTTCAGTGCTGTTGTCATATACATTATTTCTGTAAACATCCTAAACCCAATACTACAGTGTTAAAATTTTTAAGCCATCGTATAGTAATACGTATTTTTAAAGAAATTAAGGTAAATGTATGTAGAAATATGTGTGTGTGCTTTATATCTGTCACATTTCTTATGCTCTTCACTCCTTAATGTAGATACAAGTTGCCATCTGATACCATTTTCCTTCATCCTGAAAGACTTCCTTTAACATTTAGTACAGTTACCTGGCATTGGATTTTCCATTTTAATCTGAAAAGATTATTTTCTCTCCAGTTTGCGAAAATTAACTGGAGATAGAATCGCTGGTTAACATATTTTTCTCTGGCATTGCAGTGTCTTCTGGCTTTCATAGTTTTGTAATTTTTGTTGAGTAATTATTATATTGTTCTTTTATATTTTGATCTTCTCTGGCTGTCTTCAAGATTTTCTCGTTATCTTTGGCCTTCAGCAGTTTGACCGTGATGTTTCTATGAGCCGTTTTCTTTGTGTTTCTACTACTTAAGCATTATGAAGCTTCTTGGCTCTCTAAGTTTTATTTTCTATTCACTGTGAGAAGTACTTGGCTATTATTTCAATATTTTTCCTGTCCCTTTTACTCTTTCCTCTCATTCTAGGACTCCCAATTTACCTGTATATTGGACTGCTGGAAATGTGTTTCTGAAGATTCATATTGTCTCATAAGCTTCTGTTCATTTTTCTTCAGTCTTTTTTCTCTTTTTTGAGGGGTGGGTGGATATATGTAATTTCTATTCTTTTATTTTCAAATTCACTAATCTTTCTTCTTTTTCTGTTTGCTATTAAACCTGTCTAGTGAATTTTTAAATTTCAGTTGTTTTTTTCTTTCCCCCTCCCCTCCTCTCCCCTCCTCTCCCCTCCCCTCCCCTCCCCTCCCCTCCCCTCCCCTCCTCTTGTTTCTGTGGGTTTTAGGAGTGCTCTCAGGCAAGAAAGCCACAAACAAAATTATTACCCCTTTCTGTTGCAATTTTTTGAGCATAAACTCTTCCCCATCTTCTGGCTGGTTATGTATATTTTCCAGTGCCTTTGAGTAGTTATTTGTTATATTTTATCCAGTCTTATTATTTTCTGCTGCAGGGTTCTTGTGACCATTTCAGTCTGCTGGCATTTTCGTTAGTGGGCTTCCTCATACTTATTTTTGAATTGATTTTTGGAAATTGCTTCAAAATTACAGAATATTTGCAAAAATAAAAATAGTAGAATAAATATATATGGTGCAGTGAGTTGTATGTGGTTTGTCCCCACCACAACTCATGGTGAAATTTAATTGCCAGTTTAACGGTATTGAAAGGTGGTGGGGCCTTTAAGAGGTGTTTGGTTGTGGCATCTCTGCCCTCTCGAATGGCTTATGCAGACTGGGTTAGTTCTTTTGGACTGGGTTGGTTCTCGTGAGATCAAGTTGTTATAAAACAAGGCTTCCTCTGATGTTTGGCCTCTTTGCATGCACTTGCTTTCCCTTCCTCTTTCTGCTGTGATTTGAAGCAGCATGAGACCATCACCAAATGGGCTACCATCCAACCTCCAGAATTGTGAGCCAAATAAACTTTTTTGTAAATTACCCAGTCTCAGGTATTCTGTTATAGCAATACAAAACAGATTAAGACATATGGCATATATGTTATTATATAAATGGCATCATAAAATGACCTACTATTTTACTTAGTTTGCTTTATCATTTATTCATGTGCTCTTTTGCATGCATACCCTTCCTCCTTCCTTCCCCTTTCTCAGTACATATGTATGTATGTGTATATGTATATGTATGTTCATATGTGTTTGTTTTGTTTTTGTCTTTGTTTTTGTTTTTGTTTTTTGAGACAGAGTCTCGCTCTGTCACCCAGGCTGGAGTGCAGTGGCACGATCTCGGCTCACTGCAACCTCCGCCTCCTGGGTTCAAGCGATTCTCCTGCCTCAGCCTCCCAAGTAGCTGGGATTACAGGTGCACGCCACCATGCCTGGCTAATTTTTGTGTTTTTAGTAGAGACAGGGTTTCACCATGTTAGTCAGGCTGGTCTTGAACACCTGACCTCATGATCTGCTCACCTCGGTCTCCCAAAGTGCTGGGATTACAGGCGTGAGCCACCACCCCCGGCCTGTAAGTGTTTGTTTCTGTGAATTTTCTAAGAATGTCGATATTGTCTCATATAACCACAGTGTGGTTATCAGCCTCAGTAAACTTAACTTTGATACAGTCATTTTGCCTGTTATCTACCATTCGTATTATAATTTTGTCAACATATAGAATAATATGGTTTTTTACTTTCCAGAACATAATCTAGTCCAAGGTTAGTTAGTTCATTTTCATGTCATGTCTATAATTATTATTAAGGGAAGGGAATTATTATTTCAATAATCTTTCTCTGTCTTTTATAACATTGACATTTCATTTGTTTATTTAATTTTAGATTCAGAGTGTACATGTGCAGGTTTGTTACATGGGTATATTATGTAATGCTGGGGTTTGGGGCTTCTATTGAACCTATCACCCAAATAGTTTACATAGTACCTGATAGGTAGTTTTTCAGCCCTTACCTCCATCCTTTTTCCCCTGTTTTGGAGTCCCCAGTGTCTATTATTTCCATCTTTATGTCCGTGTGTACCCATTGTTTAGCTCCTACTTGTGAGAACATAGGTTATTTGATTTTCTGTTTCTGCATTGATTCACTTAGGATGATGGCCTCTAGCTGCATCCATGTTGCTGCAGAGGACATGATTTCATTCTTTTTTATGGCTGCATAGTATTTCATGGTGTGTGTGTACCACATTTTATTTATCCAGTCCACTATTGATGGGCCTATACGAAGATTCCATGACTTTGCTGTTGGGAATAGTGCTGCGATAAGCATACGAGTGCAGGTGTCTTCTGGTAGAACAATTTATTTTCCCAGTCTTGGGATTGTTGGATTGAATGGTAGTTCTATTTTTAGTTCCTTGAGAAATTTCCATACTGTTTGCCATACAGGTTGAACTAATTTACATGACCACCAACAATATATAAGCATTCCCTGTTCTGTGCATCCTCACTAACATCTGTTTTTTTGTTTGTTTGTTTGTTTGTTTAACTTTTTAATAATAGCCATTCTGACTGGTGTGAGATGGCCTATCTTCTTGTGGGTTTTCTTTTCCCATCCTTCACTGGTACCAAGATCTCTTTGTGGTTGTAATTTGTATTTCTCTGATGATTAGTGATTTTGAGCATTTTTTATGTTTGCTCCCTGTTTGTGTACCTTCTTTTGAGAAGTATCTGTTTATGTCCTTTGCTCACTTTTTAATGAGGTTATTTGGGTTTTTGTTGTTGATTTGTTTAAGTTCCTTATGTTTCTGCATATTAGTCCTTTGTAAGATGCATGGTTCGCAAATGCTTTCTCCCATTCTGTAGGTTGTCTTTTTACTCTGTTGATTGTTTCTTTTGCAGTGCAGAAGCTCTTTTGCTTAATTAAATCATATTTGTCCATTTTTGTTTTTGTTGCAATCGCTTTTGAGGACTTAGTCATAAGTTCTTTGCCTTGGCCAATGTCCAGAGAAGTTTTTCCTAGTTTTCCTTTAGGAATTTTATAGTTTGAGGTCTTACATTTAAGTCTTTCATCCATCTTGAGTTGATTTGTGTATATGAGGGGGAAGGGTCCAGTTTCATTCTCTTGCATGTGGCTGGACAGTTTTCCCAGCATCATTTATTGAATAGGGTGTCCTTTCCCCATTGTTTATTTCTGTCAGCTTTCTCGTAGATCAGTTGGTAGTAGGTGTGTGGTTTTATTTCTGGGTTCTCTGTTCTGTTCCGTAGATCTATATGTCTATTTTTGTACTTACACCGTGCTGTTTCAGTTAATATAGCCTTGTAGTATAGTCAAAGTCAGGTAATGTGATATTTCCAGCTTTGTTCTTTTTGTTTAGGATTGCTTTGGCTAGTCAGGCTTTGTTGGTCCCATATGAATTTTAGAATTGTTTTTTCTAGTTCTGTTAGAATGTTAGAATGACAAATGATGTTGGTAATTTGATAGGAATTGCATTGAATCTGTAGATTGCTTTGGGCAGTATCATCATTTTAACTATATTGATTCTTAACAATCTATGAGCATAGAATGTTTTTCCCTTTGTGTCATCTGTGATTTCTTTCATCAGTGTTTTGTAGTTCTCCTCGCAGAGACCTTTCACCTCTTTGGTTTGATGTATTCTTAGGCATTTTGTGTGTGTTTGCATTCGTGTGGCTATTGTAAATGGGATCTTGTTCTTTATTTGGCTCTAAGCTTGAATGTTACTGGTGTATAGAAATGCTATTGATTTTTGTACATTGATTTTGTATCCTGGAACTTTACTGAATTTTTTTTTTTAATCAGGTTTAGGAGTCTTTTGGAGGGACCTTTAGAGTTTTCTAGGTATAGGATTATTTTCTAGGTATAGGATTTTCTAGGTAAAGGATTCTTGGCGAACAGAGATAATTTGACTCCCTCTTTTCCTATTTGGATGCCTTTTATTTCTCTGTCTTGCATGATTGCTTTCTCTAGGACTTCCAGTACTAAGTTGAATACGAGTGGTGAGAGCAGACATCCTTTTCTTGTTCCACTTCTTAGGGGGAATGGTTTCAGCTTTCGCCCATTCAGTATGAAGTTGGCTGTAGGTCTGTCACAGATAACTCTTCTTATTTTGAGGTATGTTCCTTTGATGCCTAGTTTGTTAAAGATTTTTATCATGAAGGGGTGTTGGATTTTATCCGATGCTTTTTTTACATCTATTAAGATGATCTTTTTTTTTTTTTTTTTTTTTTTTTGTTTGAGACGGAGTCTTGCTCTGTCACCCTGGCTGGAGTGCAGTGGCGCGATCTCGGCTCACTGCAAGCTCCGTCTCCCAGGTTCACACTATTCTCCTGCCTCAGCCTCTCTGAGTAGCTGGAACTACAGGCGCCCACCACCAAGCCTGGCTATATTTTTGTATTTTTTTAGTAGAGATGGGGTTTCACCGTGGTCTCAATCTCCTGACCTCGTGATCCGCCCGCCTCAGCCTCCCAAAGTGCTAGGATTACAAGCATGAGCCACCACACCTGGCCGGTTTTTGTTTTTAATCCTGTTTATGTGATGAATCACATTTATTGAACACTGACATTTTAGAATACAATTCCTCAGTTCTCACTTTTTTTTTTTTTCTTTTTTGAGATGAAGTCTCACTCTGTTGCCTAGGCTGGAGTGCAGTGGCGCGATCTCGGCTCACTGCAACCTCCACCTCCTGGTTTCAAGCAGTTCTCTGCCTCAGCCTCCCGATTAGCTGGGACTACAGGTGCGTGCCACCATGCCTGGCTAAGTTTTGTATTTTTAGTAGAGACAGGATTTCACCATCTTGGCCAGGCTTGTCTTGAACTCTTGCCCTCAGGTGATCCACCCACCTTGGCCTCCCAAAGTGCTGGGATTACAGGCGTGAGCTACCGCGCCTGGCCAGTTCTCACTTTTTAAAATAGCTTTACTGAGGTATAATTTACATGCCATAAAATTACTTATTGTATGTATACAGTTCAATATATATATATTTTTTTTTTGAGATGGAGTTTCACTGTTGTAGCCCATGCTGGAGTGCAGTGGCACAATCTCGGCTCACTGCAACCTCTGCCTCCTGGGTTCAAGTGATTCTCCTGCCTCAGCCTCCCGAGTAGCTGGGATTACAGGCATGTACCACCAGGCCTGGCTAATTTTGTATTTTTGGTAAAGACAGGGTTTCTCCATGTTGGTCAGGCTGGTCTCAAACTTCCGACCTCAGGTGATCCGCCACCTCAGCCTTCCAAAGTGCTGGGATTACAGGCGTGAACCGCCGCACCTGGCCTGTGTGTGTACAGTTCAATAATTTTTAGTAAACTTATAGAGTTATATGATTGTCACCTCTATTCAACATTTCTGTCACACCAGAAAGTTCTCATGTGCCCATTTGCATTCATCCGTCCTCCCATCAGAGGAAACCATTGATTTGTTTACTGTCTATAGATTTGCTGTTTCTAGACGTATAAGAATGGCATTGTGAAATATATAGTCTTTTCTTTTTTTTTTTTTTAGATGGAGCCTTGCTCTGTTGCCAGGCTGGAATACAGTGGTGTTATATCGGCTCACTGCAACCTCTGCCTCCTGGGTTCAAGCAATTCCCCTGCCTCAGCCTCCTGAGTAGCTGGGACTACAGGTGCACACCACCACACCTGGCTAATTTTTTGTATTTTAGTAGAGACGGGGTTTCACCATGTTGGCCAGGATGGTCTCAATCTCCTGACCTTGTGATCCACCCGCCTCAGCCTCCCAAAGTGCTGGGATTACAGGCATGAGCCACCATGCCTGGCCCTTTTCATTGTTTATTAACCATTTGCATATCTTTTTTAGTAAAATGCCTATTCAATTCTTTTCTTTATTTTAAAATTAGATTGTGTTCTTATTGAATTGTAAGAATTTTTAGTATATTCTAGACACAAGTCCTATATCAATATAGGATTTTCAGATATTTCTCCCTGTCTGTGGCTTATCTTTTCATTTTCTCAATGGTGTCATTTCAGGCACAAAAGTTTTAAATGCTGATTAAGTTTAACTTACCAATTTTTAAAATGGGTTGTGCTTTTGGTGTTGTAACTAAGAACTTTATTCTTAACTCAAGGTTATGAAGATTTTCTTCACTGGTTTCTTCTAGAAGTTTTACAGTTTTAGCTCTTACATTTAGAGCTACAATCCATTTTAGTTAATTTTTATGTATCAAATGAGGTGAAAATCTAAATTCATTTTCTTGCATATGAATATTCAGTTGTCCTTACAATCTCATATAAAGAGTATCCTTCCTCCCATTGAATTACCTTGGCACCTTTATCAAAAATCAGCTGACTGTGAATCTAAGTGTTCATTTCTAGTCTCCTGATTTTGTTCCATGATCTCCATCTTCCTCCTATGACAGTAGCACACTATCTTCATTACTGTAGCTTTATATTAAGTTTTGAAGTTAGAAGTATACACTCCCCAACTTTATTTTCTTTTTCAGAAATTGTTTTGTCTATTTTATGTCCTTTGAATTTCAATGTAAGTTTTAGGATCAGATTGTGAATTTCCAAAAGGGAAAAAAACCAAAAGCCTGCTGTGGTTGTGATACCATGATTATGTTGAATCTGCAGATAAATTTTGGTGAGAATCACCATCTTAATAATAGTAAGCCTTCCAATCTATGACTGTCTCCCTATTTATTTGGAGCTTTAACTTCATTCAACAATGTTTGTTAATTTTCTTTTTAAAAATCTTTCTTCTTTTCCTCCTTTCCTTTCCTTTTCTCTTTCTCTTCTCTTTCTTTCATCCCACTATGTTGCCCAAACTGGCCTCTAACTTCTGGCCTCAAGCAATCCTCCCACCTCAGCCTCCTTAAGTGTTGGGATTACAGGCATGAGCCACCGTGCCCAGCCTTAATTTTCAGTTTACAAACTTTGTGCTACTTTGTCACATTTATTCCTTAGCATTTTATTATTTTTATGCTATCGTGAATAGTATTGTTTTCTCAGTTTCATTTTTAGAATAGTCATTGCTAGTATATAGAAATATAATTATTTTTTATATATTTATCTTATATGACCTAAGTACAATTATGACTTCTAGTTGCTTTTTTGAAATTTTATGCTTACAAAATTATATAATCTGTGAACAAGAGATTTTTTTTACTTCTTCCTTTCTAGTTAAGATGCCTTTCATTTATTTTCTCCTCATTTTGTTTGTCTTCTCCTTTTTTTTTTTTTTTTTTTTGAGACAGAGTCTCACTGTGTCACCAGGCTGGAGTGTGGTGGCACGATCTCAGCTCACTGCAACGTCCGCCTCCGGGGTTCAAGCGATTCTCCTGCCTCAGCCTCCCAAGTAGCCGAGACTACATGTGTGTGCTACCATAGCCAGCTAATTTTTCTATTTTTAGTGGAGACAGGGTTTCGCCATGTTGGCCAGGATGGTCTCAATCTCTTGACCTCGTGATCTGCCCGCCTCGGCTTCCCAAAGTGTTGGGACTACAGGCGTCATAAGTTTTTGAGAACACGTGCAATATTTGCCACTTCTTCTTTCTTCTTCTCCTTTTCCTTCTCCTCCTCCTCCTCCTTCTTCTTCCTTCCTTTCTCTTTCTCTTTTCTGTGTCTCCCTCTTTTGAATTCAACCCCTTAAAAAGGTAAAAACCATTTTTAGCTGGCAGGCCATACAGAAACAGGTTTCAGGCTGGATTTGGCCTGTCAGGTGAGTTTGCCAACTCCTGCAATAGAAAATGTAATGCATAGGGCTAGACACAGTGGCTTATGCCTGTAATCCCAGCACTTTGGGAGGCTTAGGCTGACCTGAGGTCAGGAGTTCAAGACCAGCCTGGCAAACACGGTAAAACTCTGTCTCTACTAAAAATACAAAAATTAGCTGGGCGTAGTCTTGGACGCCTGTAATCCCAGCTACTCGGGAGGCTAAGGCAGGAGAATCGCTTGAACCCTGGAGGCGGAGGTTGCAGTGAGCTGAGATCGCACCACTGCACTCCAGCTTGGGTGAAAGAAAGACTCCGTTTAAAAAAAAAAACAAAAAAACAAAAGAAAGTGTAATGCATGAAGTGAAATGAAAAATAGATGCTGGGAAGGATGTCTAACTGGGAGATAGCTTGTGATGTAAATATGTAAATATATTATGAATGACCAGTGGGCAAGGCAAAATTGCCTACACAGCCCTACCTATGGCCCCTCTGAAAATGTTCTTTCTTCAGCAGAATCGAAGCCAGAAATTCAACTTAGTCCCTCCTGCCCTCTGATTTTCTCCAGTCAGCAAGCTCTCAGCCAACATGTGTGGCTGAGTCATCTCTCTCAGCTGTTTTCAAGTTTATGGGCAGGAAATCCTCTCCACCTGGGAAAACACTATCCAGAAGATCAGAAACAACAGCAGGATCCATTCTGCTTTAGTGGCAAAGCAGAATGGATTCAAGAGGGAGAAGACTCCAGACTCCTGTTTGGGAGAGTAAGCAAAAATGGCACTTCAAAGGCACTTTCCAGCCCACCTGAAGAACAACAGCCAGCACAGTCCAAGGAAGACAACACAGTGGTGGATATAGGGTCCAGCCCTGAACGGAGGGCAGATCTAGAGGAAACAGACAAAGTATTGCATGGTTTAGAAGTCTCAGGATTTGGAGAAATCAAATATGAAGAGTTTGGGCCAGGCTTTATCAAGGAGTCAAACCTCCTTAGCCTCCAGAAGACACAAACTGGGGAGACACCTTACATGTACACTGAGTGGGGAGACAGCTTTGGCAGTATGTCAGTCCTCATCAAAAACCCAAGGACACACTCTGGGGGAAAGCCTTATGTGTGCAGGGAATGTGGGCGAGGCTTTACGTGGAAGTCAAACCTGATCACACATCAGAGGACACACTCAGGGGAGAAACCTTATGTGTGCAAGGATTGTGGACGAGGCTTTACTTGGAAGTCGAACCTCTTTACACATCAGCGGACACACTCAGGGCTCAAGCCTTATGTGTGCAAGGAATGTGGGCAGAGCTTTAGCCTGAAGTCAAACCTCATTACCCACCAGAGGGCGCACACTGGGGAGAAGCCTTATGTTTGCAGGGAATGTGGGCGTGGCTTTCGCCAGCATTCACACCTGGTCAGACACAAGAGGACACATTCAGGAGAGAAGCCTTACATTTGCAGGGAGTGTGAGCAAGGCTTTAGCCAGAAGTCACACCTCATCAGACACTTAAGGACACACACAGGAGAGAAGCCTTATGTATGCACAGAATGTGGGCGTCACTTTAGCTGGAAATCAAACCTCAAAACACACCAGAGGACACACTCAGGGGTTAAACCTTATGTCTGCCTGGAGTGCGGGCAGTGCTTTAGCCTGAAGTCAAACCTTAACAAACACCAGAGGTCACACACGGGGGAGAAGCCATTTGTATGTACGGAGTGTGGGCGAGGCTTTACCCGGAAATCAACCCTGAGCACGCACCAGAGGACACACTCAGGGGAGAAGCCATTTGTATGTGCTGAGTGTGGACGAGGCTTTAATGATAAGTCCACCCTCATTTCACACCAGAGGACACATTCAGGGGAAAAGCCTTTTATGTGCAGGGAGTGTGGCAGAAGGTTTCGGCAGAAGCCTAACCTGTTTAGGCACAAGAGGGCACACTCAGGTGCCTTTGTGTGCAGGGAGTGTGGGCAAGGCTTTTGTGCTAAGTTAACTCTCATTAAACACCAGAGAGCACACGCAGGGGGGAAGCCTCATGTGTGCAGGGAGTGTGGGCAAGGCTTTAGCCGGCAGTCACACCTCATTAGACACCAGAGGACACATTCAGGAGAGAAGCCTTATATTTGCAGAAAGTGTGGACGGGGCTTTAGTCGGAAGTCCAACCTTATCAGACATCAGAGGACACACTCAGGATAGAAACTTTATGTGTATAGGGAATGTGGTACAGCCTTTAGCCAGGAGTCATACTTCATCAGACACCAGAGGACACACACAGTGCTGTGGCTTTTTCAGCCATTGCTAGATACCAAAGTGGAGACATTCTGTGTGTGATTATGCATGAGACTGTACTGGTAAGACTTGTATCTCCATCCACCTGAAGGAGAATTGCTGGCTCATTTTCAGGAGCCCTGCCCTTCCTCACTGTGGATGGTGGGTTGTGGAAACCCGGTCAGGTAATGATAGTGGCAGGAGGCAGTCAAATGCCCAGGCAGATAGGGGTGGGTACCTGGTGAAACCCAACCTTAAAGCTGAAGACAGTCCCGGCTAAATCCTCATACTGAATTGAGAACCTGTCTTCCCATTTGGTGTGCTTTCCTCCGATTGATCCCAACCCTTCACCTATTTTACGTATACCTGCCCTTTCCTAATTGGTTTTTACACTGCTGTGCCCACCTTTTGAGTGGTGCCTTTGCATACTTACAAATCAGTCAACGTGTATTCCCCTATTCTGAGCCCATAAAAGACCCAGACTCAGCTGCAGTGAGGAGAGAAATCACCCTGCTGTGGGGGTTGGGGACCACTCCCTGCATCCCCTCTCCACTGAGAGCTGTTCTTTTGCTCAATAAAATTCTTTTCTACCCATCCTCACCCTTCAATTGTCAGTGTATCCTCATTCTTTTTGGACTCAGGACAAGCGCTCAGAACCACTAAACATGGGTATAAGCTATAATACAGGCAGGCCAAGAGGGCAGGGCACCTCCAGCAGCAGGCCCAGGGCTAAGTGAGATCCAGGCAGAGGGCTGTCGCTGGCTGTGGAGGTCCTCAGTTGGCAATGTGGCTGAGAAAATTCCTGTGTCAGTAACTTGACGGAGAAAGTACTTTTAAATGGGTTGAAATTAGGAAATGAATACTATTCCAGTGTCATTTTACAGGTACACTGGAACATTCCTTCCACTGTACCCTGGATGTTACAGAAACTATTGCGGGAATGAAGGAGGACCAGAGAGACCATGGGGTGAGACAGGAGGATTTATTTATTTATTTTTTTGAGACAGAGTCTCGCTCTGTCACCCAGGCTGGAGTGCAGTGGCGCGATCTCGGCTCACTGCAGGCTCCGCCCCCCAGGTTCACGCCATTCTTCTGCCTCAGCCTCCCGAGGAGCTGGGACTACAAGTGCCTGCCACCTCACCCGGCTAATTTTTTGTATTTTTAGTAGAGATGGGGTTTCACTGTGTTAGCCAGGATGGTCTCGATCTCCTGACCTCATGATCCGCCCGCCTCAGCCTCCCAAAGTGCTGGGATTACAGGCATGAGCCACCGCGCCCAGCCGACAGGAGGATTTATTGAGTGCACTCAGACCCAGAGGATTAACATCCAAAAACTGGGCCCAGAACAAAGACAGCATTTGACTTTTATACACACTTCTCAAAGTGGGTGGGCTAACTTGAAACAAGCTTACAGTGGTGCAAAACGTAGTGGTGCAAAAGCCAGGATACAGAGGCAGAGCAAAGGCAGTTAATCAAATTGTGACAGGTGTATAACTCAGGATTACATATGACCCTTGCTTATGCAGCCCAGATGGCTGTTATCTAGGCTTGCTCAAAAGAGCCTTGCATGGGCTTATCTCATAACCTTTGCTATGGTGCCCAGATGGCTGCAGCCCAGGCCTGCCTCAGGCATGTCTTAAAACTTTCACTGTGCTGCTTAGATAAAACAGAATACTTGAAGTTAACTAGTTACAGAAAACAGGAATCTATAACCTCATAAAACTTGCAGAGCAAGGTACAATCACACGGAGGGAGGTGGGATTCGAGGGGGATCTTTACTTTTTCTTATCCTTATGTTGAGGGAGTGCTGGGAGAGTCTCCAGAGCACATTCCTTCAAGCCTTTGCTTCTTTGATAATGTTATCGAGACCTCGCCTGGGTCCAGGCTTTGCCTGCTACCGCCTTTAGGATGAGTCAGCCTAGTATGGAAAGCTTATTTTTCTCTTTTTAAATTTTATTTTCTTCTTTCTCTAATTTCTGCCTCAAGACAACAATACTAGAGCTTGTCTTTTGATGTCCATCTGTCCTAACTGGGAACAAGAGACTTGGAAGACACCGTGGCTGATTTACTATGTGTTCCCCAGACCATGACCCCACAGAGTCAGCCTCAGGGGAGAGTTTGGGGAATGGTTAATTCATGGAGACAGGGATAGTCCATGGGTAGAAGAGGGTTTTATTATATCTAGGTGACTGCAAGTATCCTAGCTCTAGGTTTTAGGAAGAGGTCCATTTTTAAAAATAACTTTGCTTAAGCCTTTTGGGGTTTTGTCTGGTTTCTGGGTTGAATCCACATTGAAGATATTTTTATTGACTGATGTATTTAGACTAGAAGTGTATTGTTGTTTTATTTATAAAACACACAATATGCAGAAATAGAAAATGAAATTAATTTCTATTCTCCTTTGAATTACCAAACAACATCCTACAGGTAATTCTTGAGTTTAAATATTTCCAACCATTGTAAAATGTACCATTCTTCTGGTTGGGAACATATATTTTTTAATGGCAGTGTTCAACAAATTAACTTTAAATACTAGGTTAGGTCCCAGTTTGTTTGTTTTTTGTTTTTTTTCATGGAACTAGACTGAATGATTCTGAATTTTATTTGGAAAATAAAATTTCCAAGAATCATTAGGAAAATATAGAAACTATATAGTAACATGTCTTGTTCATATATAAGTTTTTAGAATAGCTCTTTAGAACCATATTTTAAAAAACAGAAAAACAAACCCATCCATATATGAGCATTTTGAATGCGATAAAGCAGGATTTCAAATCAGCGTGAAAATGGCAATCGTAAGATTCAGTGTTTGTGTTGTTGGCTATCAATTTAGGGAAAAAATAAATGTAGATTTATTTGTTTATCCAAAGGAGTTACAGTTAGGGCATCACTGTCCAAAATGGTAAGAGATGTTAGGATCTTAATTTTTGTTCAACATCTAAGTGAGTGAGTAGAGTTAGAAGATCTGGTAAAAAATTATGAAGTATTATCCTAGGTGGAGTACTTGGCATGGCTGGCTTTTCCCAGCCCTCCCCCATGGCAATTCATGGGCTGGCTTTCATACTTCTTAACAGAAAAATACTTTGAGGCCGGGTACAGTGTCTCACACCTGTAATCCCAGCACTTTGGGAGGCCAAGGCAGGCAGATCACAAGGTCAGGAGTTTGAGGCCAGCCTGGCCAATATGGTGAAACCCCATCTCTACTAAAAATACAAAAATTAGCCAAGCGTGGTGGTGGGTACCTCTAGTCCCAGCTACTCAGGAGGCTGAGGCGGGAGAATCGCTTGAACCTGGGAGGCGGGGGTTACTGTGAGCTGAGATCACACCACTGCACTCCAGCTTGGGTAACAGAGCGAGACTCCATCTCAAAAAAAAAAAAAAAAAAACTTTTTGAGATAAACTATTTTATAATAGTTTAAAAACTATTGAGTTTTAATCCCCTAGAGTCTTAGAATTTAATTATTCTCTTCCATAAAATTGTGTCACAAAACGATTTCAAAGTTAAACATGTTCTTTTTGTGTTTAACTTTTAGAAAGAATATCACAGCTTTCAATTTATTTTTATTTTATTTAAAGACCAGTGTGGCTGGGTGTGGTAGATCACACCTGTAATCCCAACATTTTGGGAGACTGGGGCGTGTGGATCACTTGAGGCCAGGAGTTCGAGACCAGCCTGGACAACATGGTGAAACCCCATCTCTACTAAAAATACAGAAATTAGCCAGGCCGTGATGGTGCATGGCTGTAATACCCACTACTCAGGAGGAGAATCGCTTGAGCCCAGGAGGCGGAGATTGCAGTGAGCTGAGATTGGCCACTGCATTCCAGCCTGGGCGACAGAGTGAGACTGTCTCAAAAATAATAATAAAGAACAGTGTGATAGTATACAGCTTTCAATTTAATTCATCCATATAACTAAGATTTTGTCTTAAATTGTTAAAAATTCTTAGCAAAAAATAGAACAGATGCTACCTGAAGACTTAAATATATTTAAAAAGATACAAACCCCAGGATATGGTTTCTATGGAGCCACGCAAAGAGAACAGGAATTGTAAGAAAGGGGTAGAAGGCTACATTCTATCCTTTGGCCCAGCCCCAGCCCCAACCGTGTTGATTGTTAAACTCACATTAGGCCCTCTGCTCAGAACCTCTCAGGAGAGAAAATTGAGGCAGATAACCTGAGCTGTCCACCTGGGCCTGGCCTGGTACTAAAATCTGTGTGCAAATTTGGAACCTGATTAGGAGGCAAGCACCACAAAGTATTCAGTTATGTGGCTTCTTCTGAGTCTGGTGTTTTGATGATTTTCCAGTCTGTCTAGAAAGCCATTCACTAGTGCTTTATCTTTCCCATCCTGAGATGACAGCTCTAGATGTTTAAAACCAACAGAAACCTGTCCCAGAGTAACCACTGTCCATCCTACCATTCTCACGGTAAGTAGTAGACTACACTACACAAAGAAAATTTTGAAGAACAGATGGTAAACAGTATGAGACAATATCACCTCAAATCCACAAGTCTGTTAGGGTCACCATTAAAATGTTCAATTTTAAAAGAGGTCATAGTAAGTTTTTATTTGTTTATTTATTTTTAAATTTTTATTTATTTTTATTGAGATGGAGTCGCACTCTGTCACCCAGGCTGGAGTGCAGTGGTGCGATCTTGGCTCACCACAACTTCCGCCTTCCAGGTTCAACTGATTCTCCTGCCTCAGCCTCCTGAGTAGCTAGAATTACAGGTGCATACCACCATGCCCAGCTAATTTTTGTATTTTTAGTAGAGACAGGGTTTCCCCATGTTGGCTAGGCTGGTCTCGAGTCCTGACTTCAGGTGATCCACCTGCCTCGGCCTCCCAGAGTGCTGGGATTACAGGCCTGAGCCACCACGCCTGATCTAAGTAAGTTTTTAAATAGCTATTTCATTTAATTCTAATTATTATGTAACAGTGGTTATCTAAGTGTGGTCAGATAATGTTTGGGGGCCAGGCACAGTGGCTCATGCTTGTAATCCCAGCCCTTTGGGAGGCTGAGGCGGGCGGATCACTTGGGGTCAGGAGTTCGAGACCAGTCTGGCCAACATGACAAAACCTCGTCTCTACTAAAAATACAAAAATTAGCCGGGCATGGTGGCGCACACCTGTAACCCCAGCTACTCGGGGGCTGAGGCAGGAGAGTCACTTGAACCCGGGAGGTGGAGGTTGCGGTGAGCCGAGATTGCACCACTGCACTCCAGCCTGGGCAACAGAGCAAGCAAGACTCTGTCTCAAAAAAAAAAAAAAAAAAAAAAAAGAGACCCGAAAGAATGAAAAACAAAAGTATTTCATTCTGGAACTAGACACAGAATGAAGACATTGTGTGAGGACCTGAGCTGCTGCAGCTACCTTGCAACCACATAAAGCAACACTGCCAATACATTGAGGACTGCAGAGCAGGAGGAAGGATTCTTGCTACAATTGGTCACCTGCTAAGCCAACTGAACTTCTTGCTAAGTGGGGAAATAAATATCTTTACTGTATAAGCTACTTTCAGTTGAGCATATAACTGTATAACTTCCTATTAAAAGCATCTTAATTGAAATTCCCAAATTCGTATCTCTAGTACCAACATTTCACTGAGCTCCACACACATATATCTAAATGCCTACTTGATATCACTCTTTTGAAATCCAACAAGCATCTGCGACTTAACATGATACCTCACCACCCACCCCATCCTAGATAACTGCCACATACTCATTTTCCCCTATCTTAGTAAATAACACTACCATTTTTCCAGGGGCTCAAGACATTTAGGCATTATATTGAACTTCTCTCTTTCCCTATATTCACAACCAAGCATCAGCAACTTCTGTTAGTTCTACACTCAAACTGTATCCCAATCTGACAATTTCTCATTGCCTCTTCCAGTGATGACCCTAATTCAAACCACCATCATCATAAGACCATTGGTCTCCAAAATAGTTTATACATAAATGAGCCTGTCATTGACATGTAGAGACCTGGGTCAACAGTACAGATGGAGGTCCCCAGCCAGTCCCCTTCTGTTCCCACTGCCATCCTTGTCCCACATCGTAAGAGGTCTTCTATTCCCACATGTGGACACTCCAGCTTGCATATCTAAGCTCTGTCTAGCCTTACCAAATTGCTCTCATTTGGCCACATTTTGTGGATAGGCAGCACATTCCACCTTTGGAAGACAGATCAAGGGAAGGGTCTTTGGACACAGAGGAGATACAGGCTCTGGAAGCAGGCTGGAGTCCATTTGAACAGGAAATCCTGGGGATTTGGATACCCAGAGCATGGTCTGAAAGAAGGTTGTGAGATCTTTGCAGGCATGTTTCTGCCTATGGACTTTCACCAGGAAGGAAACTGCTTGACTAGAGGAGGGCCAAAGTGTGGCCTTTTGTATGTTTAATAATATTAAAATGTTAAATATATTATTTTGACCAATTGAGAAATAATAATAATAATAAAATAGGCCGGGTGCGATGGCTCATGCCTGTAACCCCAGCACTTGGGGAGGCCGAGGCAGGTGGATCACAAGTTCAGGAGATGAAGACCATCCTGGCCAACATGGTGAAACCCCATCCCTACTAAAAATACAAAAATTAGCTGGGCGTGGTGGCAGGTGCCTGTAATCCCAGCTCCTCAGGAGGCTGAGGCAAGAGAATCGCTTGAACCCGGGAGGCGGAGGTTGCAGTGAGCGCCGAGATTGCCTCAATAAAAGATACCACAGACCCCGCCCATGGCAGGAGATGGGGGTGAAGGAACAGTAAGACCAGGAGACAGTCAGATACACATCGGATCAGTGGTATCCTCACAGTAACAGAAACGGTCACCCCCAATGTCAGCCACAGTCTCTTTCATCCACAATCACTTTCACATTCAGCTACCCACAATCACGGGACGTGATTTAAAATACAGAAGCTCCCTGCACTGACAAAATCCGCCGCTCCTTTCGTCGGCAAGCATAAAGGTGTGCAGCAACAGTCACACACGAACCACCACACCCAAGCATTCAACCAGTCAGCCCCGCGCGCAGCCTGGCCGCTTTCCCCAACACAGCAGCTCAAGGTCACTGGAGAGCCTACGACCGCACACAGCCCTCTCCGGTACCTGCCCCCGTGGCGCAGGCGCGCAGTGGAGGGGGCCGCGGGGTTCTCTGGGAGATGTAGTTCAACGATGACGGCCGTGGCGCAAAGCGTTCTGGGGCTCGTGGTTCGCGGGGTCCATGGGGAACGCGGTGTCGCTGGTTCAGATCTCGCAGAGCTCAGAGTCCTGCATGCCTCAGTCCTCGCCTCGCTCCTCCTCGCGGAGGATTCTGGGAGGTGACGTCGCGGGTCTCGGTCGCGGGGCCCGTTTGCAGAGCCCGCGGCGCCGGGAGGTGAGTGGGGCCGGGCCCCGGGCGGGAGCGGGAAGTCAAGGGCGGGCTCCGGGTGGCCCGGCCGCGCCAGGGATGGGAACCCGGCAGGAGTCGCTGGGGAGGCCGTGTGTGTTTCACTGTATTACCAACTATGTGACAGGCTGCGGGTGTGACAGAATGTGATCTTGTGTCACTGTGTGTGTGTGTTTGTGCGCGTGCGCCCGCTTGTGTGTGACTGTAACCATCTGTGTCTGGGGGTGAAACTGTGAATATGTGTGTTTGTGTGTGACTGTCTCTGCAGGTGTAGCTGTGTATGTGTTTATGAGAGACTGGGGTGTGACATTGTGTGTTTGTGTAAATGCATGTGTGTGGTTATGTGACCACCTGTTTCTGCGGATACAATTGCGTTTGAATGTGTGTGACAGCAAGTGTGATTGTGCGACTATGACCATCTGTCTCCGCAGGTATAGTTTTGTATCAGTAATTGTGACAAGATGTGTGACTTCTGTGGTATGCTACTTTGTGTGTGATTGTGTGTGATTGTTTATCTCTGTTGGTGTAGTTGTATGTTACCATCTATCTTTGTGCTTATGTGGCTGTGTATTGTGTGAGATTATGGGTGTGTTTGTGTGACTCTATACATTTGTGATTGGGTGAGAATTTGTGTGTATATATGAGATTGTGGGATTGATGTATGAAGCACAGAAATATTAGAATTACCCAAGTTCACACAGTTAACAAGTGACAGCACCAGAACTCAAACCCAAGCAGTTTAGCTCTAGAGGTCTCGCTTTTTTTTTTTTTTTTCTCTTGAGATGGAGTCTCACTCTATTGCCCAGGCTGGAGTGCAATGATGCGATCTCGGCTCACTGCAACCTCCGCCTCCCAGGTTCAAGTGATTCTCCTGCCTCAGCCTCCCAAGTAGCTGGGATTACAGGCGCGCACCACCACGCCCAGCTAGTTTTTGTATTTTTAGTAGAGACGAGGTTTCACCATGTTTGGCCAGGCTGGTCTCCAACTCCTGACCTCATGATCCGCCCACCAGAGCCTCCCACAGTGCTGGGATTACAGGCGTGAGGCGCTGCGCCCTGCTGCAGTTTTTATGGACAATTTCAAGCTGCACTACACTAAGGAAATAACTGCTAGGGACTGAGTTGCCTAGTGCAAAGTAGTCCAGAATTAGGGGGTGAAATTAGGGGGTGATGTATACTGAATTCTAGGTCAACCACAGTTGTCCCTTTCTTTTCTTTTCTTTTCTTTTCTTTTTTTTTTTTTTTTTTTTTTTGAGACAGAGTCTTGCTCTGTCCTGTAGGCTAGAGTGCAGTGGTGCAATCTCGGCTCACAGCACCCTCTACCTCCTGGGTTCAATCAAGCCTCCCACCTCAGCCTCCCAAGTAGCTGGGACTACAGACACATGCCACCACGCCCAACTAATTCTTGTACTTTTTGAGGAGATGGGGTTTTGCCATGTTGCCCAGGCTGGTCTTGAATTCCTAGTCTCAAGTGATTTGCCCACCTTGACCTCCCAAAGTGCTGGGATTACTGGTGTGAGCCACTGTGCCCAGCCTGTCTCTATTTTTACAATGAAGAAATGTTGGCTCTAAGAGGACAAGGAACTTACTTCAGATTGCCCAGTTTGTTGTTGCTTTAGTATTAAAATTTGGCGATGTTTCCCTCAGGCTGCATTTCTGTAGAGAAATAAAGGTAACACCTGCCATCTCTAAAGATGCCTCTCTAAGGAATATATGGCATTGATTACTCGGGTTGTGTTGAATATTTCCCATTCAGACATCGTGGCCTCTCAAAAGAGGACTGGTTTTGAGGTCACATTTCAGTTGGACCCCGGACTTTGAGTTGGTTGTTTAAGCTTCTGGAACCTCCCTTTTACTACCAGTAAAGTGGAGATATTAATACCTATCTTTGTAGTTTTGTGGAGCAGTAGTAGTTCTGAGGATTAAATGAGATAATGACACAATGAGATAACCATGTGTGACAGTCTCTCTATCTTTGTGCTAATACGGCTGTGTGTGTGAGAGAGAGAGATTATGCCACCGATTGTGTAAATGTGTATATGTTTGTGATTGGGTGAGAATTTTATGTGTATGTGAGATCACGGGATTATGTCGGACCTAGTCTGATTGTGAGGCACAGGAAGATTAAAATTACTTGCCCAACACAGCATGAGTTAACATTGTATATTTATATTACATAAGGCACAGTAAAATTTATTTATTCATTTATCTAATTTTTTGAGAGACTACAATGGTCTGGTGGTGTTCTGTCATTAGAATACACCTGTGAACCAAACAAAACCTAGTTCTCTTGGATCTTACAATCTTGCATGGGAAGAGAAACAATAAAGAAACAAAGCAGTATGTAACATGTCCAGTGGTGATAAATGCTGAGAAAAAAATAATTCAGGGTAAAGAAAAATGGAGTACCTGGAACAGGGGTTCCCTTGAGGTAGAATTTTCAGGGAAGTCCCTCTGATGAAGGGACACCTGAATGCAGATAGGAATAAAGAGGAGTGGCCCATGCTGGTGTCTGGGAGAAGGTTCCAGACGGAAGGAAAAGTCCACAACCCTGAAGAAGGGGTGTACAGTGTTTGAGTAACAGTAGGAAGACATGTGCCTGGAGTGTGGCGAGTAAGGGGCGGAAGGGTAGGAAATTAGGTCAGAGGTGCAGCCAGGGGCCAGATCATGAACCACCTTGTTGGCCGTAGGACAGACTTTGGATTTTGTTGAGTTCAGGCTATGCGTCCTTAATATATAAGTCAAGACTTTGGGAGTTAAGTTCAGCATTGGATTCCACCCCGCCACCCTGGCCAGATCTTGGAAAAGGTGAGGCTGGCCCATGTAGGGAGAAGAAAGGGGCAGTAGTATTTTTGTGGGTCTTGGACCAAAAACACAGGGCTGGCACATCATCATTTCTTCATTAACTCTCCCTTCTCAGGACTTTGTTCTTCTTCAGAAGAGAAAACTGAAGAAGGAGGAATGGCTGTGGGGCTTTGTAAAGCCATGTCCCAGGTAAGCATGCTCTTTCACTTTGTTTTCAGACATTTGACCTCATTTTTCAGGACTTTGGGACCACAGGGAAAATCACAAATAGCCCAATGAGCACCCCTTCCACTTCTCTCTCCACCTTTTGTTCATATAATCCTTCTACAAAACATTTAATATCTTTTTTAGTCAGTGTTATGCTCAAATGTGTGATGGAGCAGAGCTATCCTCTTTAGATGGATGATGATTTGTTGAGTCGGCAATGAGTGCAAGTGAAATAAGGGATAGAGTTTGATTACTGAGTGATCTATTAAATAGGGAGGTCAAGGATGGCCTCTCTGAGGAAGTGACATTTAGCAAAACAAAACTTCAGTGAAAGTAGCAAGTAAGTTTTGTGGAGATCTGGGGAAGAGCTTTAAAAGAAGGAGTACAAAGTTATTATGGTGGGAACATGTTTGGTGTATTCCAGGAATAGCAATGAGTCTGTCCTTGGAGGGAAATGAGCACTGTGATGTCAGAGGTATAGCTGGGAACCAAATTACGTAGGCCCTTTCAAGTCATGATCTGAACTTTGAATTTGGTTCTAAGTGAAGGAGAGCCATTGGAACGTTTGTGATCTGATTTGATTTATGCCTTAAAGTGAAAACAGATAGCAGGGGAGTACAGGTGGAAGCAGAGAGGCCAGTCAGGAGACTCTTTTAGTAATCCAGACAGGAGGTGATAGCAGCCTGGATCATGGTGGTGGCATTGGAGCTAGTGAGATTCTGGGTATAGACTGGAGATAGAAAATGCGATTTGATCAAGGATTCGTTGTGGCATGTGAGAGGAAGAAGTCAGGATGCCTACAGAGATTTTTGGCTAGGCAGCTACATGAATGGGCATCCCATTTACTGAGCTGGAAAGACAATGTGAAGTGGGATGGATATCAATAATTGAATTCTGGATATATTTAGAGACCTTTTGGATATCCAAATGGAATGCTGATTATACATCTGGAGTTCAGGACTACAGATGTGAATTTGGGAGTCCTTAGTGTATTTTCTTTCTTTCTTTCTTTCTTTCTTTCTTTCTTTCTTTCTTTCTTTCTTTCTTTCTTTCTTTCTTTCTTTTCTTTCTTTCTTTCTTTCTTTCTTTCCTTTCTTTCCTTTCTTTCTTTTCTTTTCTTTTTTTTTTTTGAGATGGAGTGTTGCTCTGTCGCTCAGGCTGGAGTGCAATGGCGCAATCTCGGCTCACTGCAGCCTCTGCCTCCTGGGTTCAAGCGATTCTCCTGCCTCAGCTTTCCGGGTAGCTGGGACTATAGGCACACACCACCACGCCCAGCTAATTTTTGTATTTTTAGTAGAGATGGATTTCACGATGTTGGCCAAGATGGTCTTGATCTCCTGACCTCGTGATCTGCCTGCCTCGGCCTCCCAAAGTGCTGGGATTACAGGGGTGAGCCAGTGTGCCCGGCTGTCCTTAGTGTATTTAAAACATGAGACAGGATGAGATTATCTTGAGGGCAGTTTTGTGGTGAACGTAGATAGGAAAGAGATCGAAGGACTGGCTTTAGGATGTTCAACATTCAGAGCCACACAAGAAGAGGAGGAACCAGCAAAAGAGACTGAGAAGAACTGATGTAGAAGGAAAACCAGAAGAGTGTGGGTTCTGGAAGCCAAGAGGAGAAAGTGTTTCAAGGATGGGATGATCAACTGAGCTAAGTTCCTCTGAGAGGGACTGAAGAAGACGAAGACTGAGAACTCACCGTTGGATTTGGTAACATGGAAATATTCTTGACAAGAGCTACTTCATGGAATGACTGGGATGAAGACATCATTGTGGTGGGTTTAAGAGAGAATGGAGGCCGGGTGCGGTGGCTTATGGCTGTAATCCCAGTACTTTGGGAGGCCAAGATGGCGGGACCATCGCCTGAGCCCAGGAGTTCAAGACCAGTTATGTATGCAGGGCAACACAGGGAGACTCCATCTCTAAAAAAATTTTTAATACTAAAATCCAAAAACATAGGCATGGCGGCAGATGCCTATAGTCCCAGCTGCTTGGGAGACTGAGGTGGGAGGATCGCTTGAGCCCAGGAGTTTGAGGCAGCAGGGAGCTATGATTCATGTGGTACACATTACAGCCTGTGCAACAGAAACAGAGTGAGACCCTGTCTTAAAAAAAAATAAAAAATAAAAATAAAAAGGCTAGGTGCAGTGGCTCATGCTCATGCCTATTATCCCAGCACTTTGGGAGGCTAAGGCAGGTGGATGACCTGAGGTCAGGAGTTCAAGGCTAGCCTGGCCAACATGGTGAAACCCCATCTCTACTAATAATACAAAAATCAGCCAGGTGTGGTAGCGCATGCCTGTAATCCCAGCTACTCAGGAGTCTGAGGCAGGAGAATCGCTTGAACCCAGGAGGTGGAGGTTGCAGTGAGCCAAGATCGCGCCATTGCACTCCAGCCTGGGGCCTGGGTGACACGAGTGAAACTCCATCTCCAAAAAAAAAAAAAAAAAAAAAAAAGGCAGGAAAAAGAGAATGGAAAACGAGGAAGGTGAGAACAAAGACAGTGAATTTAGACTTACAGTAGTGTAGCCAGCAGGCACATATGAGTACTCTAAATTGTGATACACTGTAAGTGCAAAGTATATACCAGATTTTGAAGATTCAGTACAAAAAAGAGTGTAAGAAGTCTCATTAATTTTTTATATTGATTACATGTTGAAATGATAACATTTTAGATATGTTGGGTTAAATAAAAATGATATTTTTTCTATTTATTTTTTTCTTGTGACTACTGGAAAATTTCAAATTACATATGTGACTCAAGTATTTCTGGTGGATAACACTGGTCTAAACAACTTACGGGAAGAGTTTTGTTATTAAGAGGAGTAGAGAAATGGGACAATAGCTAAAGGGAGATCATGGAAGGGAACTTATTTATTTATTTATCTATGTATTTATTTGCAAGAGGGAAGATATTGCATCAGTTTTTTTGCTGATTGGAATGATCCAGTAAAGTGAGAATAGTTGGTAGTAAAAGGGAGAGAGGCGAAAATGTCTTCGTGTGGGCAAGTGGACGGACTGGTCTTTGAAGCCTAGAGTTTTATTCATAGTCACAGAGGGCAGACAGAATATACAGGTATGAGTACAGATACAGAAGGGTAAGTACATATGGTGGCTGGAGGATGAGGAAGTTAAAAGTGAGATCGGGATGAGTTGATGGTGGTTCGAGAGAGAGTTATGAAATAGTTATCAGGAGAGGAGGAGAGTGAATTTATTAGGGAAGCATAGTAGAGTGGTTTTGCAGTGCTTTTGAGGACATTCTGGCCATATGCAAGAAGTACTTTGTGTCAACATGTTTTATCAATCAGGGTTCTAGCAAGGCAATCAAAAGGCAACTATTTAAAAGATATTATCAGGACATAGAGAAACTATAAAGGATCATGCTGTACTCTGGGGCTCATAACAGCATAGCTCTCTTACTAACCCTAGATCTTTGAATCCAGAGACAGAGAGCTGGGTGGAGGGGCCCCTGACAGGTGCTCTGAACTTTGATTGAAAGACAGAGACCACCCAGGGTGGGACTCCCACCCAGGGAGGGAGCCAGGGGAATAAGTATTCTGCCTTACTTACCTTCCTTTCATCTCTTGCTTGTGGCTGAACCCAACAGAATATGGGATGGGACAACGGAGTTTATTGATACAGTCAGCCTCCTAGGACTCAGAAAAGAGTAGAGGAGCACATGGAAGTTATACAACACTATGGAGTTGTGTAAATTTTTCCCTAGACACATTCAGCCATAGCCATAATTCCACTATGTAGAATAACCATATTTGATATTTCTTTTCTTTTTTTTTTTTTGAGACGGAGTCTTGCTCTGTCACCCAGGCTGGAAGTACAGTGGCACAATCTTGGCTCCCTGCAGCCTCCTCCCGAGTTCAAGCAATTCTCCTGCCTCAGCCTCCCGAGTAGTTGGGACTACAGGCACATACCACCATGTCCAGCTAATTTTTGTATTTTTAGTAGAGACGGAGTGTCACCATTTTGGCCAGACTGGTCTCGAACTCCTGACTTCAGGTGATCTGCCTGCCTTGGCTTCCCAAAGTGCTGGGATTACAGGCGTGAACCACTGCGCCTGGCCTGATATTTCATTATTTTTGATTAAAAAAAGAGAACATACTGTACATACTGGAACCCTATCATTTTTAAGCACTGAATACTCTTTCTTCATATGGATATTTTATAGGAAACTTCACCATTTATTCCCTGAGTAGCAAATATTTACTGAGAGTTTACAATGTGATCAGTTTTGTAATAGATACTGGATATATATCAGCTTATAAAACAAATCTCTCTCCCTTCACTCAGCCTACAGTTCAGTGCTATAGCCTAAACTCTATTTTTGAACATGTAAGTTTTTTCCAGATTTTTTGCATAACCTTCCAATGAAAATTCTATCTAAGTTGCTTCACATATACCTCATTATTTCTTCAGGATATGTTCCTGGACGTTTCTCCTTACATATAAAGTCTAACTTTCAGGCCATACCCTTTTGTTAAAGCCCAATTCAAGGCCTTTCTCCTATTCTGCCCCACCTGATGTCTCAATTTGGGGAATATAAAGGAATCCCCCATATAAGATTTTCTTTATACTTAGCATATGTAACATACAACTTAGTCTTTGCTGTTTCTTGTTATAAGCTAATTTTGTGTATATATGTCTTTTTTATAAAAATGTAAAATTTTCAAATGGTGAGTCTGTTTCTAATATTTCTCTTCTCTTAAAGTATTTGACAAACCTCAGCATGTAATTGTTCTCCAATAATTATTTTCCTCGCATCACTTAGAGCTTTGAACTCTGGCCAAATTCATCTTTTTTGCTAGGACCATATAGGTGTCTGGGCACCTGGTGAACAAGAATTTTTTTATTTCAGGGGTTGGTGACCTTCAGAGATGTGGCGCTAGACTTTTCCCAAGAAGAGTGGGAATGGCTGAAGCCATCTCAGAAGGATTTATACAGAGATGTCATGTTGGAGAACTACAGGAACTTGGTATGGCTTGGTAAGGATGTTTCTCCCCCATAATTTAAAAATCTTCCTCTGGGGTGTTTTTGCTTCCTCTGTTGAGAATATCTAGGACATCTTAAGACATCTTAAAAGCACTTACTTGCCTTTCTACTTCCTGTTCCCAGGAAATGATTTGAAATATATATTTGCTTAAATTTTAATTAATTAATTTACTTTTGGCAGACATTCTGAACACATGAAGTAATTTCTTTTTTTTTTTTTTTTTTTGAGACAGAGTCTTGCTCTTGTCGCCCAGGCTGGAGTGCAGTGGTGCGATCTCAGCTCACTGCAACCTCCGCCTCCTGGATTCAAGCGATTCTGCTGCCTCAGCCTCCTGAGTAGCAGGGATTACAGGCGCCCACCACCACACCCAGCTAATTTTTGTACTTTTACTAGAGATGGGGTTTCTCCATGTTGGCCAAGCTGGTCTCGAACTCCTGACCTCAGATGATCCACCCACCTTGACCTCCCAAAGTGTTGGGATTACAGGCGTGAGCCACCGCGCCCAGCATATGAAGTAATTTCATAGAGTTGGAAATGAGTAGTTCCCTTTGCCGTAGAATGGTGGTTTGGAACAGCAACATCAGCATGTCCTGGGAATTTGTTAAAATGCAAATTATGAGGCCCCATTCTAGACCTACAAAATCAGAAACTGTGGGAGTAGGCTCAGTAGTCTGGGTTTTAATAAACTCTCCAAATGATCCTGATGTCTGTTAAAGTTTGAGAGCCACTGTAGTTTCTGATGCAGTAGTTCTGGGTTGCGGCCTGAGAATGTGCATTTCTAATTAGTTCCTAGGTGATGGCTGCAGCTGCTGTAGCACTTTGAGAACCACTGTCACGGCAGAAGCTTCATCCTCCTCCTCATCCATACAAGCGTCATTCCATTCTCTAGCTCTTCCTCTAATGTCCATTCTTGCCTGATGATCAAGATATTGGGTCTGCGTCCTAGACAGCTGTGGCATGTTGATTTGTTTGTCTGTATGTCTTTCTGTCTCTTGCTCTCATTTTTCTTCCCCTGTGAACAGGACTCTCCATTTCTAAGCCCAACATGATCTCCTTACTGGAGCAAGGGAAGGAACCGTGGATGGTGGAGAGAAAGATGTCACAGGGTCACTGTGCAGGTGAGTGACAGATCACCAGGCAGGGAGGACTATTGTAAGGTACTCAACCAAGTAGTAAGTAGGAAACTGTTTTGAGCTTCAGGTGGGATGAGAACTGAAATCTCCATAGTATGTGCTTCCCTAGAAACCTCACCACACCCTGGGGTTTTTTCTTTTTCTTTCCATCAAATTATACTCTCCGGTCTTCCACCTATACCTTGAATCTCAATCCTTCTCAGCTCTTCTTTTCCTTTTATGGTTAGAATTGTATTACATTTCTAGATTTCTTTTTCAGAGTTTTTATTTTTATCAGAATTATCAAAGATATGTACACACAGTGTTTAAAGAATCAAGTAGTAGTATTAGGTTGGTGCAAAAATAATTGCAGTTTTGCCAAAAAACGCAATTACCTTTGCACCAAAAAGCCTATACAAGGCTTTTTCCCTTAAAGAAGGAATTCTTGTTCCCGGCTCCCCAGTTTCCCTCTTCCTAGAGCGATCCACTTTCTTTTCTTTTGTAGTTTATTTTGGTGTTCCCTTCATGTCTCCAAAAATATGTTAATGTTGCTACTCTTGATTTTTTTTCAGGGTGAGCCCTTATTCGGTATCTTCTTATAAGAAAATAAGGAGTTAGCACTTTCTTCTCCTGAATCCAACACATAAGGCACACACACAAATACACACATTTCCCATCCCCTATCTTATCAATGTCATCATTTTGATTAAGTCACTATTCAGCATTTATTTTATTATGGCCATTTAGTGCTAGTCATAGCTGTGCTGTGCATATGGCAAGTTACTTTTTCTCTACTCCTTTTTATTTTTCCTGGAGTTAATAATGACTTGGGAATTTTGTTTGTTTGTTTGTTTGTTTTTGCTCAGTTTATATATACATAACCCTAATCCAGTTCCCGACTTACCATCAATTGTCTGAGTCTTTCAAGATACTTGGACATATTAGGTGATCTATCCACTTCATCTTCTTGGAGAAATCTCTCCTGGAATCCTCAGATACGCTTCACTCTACACAAATGGCTCATTATATTTGCATGCACTCAATTTGGATCTATCTGATTTATCTGATATTTTCTCATAATTAGATTGAGGTAGTGCATTTTTGCAAAGAATGTCACAGAAATAATGTTGTATCTCTCTCAGTGCATCATTCCAAAGGATGTATAATATCGATATGTCTTATTATCGGTGATGTTAACTTTGCACACTTAGTGAAGGTAGTGTCTGCTTGGTTTCTCCATTATAAAGTTCTTATTTTTCTATTTGTAGTTAATAAATATCTTGGGGGAGATACTTTGAGATTATTCAGTTTCTTCTGTAATTTTTGCCCATTTATTTTAGCATTTATTGCTGGATCTCTTCAACTATTATTACTGTGGTATTAACCTAATGTTGATTTGTTCCATTTCCCTCTTTTCTTTGTGTATATTAATTGGGATTGTTCTGAAGGAAGAGCTGCTCTTTCTCCTCCATTTACTTATATATTCAATTATATTTATGGATTTTTTTCCTATGAGGTAAATCTAATTTACCTCATAAAATTTAATGACTTCATAAAATTTAAATGGATTTATTTTTGGATTTATGGATTTTTATTTCTATGAAGTAAATCCAATGAATCATTATGTTTCTCAAATCGTTCCAGCTTTGAATGTTGGAATCTCCTTCACATTGGTTCCTTTGACCTTCTGACATGCCCCCATGCATTTTTTGGGCACGTCCTTCCTTCTGGCACAAGGTATTCCAGGTTCTCTTATTTTCCTTGCCCCAGCCTTGAATCAACCACTTCTCCAAGGAGCCCTCATTGCTTTATTGGGAAATGGTGTTTAGAAACCAAGCTAGGTATGCTCTAGGCTACTGGGATATCACTCTTTCTGGCCCTGACAGCAGCTAAAGCTAGGAAACAGATAGATAGATAGGTAGATAGATAGATAGATAGATAGATAGATAGATAGATAGATAGATATTTACACACACACCCCTATATTTATTTCTGCCTCTTTTTTTCCCATTTTTTATTACCTCTATCTTTTTATATACTAAAACTATCAGTTTATATTAATAACTTGATTTCTAGTCCTGCTTTACAGGGTTTATTGTAGCCTTCCTCCTTGACTTATTTGTAATTTCTTTTTCTGATAATGAGAAAAAATATATTTACCTATTTGTTCAATTTTAGTATACACATAAAGTAGTTTCAGAATTTCTAACTTACTTCTCTGTGAGAAACAAATTTACCAACTAGATTTAGGTATTTGTATATAGTACTTTTTGTTTTAGTCTTATAGTGTCCAGTCAAAATACTATTTCCAAAATTACTTAGGTTGGTTATTTCAGGTCCATTTGTTACTGTTTTTGTTTGAGATGGAGTCTCGCTCTGTCACCAGGCTGGAGTGCAGTGGGCAATCTCGGCTCACTGCAAGCTCCGCCTCCCGGGTTCAAGTGATTCTCCTGCCTCAGCCTCCCGGGTAGCTGTGACTACAGGCGCATGCCACCACGCCTGGCTAATTTTTGTATTTTTAGTAGAGACAGGGTTTCACCATGTTGGCCAGGATGGTCTCAATCTCTTGACCTCGTGATCCGTGCCAGCCTTGGCCTCCCAAAGTGCTGGGATTACAGTTATGAGCCACCATGCCCGGCCGTATATACGTAGTTTTATAAGGAATTGCTACATTCCCCTCCAGAAAAGTTGTCTGCTTAGTTTTTTTCCTGCTGTAACAAATTAGCACACATTTAGTGGCTTAATCCAACACAAATTTATTGTAGCTCTGGAGGTCAGAAGTAAAAAGTAGGCCTTACAGAGCTAAAATCAAGATGTCAGCAGCCTATATTCCTTCCTAAAACTGTATGGGAGAATGCGTTTCCTTGATTTTTTATGCTTTTTTTTTGAGATGGAGCCTTGCTCTGTCACCCAGGCTGGAGTGCAATGGCACGATCTTGGCTCACTGCAACCTCTGCCTTCCAGGTACAAGGGATTTTCCTGCCTCAGCCTCCCGAGTAGCTGGGATTACAGGTGCTCACCATCATGCCCAGATAATTTTTGTAATTTTAGTAGAGACAGGGTTTCGCCATGTTGGCCAGGTTGATCTCAAACTCCTGACCTCAGGTGATCCACCCTTCTTGGCCTCCCAATGTGCTGGGATTATACAGGTGTGAGCTACCACACCCAGCTGATTTTTTTTTTTTTTTTGAGACAGAGTTTTTCTCTTGTTGTCCAGGCTGGAGTGCAGTGGCGCAATCTTGGCTCACTGCAATCTCCACCTCCTGGGTTCAAGCGATTCTCCTGTATCAGCCTCCCAAGTAGCTGGGACTACAGGTGCGTACCACCACACCCAGTTAATTGTTGTATTTTTAGTAGAGACCGGGTTTCACCATATTGGCCAGGCTGGTCTCGAACTCCTGACCTTGTGATCCACCTGCTTCGGCCTCCCAAAGTGCTGGGAGTACAGGCATGAGCCACCGTGCCCAGCCTATTTTCCACTTTTTAAAATAACTTTAAGTGTAGGGCTTATATACAATACAGATTTGAGTTTTACTATATAAACCAATCTGATTTTCTTTTCATTTTAATAAGTGAAAGTCTAATTACATTTTTGGTAAATTTGGGCTTAATCCTATATATTGTCTTATGTTATATTTTCTGGGTTTTATAGTTTTTAAAAAGCACTTTCAGGCTGGGTGTGGTGGCTCATGCCTGTAATCCCAGCAGTCTGGGAGGCTGAGGTGGGTGGATCACGAGGTCAAGAATTCAAGACCAGCCTGGCCAACATGGTGCAACCCCGTCTCTACTAAAAATACAAAAATTAGCTGGGCGTGGTGGTGTGTTCCTGTAATCCCAGCTACTCAGAAGGCTGAGGTAGGAAAATTGCTTGAACCTGGGAGGTGGAGGTCGCAGTGAGCTGGGATCGCGCCACGGCACTTCAGCTTGGGCGACAGAGCAAGACTCCATCTCGGAAAAAAATTAAAAAGTAAAAATAAATAAATTAGCCTGACATGGTGCTGTGCACTTATTATTCCAACTACTTAGGAGACTGAGGTAGGAGGGTCACTTAAGCCTCGGAGGTCAAGGCTGCAATGAGCTGTGATAGTGCCACTGGACTCCAGCCTAGGCTAGGTGACAGAGCAAGACCCTGTCTCAAAAAAAAAAACAAAATGTGTACCTTGAAGTAAAATTGCTGGAACATGGAAGTGCATGTTTTAATTTACAAGATACTCAACTTGTTCTGGGAAGTGATTGTATCAGTTTATGCTCGTACTAACAATGACAGTGTCTGAGAATGGCATTTCCTTCCTCTCTTGATATTCTTCAACTTAAGCTTTTGATATTGTCCTTAATATTGTCTAAGTGAAATTTCTGCTGATATGAGGAAGGGAAATGCTGTTATGGTTTTAATTTACTAGTGATATTATTGAGCATCTTTCCAGGAATGCATTGTCTATAAAGTTTTTCTCTTCTGTGAATTACCTGCTCATACATTTTTTTGTTTTGTTTTTTGAGACAGGTTCTCACTCTGTTGCCCAGGCTGGAGTGCAGTGGCATGATCTTGGCTCACTGCAGCCTATACCTACGGAACTCAAGCAATCTTCTCACCTCAGCATGCACACCACTGCACCTGGTTAATTTTTTTGTTTATTTTTCTTGTAGAGACGAGGTCTCACTGTGTTGCCCAGGCTGGTCTAGCACTCCTGGGCTCAAGCGATCCTCCCATCTTGGCATCCCAAACTGTTGGGATTACTGGCATACTTCCACTTTTGGAGAATTAGATTATTTTTCTTTTTCTTACTGATTTGTAGTAGAACTAAATTCTGGGCATTATTCATTTTTCTATGATATATGTTTTAGTTGTTTTTTCTCAGATTGTCCCTTGCCTTTTGACTTTGTGTTTTCTCCCGCACACAAGTTTTCAAGGTTAATGTCAAATTCATTCCTTTCAACCAGATGTCGTCAGGATGGTAGTGAGGAGGTCATGCTCCCCTTCACTGTGTTCTCTGTGTCTTGCAGGTTTTTAATGCTGTAAGTGTGTTTCTCTTGATATTTTTTTCATGACCTTTTCCACAATGATAGGGAATTTTACAAGTCAACCCTGGTTGAGTTCTTTCACAGAGATTTTGGTGGAAGAAAGGTATAAAATGCAAGGGCTTAGGTCCTATTATTGGTTTTGGAATGTTCTTTTTTTGTTCATAATTTTCTTTTATATTATTGATTACTTTTGTCCAAGTTTATTTAAAATAATTTTCTTAAGTTCTGAAATAAAATCCTTATGGAATTCTGGTTGAAACTGATCTGATGTAAATTAACCTGTGGTAAAAACATATGCATATATTATTTTTTTGCTTTGTTGCAATTATATATTACATGGGTTCATTTAAATCTTCCTTAGAAGAATTTCGTAACATTTTGTAGGACTTTTTTTGTGTTCTTGCCAACCTTACTCCCTTCTCTCTTCCAATTACTTACATAGCAGTTGTAATCTCAACTCACTGCCTTCACCTCAGGTTCTCTTCCACTGTCTTATCACTTGTAATCTGGCTTCTGCCCTTCTAGTTTAGCTACATCCAGGTACCCTTCTTCATTTTCATATCCTTCAGCTTATTGAGATGTATAAGATAGTTCTTACCACTATCCATTTTCTCTTTTCAGAGCTCTGTTCTCCCTTTAATGGACTCTTTCCCCTGTTTTTCTGTTGTTTCCTCGTTTACCATAAGATCTTTGTTGTATTAATGTGGATCTCTGTCCAGTTCTGTGTAGTAGAACTTTCTTTTCTCTTCTTTTCCTTTTTTTTTTTTTTTTTTTTTTGAGACAGTCTAGCTTTGTCACCCAGGCTGGAATGCTGTGGCGTGATCTTGGCTCACTGCAACCTCCACCTGCCAGTTCAAGCAATTCTCGTGCCTCAGCCACCTGGGTAGCTGGGATTATAGATGTGAGCCACTGCGCCCAGCTAATTTTTGTATTTTCAGTAGAGACGAGGTTTCACTGTGTTGGCCAGGCTGGCCTTGAACTCCTGGCCTCAAGTGATCCACCAGCCTCGGCCTCCCAAAGTGTTGGGATTACAGGCGGGAACCCCCATGCTTGGCCTCTAGTAGAAATTTCTCTGATGATGGAAATAATCTATATGTGTGCTTTCTAATACAGTAGCCACTAGCCACATTTAGCTTTGAGTGCATAAAATGTGGCTAGTGTGAGTAAGGAACTGACTTTTTAAAATGTTATTTAAATTTAAATTGCTGCTTATACTTAGTGGCTACCGTATTGGATAGCACAGCTCTATACAGTCTTTTAATCAAGGGGATCCAATCTGTAAGTCTATATGTAAAGATAGTGGTTGGAGCTCCAGGCACCTCAGAGTCTCCCATGTTGGAAAATAACTGTAGTCTTCTCCCATCAGGCTTCTTTTATTCAGCATTAAGTTAGTTATTGTATAAATCTGCTATTTGCCTGGAGTAAAGACTTATTTTTGGTAAGATGGAGTATAGTGGCTTCAGGTGATGCCTACAAGAGATGAGATCCAGGCAAGTGAGTGAGGGAACAGAAGTAGTTGTATTTCTAGGGAAAGAATGAATGGTATGGACCTGACAAAGGACAGGCGAACAAGGCCTCTCAGGCCTGGGTGTAGACAAGTAAGAAAATCCAAGGCGGTATATAGGACGGACTGGTAGGGATGAGGCTTTCCTTGGGTGAAGGGTGTATTGGAAAGAAGAAAGATACAGATGAATAATATTTCCTTTTCAATTTTGTTCTGACCTATACTGGAGACAGCTTTACTTTTCAACAGATGAGAAACTGTTATGGCAAAGACTGTATCTATTTAACCCCCAAATGCCAAAATACGTAGTTCTAAAATAATCCGTAACCACATCTAAACATGAAAATGTCTCTGTCACTGAAATAGTCACTATATTTTGGAATCCTGATTATAGCCTTGAACACCAAGCTCATATTCTCCGAGAATTATTCCTTAACTAAGCTAGTGAGTTTTGATCTCTTTTTTCCTGACATTTATACCTGTAATAATCTATATCATATTAGCTTATCCTTCATTATGTGCCATATGGAATTATCACCTGCACAGGCTTGAGCTCTCAGAATTTACAAAAGGTAGAAAGACCTTGTGTCAGGCTTTCCCCCCTCTACTAGGTACTTCAGACCTACTAATAGGTTCTATGTATTTGAATATATTGGCTGATTATTGTGGTGTGAAAGGACTTTCTCATTTTTTGAGATCATCTTCTAAAAAATAGTTTTATTTCTACCTTACCCAACCAATATCCTCTCCTGAAAGTATCACGTATCTTCTCAATAGGCATCATTTTCCCTTAATGGTGAGAAAAGCTGACCACTAGGTTTCTTTTAGTCACTGAGAAAAAATATATATAAATTTTTCCTGGACCCTGATAAAAATCTTAGAAGTTGTTGAACAGCATTAGTGGAAAAAGTTGCTATGAGATTAATCTGGCAGCAGTCATCCATTTAACAACATGCTGACATTGTCTGAGGCATTGGATGCAATAGTAGAAGAAAAAGGGGTGAACATCCATCCCTGCCCTCATGGAGCTTTCAGTCTTATGAATACCAGTGCAGAATGGACAGGAGGGCTTAAAGACTAGAGGCAGGGAAACTGGCTGTGATCTAATCAGACATCCTCAACTCCTTATCTTGTTAGCATTTAGCTTTGCCTGCCTTTTGATGACCTGCATTTTACCTGTGTCCCCAACTACCACCTCCCTATCGTCAACACATATACCTTCCCTTCTCAGCTCTCTTTATTCTTTGTGCTTCCATTGTCTTTTGTTCATATTGCATGGCCATATTTGGGAGCTATTAGAACCACAGACTTTCTACCCTCCTTCCCCCCAGTTAAATTCTTCCATTTCTTCTCTAACAATTTTCTTCCTCATAGCAAAAGAACAAAGGAGACATTTGCTTTCTTGATATTTTTCAGACTGGGAGTCTTGGTGTGAAATTGAGGAATTATCTCCAAAATGGTTCATTGATGAAGATGAAATATCCCAGGAGATGGTAATGGAAAGGCTAGCAAGTCATGGCCTTGAATGCTCCAGTTTCAGAGAAGCCTGGAAATATAAGGGTGAATTTGAGCTACATCAGGGAAATGCGGAGAGGCATTTCATGCAAGTGACAGCTGTTAAGGAAATCTCTACTGGGAAAAGAGACAATGAATTTAGTAATTCTGGGAGAAGCATACCCCTGAAATCAGTATTTTTAACACAACAGAAAGTTCCTACCATACAGCAAGTACATAAATTTGATATTTATGATAAACTCTTCCCCCAAAATTCAGTCATAATTGAATATAAAAGACTCCATGCTGAGAAGGAATCTTTGATAGGTAATGAATGTGAAGAATTCAACCAGAGTACGTACCTTAGTAAAGATATAGGAATTCCTCCTGGGGAGAAACCTTATGAAAGTCATGATTTTTCAAAGCTCTTAAGTTTCCACTCATTATTTACTCAACATCAGACCACTCATTTTGGAAAATTACCCCATGGATACGATGAATGTGGTGATGCCTTTAGCTGTTACTCATTCTTTACTCAACCTCAGAGAATTCACAGTGGAGAAAAACCATATGCATGCAATGACTGTGGAAAAGCCTTTAGCCACGACTTCTTTCTCAGTGAACATCAAAGAACTCATATTGGGGAGAAACCTTATGAATGTAAGGAATGTAACAAAGCTTTCAGACAGAGTGCTCACCTTGCTCAACATCAGAGGATCCACACTGGAGAGAAACCGTTTGCGTGCAATGAATGTGGGAAGGCCTTTAGCCGTTATGCCTTCCTTGTTGAACATCAGAGAATTCACACAGGTGAGAAACCATATGAATGTAAAGAATGTAATAAAGCCTTCAGACAGAGTGCTCACCTTAATCAACATCAGAGGATTCACACTGGAGAGAAACCCTATGAATGTAATCAGTGTGGAAAAGCCTTCAGCAGACGCATAGCCCTTACTCTACATCAAAGAATTCACACAGGAGAGAAACCCTTCAAATGTAGTGAATGTGGGAAGACCTTTGGCTATCGCTCACACCTGAATCAACATCAGAGAATTCATACCGGAGAAAAGCCCTATGAATGCATCAAATGTGGGAAGTTTTTTAGGACTGACTCACAACTTAATCGACATCATAGAATTCACACTGGAGAGAGACCATTTGAATGCAGTAAATGTGGGAAAGCCTTCAGTGATGCTTTAGTTCTAATTCACCATAAGAGAAGTCATGCAGGAGAGAAACCCTATGAATGTAACAAATGTGGAAAGGCCTTCAGTTGTGGCTCATATCTTAATCAACATCAAAGAATTCATACTGGAGAGAAACCCTATGAATGTAGTGAATGTGGGAAGGCTTTTCATCAGATCTTGTCCCTAAGACTACACCAGAGAATTCACGCTGGAGAAAAACCTTATAAATGTAACGAATGTGGGAATAATTTTAGCTGTGTCTCAGCCCTTAGACGACATCAGAGAATTCATAATAGAGAAACGCTCTGATTATAACAAGTATAGGAAAGAAAACATGTGGTTACCACTCAATCCTTATTAAATATTAGTGAGTTCTTTTTGGTTAGTAATTCTTTGAATGTAGTTCATATTTCAGTTCATGAGTATCCGTTATTTGAAGTAGCTCAGTAGTAGACATCTGTTACTTTTTTTTTTTTCAGACAGAGTCTCGCTCTGTTGCCCAGGCTGGAGTGCAGTGGTGTAATCTTGGCTCACTGCAGCCTCTGCCTCCTGGGTTCAAGCAATCCTCCTGCCTCAGCCTCCTGAGTAGCTGGGATTACAGGTGCCTGCCACCATACCTGGCTAATTTTTGTATTTTTAGTAGAGACGGGGTTTCACCACATTGGTCAGGCTGATCTCGAACTCCTGACTTTAGGTGATCCACACGCCTCAGACTCCCAAAGTGCTGGGATTATGGGCGTGAGCCACCGCGCCTGGCCACATCTGTTACTTTTTGATCTGTTCTATACCTGGCTTAGCCCACCCTCAATGCATATGATTCAGATGAAACTGTTAATCAGGGACAGCAGTGGACTGGTCACAGGCTGGCCAATTATTTCCCCCAACCTAGTGATAAGGGATTGGCAAATGGCCCTGTCTGGATCAATGAAGTCCTTTGCGGGTATTCCTATGGGCAGTAAGAGAGGTTTTATTCTGGAACTGCAAGTTTCAAGGATTTAATAAGATTAAAAACTCACCAGTAGCCTTTTTGCCACTCATGAGGAAAGCTTTCCCAAAGAGAAATCTAACAGAGGAAAATGGAGATGAGAGACAGAAATATGATGATACAGCTTGATCTCCTGGATCCAGTCATTCCTGACAGCTACACCATCACCATCCTTTTTCATTTTTTGTGATCCAATAAATTTCCTTTTTTTGCTTAATTTGGATTATATTTTTGCCTCATGGAATTAGAGTGCTGATTCACACATTCTATGTTTGCTATACATAAAAGAAAGCCTTAATTTTTTACGTGGCATAATTATTTATCCTGAGGAGCAACCTTCTGATATAACAAGTTTATGAAAGTTGAATACACAGCCTTCATAAAACTGAGATAATTGTTACATTTTATTTGTCGATAAAACTATTTTAGTGTTTCTTAGTTTTTTTCACATTATGGCTGAATATTTTAAAATTCACCAAGTAAAATTCTTTAACAGGCTTCCCCTTAAGGAGTTAAAATCATTTGTCACAGTGACTCACCATTTGCCTGTAAAGAGAGAATGGAAAGCTAAGAGAATAATACTTTCATTTGTTTAATGAATGGCTCTTCATCTTCAAGGAATTACTTGATTTTCTTCTTTCAGTATGGGTCTAAACATATTCTGTGGCAGAATATAATAACAATTAAATTGTAAATGAGGTCTTTTGTGGGTGGGCTCTAAATTTGGTTTAAGACCCAGTGCGGTGGCTCACGCCTGTAATCCGAGCACTTTGGGAGGCCGAGGTGGGCAGATCACCTGAGGTCAGGAGTTCGAGACCAGCCTGACCAACATGGAGAAACCCCGTCTCTACTAAAAATACAAAATTAGCCGGGTGTGGTGGTGCGTGCTTGTAATCCCAGCTACTCAGGAGGGTGAGGCAGGAGAATCACTTGAACCTGGGAAGTGGAGGTTACAGTGAGCGAAGATCGCGCCATTGTACTCCAGCCTGGGCAACAAGAGCGAAACTCCTTCTCAAAAAAAAAAAAAAAAAAAAAATAAATAAATAAATAAATAAATAAATTTGGTTTAAGAAGTGTATGGATAACTTCTTTGCAGCTAGAGATATCAAACAAAGATATTGCTGGCAGAAAGAATGAGTCATTTTTAACAAATGGTAAAAGTAAAGCAGTTAATGCCTAAAATTTTTAGAGACTAAATCATTTCCATTATTGGGAGTAATGAGGAAGATGAAGGTGTAGGGCAATACGTTTCTTTTTTATCTGAGTGGATATAGGGAAATAAACTGGTGATATGGCAGCTGGGCCATCTTGAATAGTGAGAACCAGTAAGAATATTGGGTATTGCCTGAAGAGCATCTGTAAAAACATATCAGAACAAATGAAAGAGGAAAGAATGAAGGATTTATATGTGTGCATAGAGTGAATATATGTGTGCATAGAGTGAAATATTCAACTTATACTTATTTCTAATAAAATCTGAAAATTATTTTTCATAAATATTCAAATTCCCTTTAAACAGCTTAAAATACAGATTTAGTGACTCAGTACTTCAAACCTTGAATAGAAACAAATATGATTATAAAATATTTCCAAACTTATGTTACATCTAATCTGAAACATATTAATATTATAAGCTTAATTCATGTCATCATTTCTTTATTTTTTATTATATTTCCTGGAGGTATAAGGATATTTATTTTTATAATTTCCAAGCACTGAGTAATAATTTATTTCAGAAAGTTTCAGAAGGTTACAGTAAACTTTACCAAACTTGAAGAAGAATGACTCAGATCAGTAAGAAGAGTCTGAGTTACTCACTAATTGATTTTTATTTTATTTATTTATTTTTTTTGAGACAGGGTCTCACTCTGTTATCCAGGCTGGAATGCGGTGACACAATCATGGCTCACTGCAGCCTCAACTTCCCAGGCTCAAGCGACCCTCCCACCTCAGCCTCCTGAGTAGCTGGGACTACAGGTGTGCTCTACCACACCTGGCTAAGTTTCGCGTTTTTCTGTAGAGATGGGGTTTCGCGAGTTGCCCAGGCTGGTCTCCAACTCTTGGCCTGAAGTGATTTGCCCATCTCGGCTTCCCAAAGTGCTGAGATTATAGGGATGAGTCACTGTGCACAGCTACTAATTGATTTTTGATCTATGTATGGCACCTGATTTCATCCTCGAGAGTGACGTAAACCTAAGCTACTGGTTCATTCTCTGTTTATATAGTTAAACTTCACTTGTAATGTTGATAAAATCTTTTGTACCCATGTGTTTAGCTTCAGTGTATTTTACAATCTGATGTTTCTCCTCACAATGAAGTACTAAATTTTGTTTCTTTTCAACTGTACAACCCATTGTCTTGTGATATATTGACCTGATCTCTTAGGATTAGTGAAAATTTATGCTTTATTAATATTTGATTGTTATTAGGACCATCTAGAGATTTCTGTTTATGTGTGTGTATGTGCATCTGAAGATGTGTATTTTATTTAAATTTTTTGTATTAAGTGCCTACTGTGTGCCAGGCTTTGTTCTAATCTAAGCAATGGAGATACAGCAGTGAACCAAACAGACAAGAATTCCTGCCTTCAGAGAGCTAATTTCTAATAAGGAAGACAATGAAAAAGATATGTAAGTAAAATATATAATATGTAAGAAAGTAAATTCCAAGGTGAAAAAGATGAAAAAAGGGATGGGGAGCCAGGGAAGGCCCTTCTGAAGTTAACTTTTGAGTGAAGACCTAAAAGAGAAATATCTATCTATCTGTCTATCTACCTATCTCTATCTATCTATCTATCTATCTATCTATCTATCTATCTATCTATCTATCTATCTATCTATCTACTCATCCATCCATCTATCCAAACTACATATATATACCCACCTATAGACACATTTATATGCCTTTATAGCTAATGGGAAGGAAATCTTTAGTGGTATATATACATTTACACTTTATACTTACTAATTTATTCTCATTTTATCATGTCTACATATTTGTGTGTTACATTTTAACACTTGACTCAGATGAATTATGGCCTTTTACAATCTAAACAAATTTCACTTAATTATAGTGTATTTAATGTTGGTGCTTAATTGTCAGAATGTAGCCACTGGGGATTAATTTAAGAAAACTCCTTGCTCCCTCCAGTACATGAATTTTGGACAAAATTGCTGCCATTATGATTGAGCCCGTTTTAGAGATCGCTGGGGAAAAAAATGTTTCCTTTTTAGAACATGGTTTCATGCTGATTTCTGGTTCTGTCTCAATATATTTTGTTATACCCTACTAAGATTTTCAACTTTATTCACAAAACTCGAGACAGGGAGGTAATAGATTGGATGGTGGAGAAAAGTAGATTGCTGGAAGCCATGAGGTGGCGATACTTCACTAACAGAGGAATAAGTCGCCTTCCTGGACAGCTTTCTTAGACAGGTATTTACACAGCAATTTCTCACATATTCTTTGAGAAAGAGTAGTGAAAGTATCAGCTCTTTGGATATTGGGACAAGTATGGACTTTGGAGTTAGACCTACATATGGATGTCAACTCTTTGTCAGGAGAGCTTGAATAAGTGATTCAGGCTCAGTTTAGTCATCTGTAACACTGGAATAATAATTCTAGCCTTTTGATTTTTTGTGAGGATTAATTGAAAGAATGTAATTTGTAAACAGTTAACAATGGGGTTATTATTAATGATAAAATCAATCACAAAGAGTTGGACTGTGTCCCTGAAAGCCAGCTACTCATGGGGGACGGAATTGTGAATTTAGCCCACGTCCTTCCTCTACGTACATGGGTTGAGTCCCAAACAGCAGTGGCCCCAGCCCATCTTTCTGATCCTGGAGTGGTACCTGCAGCTCTAGAGTCTCCCAGAGCTCCCTCTATATATACGTATTTCTTTTCAAGACGGAGTTTTGCTCTTGTTGCCCAGGCCCGAGTGCAATGGCACAATCTCGGCTCACTGCAACCTCCCCCTCCTGGGTTCAAGCGATTCTCCTGCCTCAGCCTCCCGAGTAGCTGGGATTACAGGTGCCTGCTACCATGCAAGGCTAATTTTTTGTCTGTGTGTTTTTAGTAGAGACAAGGTTTCGCCATGTTGGCCAGGCTGGTCTTGAACTCCTGACCTCAGGTGATCCGCCCGCCTCGGCCTCCCAAAGTGCTGGGATTATAGGCGTGAGCCACCACGTCCGGCCTTGATATTTGAGACTGTTAGGACTCTGACTTTGTTCTTTTTTTTTGAGTCAGAGTCTCGCTCTGTCTCCCAGGCTGGAGTGCAGTGGTGCGATCTTGGCTCACTGCAATCTCCACCTCCTGGGTTCAAGCGATTCTCCTGCCTCAGCCTCCCGAGTAGCTGGTATTACAGTCACCTGCCACCATGCCTGGCTAATTTTTATATTTTTAGCAGAGACAGGGTTTCACTATGTTGTCCAGGTTGGTCTCAAACTCCTGACCTCGGGTGATCCACCCGCCTCAGCCTCCCAAAGGACTGGGATTACAGGCACCCAGCCAGGATGCTGACTTTTATTAACAGAGGCCAGGAAAAGAAAAAAATAGGCATAGCTCTTGGTTTTGTTTTTTTTCATTTTGCATTTTTTTTTAGACTTCATAGCACATTATCAAAATAATTTACTGTCACACTAATTTCTTGATTTGTTCCCCCCCCATCATTCCCAATTCCTATTCTTCATAGGCACACACACAGGTATGTTTGATATACATTCTTAAATGAATGTGCATTCCCATAATACGAATGGTACTATGCTACAAATTCATTTTTTTCTAGTGAGAACTGATTTTTAGATTTTTCATGTTTCTCTGTGCACAGTGCTCTAATGCTGTTCATCCCTTCTAACATTTGTGTAGTAATTCCTTGTGTATATTTACTACATTTTACTTATCTATTCCTGTAGTGATGGATGCAACTCCTGGCTACCACAAAGAATATTCTTGCAGACTGGAACTAGGTTAGACTATTTGCCTGGCAATTGCCTAGTGGGATAAAGAGTTTTTCGTACACTCAATGTTACCAGGAACAACCAGATTGCTTTCTAGAATGGCTGCAACTGTTTACATTCTCACCAGCAGCACCTCTTTCTACATCCTTGCAAACACTCGTTCTTTAATGTGTTCATTTGCATTATTAAGGACTACTGGTGAATTAGAGCACATCTCTGTATACTTGCCACTCACTTGGACACTCTATGAAGTGTTTATTCTTACCCTGTTTATCCCTTATCAAATAATTTATCAACTCCATTCATAAAAGTTAAGATTTAGTTGAAAATCCATCTGGCCTTGAGACTTTTTTTTTCCCCTGAAGGAATGTCTCTATATATGACTTCAGTTTATTAGGTTTATTCAAGTGTATTCATTTTGTTAGGTTATCAACTTTTCTTACAAATAGTCCTTTATAATATTTTTATTATTTTAACTTCATGTTTCTTATTTGCATCTTTTTCGTTTTCTTATTTGAATCTTTGCTCATTTTTTGAATATCAGCCTTAAAAGAGGTTTATATAACTTATTGATCATTGATCTTTTCAAAACCCTGTCTCAGTTTTGTTATCCTTTTCTCTTACTTTTTTCTAATTCTCTATTTTATTGATTTCTTTATCTTTATAATTTCTTTTTTGTTTCTTTTAGTGTGCTGTGTTCCTCTTATTCCACACTTGTAAATTGACAATTTGATTTTTATTTTTGATAAATGTATTTAAAGCTGTAATTTTCCTCTAAGTACTACATAAGCTATGTCTCACAATTTTGGCGTTTAATGTTTTCATTGTTATTCATTTTCACATGTTTTGTAATTTATGTATTCTTTTTTAATTCAAAAGGCTTGGCTATCTTTTTCTAATGCTATTGCAGGATAGTCAGATGTTTACATTTGTTCTTTGGAACTGAATGAGGCTTCGCTTACTGCCTCATATGTGATCAATTTTCATAACTGTCACTTTTTAAAATTATTATTTATTTATTTATTTATTTTTGAGATGGAATCTTGCTGTGCTACCCAGGCTGCAGTGCAGTGGCACGATCTCAGCTTATTGCAACTTCCACCTCCCAGGTTCAAGCGATTCTCCTGCCTCAGCCTCCCGAGTAGCTGGGACTACAGGCGTACGCCACCACACCCAGCTAATTTTTGTACTTTTGGTAGAGACGGGGTTTCACTATGTTGGCCAGGATGGTCTCCATCTCTTGACCTCATGATCCACCCACCTTGTCCTCCCAAAGTGCTGGGATTACAGGCGTGAGCCACTGTGCCTGGCCTCCATATACTTTAAAAATAAATGTGACAGCTCGGGCATGGTGGCTCACGCCTGTAATCCCAGCACTTTGGGAGGACGAGGTGGGTGGATCATGAGGTCAAGAGATCGAGACCATCCTGGCCAACATAGTAAAACCCCGTCTCTACCAAAAGAACAAAAATTAGCTAGGTGTGGTGGTGTGCACGTGTAGTCCCAGCTACTCGGGAGGCTGAGGAGGAGAATCGCTTGAACCTGGGAGGTGGAAGTTGCAGTGAGCCGAGACTGATCCACTGCACTCCAGCCTGGGCGACAGAGCAAGGCTCCATCTCTAAATAAATAAATAAAGTATAGGTATTACAGGCTTTTGGGGTGTAAATTCCCCGTCTGTTAGCTCAAGCCAACCAACTATTGGATTTTTCTCAATTTGATAGGTAGAACATGATTTCCCAGTGTAGTTTTAATTTGTTTTTTTCTTATTATGAATGAGTTTGCACTTCTTTTCTGTGAACTCTCATGATATTTTTGCCCAATTTTCAACTGGACTCTAGCGTTTTTCTTGTATAGCAGGGAAATTAGCACTTTATGTGAGTTGCAAATATTTTCTTCCAGTTTGCTATTTGTCTTTTGAATTTGTTTATGGTCCTTTTGCCATGAAAAATTGATAATATTATCTAATTTGCCAGTTTGTTCCTTTAAGTCTTCTTAGTTTTGATTCACGTTTAAAAAAAGGCCCTCTGCATCTTGGGTGTGTTAGTTCATTTGGTGCTGCTATAACAGAATACCTGAGATGAGTAATTTAAAAGGAATATAAATTTATTTTCTCATAAGTCTGGAGTCTGGGACGTCCAAGATCAGGATGCTGGCATCTGATGAGGGCCTTCTTGTTGCATCCTCACATGGCAGAAGGCAGAAGGGGCAAGAAAGCAAGAGAGAGCTCCCTTCAACCTCAAACCCTCTTATAAGGCCCCTAATCCCATCCATGAGGACTTTGCCCTTATGACTTAATTACCTCTTAAAGGCCCCACCTCTTAATACTGTAACATTGGAGATAAGATTTTAACCTATGAATTTTGGAGGGGACATACACATTCAAACCATAGCATTCCACCTGTAGCACCCCCCACCTCCCAAAATTTTGTTTTTCTCACATGAAAAATACATTAATTCTATCTTAATAGCCCCCAAATCTTATTCCAGCATCATCTCAAAAGTCTAAGGTCCAGAGTCTCATCCAAATCAGATCTAGGTGAGACTCAAGGCATGGTGCATTTTGAGGGAAATCTACCTCCAGTGTAAGCCTATGAAATCAAACAAGTTTTGTGCTTTCAAAATACAATGACATAGAGTAGACATTTTGATTCCAAAGGAGAAATAGGAAAGAAGAAAGATGTAACAGGTCTCAATGAAGTCCAAAACACAAAAGGGCAAACAGTATTGAATCTTTAGGCTTGAGAATAATCTTTGACTTCATGTCCTACTTTCCACACACTAGGGAAGCAGTTGGGCTCCCAAATCCCTGAGCAGCCCCACCCCCACAGCTTTGCTGAGTGCAGCCCATTCTTCAGCTGTCACATGTTGAAGTTGCGTGCTTGCAACTTTCGCAGGCTGGTGATGCACACGGGTGGCTCTACAGTTTGGGGTCTTGAAGGCTGCCCCCCATCTGCATGGCTCCACTAGGAGTTGCCATAGTGGCGACTCTCTGTAGTGGCCCTGAGGCTGTCCAAGATATTCTTTAAAATCTAAGTGGAGGAAGCCATGCCTCCACAGCTCTTGCGCTGCACACCTGCAGAATTAGCACCATGTGGCCATTACCAAAGCTCACCACTTGTGCCCTCTGGGGCAGCAACCTGAGCAACATCCTGGGCCAGCTTGAGCCACAGCAGAGGCAGCGGAGTGCTGTGCTGGAATGCAGGGAGCAGAGACCCGAGGCAGCCCTGGGCAGTGAGCCTCAAGGTACCATGGGCACCCTGGCCTCTCTCTCAAAACCGTTCTGCCCTCAAAACCCTGCTATTCTGGGCCTTTGGTGGGCATGGCAACCTCAGAGATCTCAAAAATGTCTTTGGGGTCATCCTCCCACTATTCTGATGAACAGAACCTGGCTTCCGTCTAGCCATGCTAATCTTACTGAATAGCCACTTGGCCACACCCTTGGTTTTCATCTAAATACCCTTTTTTATTCTTTACATGGCCAAGCTGAACATTTTTCAAATCTTTATATTCTGCTTCACTTTTAATTATAAATTGTGTCTTCAATTTTTTTCTCTTTTCTCACATTTTACTAAAAGCAATTAAGAGAAGCCATGCAGCTCCTTCAATACTTTTCTTCTGCCAAATATTCTACCTAGTTCATTGCTATTAACTTCTTCCTTGATAGAGCCCTCAGGGATGGACAGAATTCAGCCAAGTCTTTTGCTATTTTGTAACAAAGATGGCCTTTCCTTCAATTTCCAATAAGATATTCCTCATTTCCATCGATACCTCATCAGAATAGCCTTTATGGTCCATATTTCTACCGACATTCTGTTCATGACCACTTAAATAATCTCTAATATGTAGGCTCTCTCTACAGCTCTCGTCTTCTGAGCCCTCACCAGTATCATTCTTAATGCTTCATTTATGGCAATATAGGCTTTTCCTAGCCTGCTTCTCCAAATTCTTCCCGCCTCTGCCCATTACACAATTCCAACGCCCCTTCCACATTTTTAGGTATTTTTAATAGTACACCCCACTTCTCTATTTTAGTCTTTTTTGCCTCCTTAACAGAATACCACAGACTAGGTAAATAATAAAGAACAGAAATTTATTTCTTACAGTTCTGGAGTCTGGGAAATTCAATATCAAGGTCCTGGCATCTAGTGAGAGCCTTCTTGCTCCGTCCTCACATGGCAGAAGGCAAAAGGGGTAAGAAAGCAAAACAGAGCTTCCTTTAACCTCAACTCATTTTCTTTTTTTTTCTTTTTTTGAGACAGAGTCTTGCTCTTGTTGCCCAGGTTGGAGTGCAATGGCACGATCTTGGCTCACTGCAACTTCCACTTCCTGGGTTCAAGCAATTCTCCTGCCTCAGCCTCCTGAGTAGCTGGGATTACAGGTGCCCACCACCACGCCAGGCTAATTTTTGTGTTTTCAGTAGAGATGGGGTTTTGCCATGTTGGCCAGGCTGGTCCCGAACTCCTGACCTCGTGATCTGCCTGCCTCAGCCTCCCAAAGTGCTGGGATTCCAGGCGTGAGCCACCGTGCCCAGCCAACCTCAAGTACTTTTATAAGGGTCCTAATCCCATACATGGCCTCACCTCTTAATATTGTCACATTAGGGATTAGGTTTTAACCTAGGAATTTTGGAGGGAACACAAACATTCAAACCATATCCCTGAGATAATTTTAAAATTTTCCCATGATTTCCTCCTGTTATGTTTTTGCTTTCATTTTTTTCCTTTAATTTTTTTTGTGTGTACAAATCCAACTTTACCCCTCTACAGTTACCTAGTTTCCAATGATCATTTACAAATAATTCAACATTTGCCACATATTTGAAATGTCACCTTTAACATATACCTAATTACTACATGTATTTGGGTACATTCATGTATTTCCTATTCTGTTGCAATAATTTGTTCAAGTCTACTGTCTGCTTGTTTCTTGAGAGAAGAGTTTTGAAATCTCTGCTATAATTATGAATTTGTCCATTTCTCTTTTTTTGTTCCATCAGTTTTTGCTTCATGTATTTTGGAGTTTTTTTGACTAAATGCATAAACGTTTGGGATTGTTATGTACTGTTAATTGATCCTATTGTTACAAAATGACATTCTTTGTCCCTGTTAATATTCTTAGCTCTCAAATCTACTTTGATAGTGGTATATCTACTCCAGCTTAGTATTTTTTAATTTTTCAGACTGGGTCTTGCTCTGTCACCCAGGCTCGAGCCCAGTGGTGCAATCACAGCTCACTGCAGCCTCGACCTCTGGGCTCAAGTGATCCTCTCACCTCACCCTTCGGAGTAGCTGGAACCACAGGCACACACCACCATGCCTGGCTAATTTTTTGATTTTTTATAAAGACGAGGTCTCCCTGTGTTGCCAGGCTGGTCTTAAACTGGGCTCCTGCCTCAGCCTCCCAAAGTGTTAGGTTTACAGGCGTGAGCCACAGCACCTGGTCTACTTCAGCTTTTTAAAATTAGCATTAGCATGGTATATCTTTTTCTTTTTTTTTGTTTTGCTTTTAACCTATTTATATTTTAATATAACCTTATTTATTATAATTTAAATATGACCTTTGTAATTTAAATATAACCTTTATAGTTAAAATGGGCATCATATAGTTGGGTGTTTTTTTAATTCAGCCTGAAGATCTCTGTTTATTGGGATGTTTAGACCATTTACACATTTTATATAATTTATTGAGTAAAAATCACATAATATGAAAGTAATCATTTTAAAGTGAACAATTCAGTGGCATTTAGTACATTCACAGTGTTGTGCAATAGCCACTTCTAATTCCAAAACACTTCGATCATTCCAAAGGAAAACCTCTTACCAATTAAGCACTTTCTCCCCCATTCTCCCCTTCCTCTATTCCCTAGTAACCACTAATCTGTGTTCTTTCTCTATGGATTTATTTATTTTAGGTATTTCATATAAATTGAATCATGCAATATGTAACCTTTTGTATCTACTTTCTTTAGCATAATGTTTTGCAGCTTCATCCATGTTGTGGCGTTATGCATACTCCATTCTTTTTTATGGCTGAATAATATTCCATTGCATGAATTACCACACTGGTAATTTTGTCTATTTGGTAACTTTCATCTATTTGGTAACCTGGTAACTTTATTCATCTGTTGATGGACATCTGGGTTATTTCCACCTTGTGGCTATTGTAAATAGTGCTGCTATGAACATGTGTGTGCATGGTCTTGTATTCAGTTCTTTTGGGTATATACCTAGGGGTAGAATTATTAAGTCATACGGTAATTCAATGTTTAGCTTTCTGAGGAACTGCCAAATTGTTTTCTACAGTGGCTGAACTATTTTACATTCCCACCAGCAATGTATCAGTTTTCCAATATCTTCACATCCTCACTAACACCCAGTTTCCTTTTTTTGATTATTGCCATTCTAGTAGATGTGAAGTGGTACCTTATTGTGGTTTTCATTTACATTTCACTAATGACTAATAAGGTCAAACATCTTTTCATATGCTTACTGGTCATTTGTATATCTTCTTTGGCTAGATGTCTACTCATGTCTTTTACCCAAAGTCTAATTTTGTTGTTTGTCTTTTCATTGTTGAGTCATAAAGAGATCTTAATATGTATTAGATAATAGACCTTTATCCTATACCTAATTTGCAAATATTTTCCTCCATCTTTAGGCTATCTTTTTACTGTCTTCATAATGTCCTGTGATGCATCACAGTTTCTAATGTTTATGAAGTGCAGTTTAACAAATGAGATGTGAGCAAAAGGGATGAGTGTAATTTCTGGACTGCAACCCTAGAAAGCACTGTGCCTGCTTCCTCTGCCCTCTCCTGCCCTATTGGCTGGGAGATGCTGAGAGTTTTAACATCCCCCTTTGCCCCAAAGATGGATACTACTCACTATGGAAGGCAGAGCTATCCCACCAGCCCTGGACTGCTCAGCCCTAGATTCTTACACGAGGTACAAATAAATATATGGTATTCAGGTCATTGAATATGTATTTTGGGGTCTTTACTATATCAGCTTAACCTATACTCTAATTTTACAACTCCAGTGTGCCATACAAATAGTACCATTTTCTGGTTGTGCCATGATGAAGGCTGGGAAGCACTATGACCTGGACCATTTGTTCTTGGTCCCTTTTGCTGACCCTTCCTTCTCACTGCCATCAAGAGGGCAATCCTTTCCTCCACACCATCCAGGTAATTAGCTTATAGTGGTCCCAAAGATAAAGGTCGAATACCCCAGCTCTTGCAGAAAATTTGAGCATATGTTGGCCATAGGAAGCCATTGCCTTGCCTTGGGTAGCACCTGGGATAAAGGTTGGTGAGCCCTGGTGCTGGAAATCCCCAAATATGGCCCCTTCCAGGGGCCCGACACCCATGAAAGACTGTACTTGCATCATGGGTTGTCCTGACATAGAGTTCCCTCTCCCTTCCTAGCTGGGAGTCAGGAGTTCCACCTCCTCCAAAGACAGACATTTTCATTGTTGTTCCCTCAAGTCCTCACGGTCACTTTCTCCTGCTCTGGCTGGCTTGGGACAAAACTGAACCTCCCAGTTTATCTTCCAGCCTCTGAGCTCCGTTATGATACAGTGAGCTGCCAAAATTAAGGTGAACTGCAGATCTAACTTCTTTGCTTGTCGGTCCCCTTGGACATGCATCCTCAGAGCGCTCCTCTCCCAGGAGGAGCCTCCCACCCCTGGGGCTTCCTCACAGCAGCACCTTCGAGCTGAGGTGGTGGGCAGGAGCTCCTTGGAACCCTCCCTTCCTCCATCCGAAGAGCTTGTTCCTTTCCACCTCTGACTTCGGTGTCCTCTGCTCCTCCTCTCCCGGCATCGCCCCTTCCCTGTGCAGGGGCAGCGATTGGGGCCTCAGCCTTAGTTCTTCCAGCTGGACCCTGGGATGGTGCGGGGCTGTGGCTCTGGGAAGTATCTTGGCCTGCACGCGGTTTACATCATTGGGAGCACAGGCCTCGCCCTCCGAACTACGAGGCCCAGAGCCCTTCGCGCCGAGCGTTTCCCGCCTTTCCCCTGTCTCAAGTCATTGCCCAGAGGCCACTGCGGGCCGTTCCTGCCTGTCCGTGGAGCTGCGGCCCCCGTGTTCCCAGGGTGAACGAGCACGTGCGAGGCGGTGGTGCTTGTATCCGGGATAACCAGGTAGGGCGGCTGCATGCTTCATAGAGGCCAGCCTGTGCCGACCGGGAGCTGTAGGACGGTCTGTGTCTGGGGCTGCTTATGGGTATTCGCGTGCGTCTGCCGGTGCGCGGTCCGAGCCTACTCACGAGAGCGTGTGTGTGTCTTCTGTCTCGTGTTGCTATGAGGTTTGCATCTGTGTGGCTGGAATAGCTTGTTTGTGGGGGCCCGCGCGTGACCTGTGTGTGCGTTACTGTGTGTGTCTCAGGCAGGATAGTGACGGGCCGTGTGACTGTGACGCCATCATCAGGTTGGTGAGATGGCGTGACCGCGTGCTGCCTATCAGTCTCCTGTATGTTCCTCCACCATCTATCTTGATATTCAGCCTGTGATAGTCTTTGGTCAGCTTCCATGCCTGGGAGGCTTTTTTGGCCAGCCACGCCCGGCTGTTAAATTGTGACAAAGTGGTATAAAGCACTGCTTGCACAGGGTCATGGATTAAAAGGGTAACGTCTGGGCCAGGCGCGGTGGCTCACGCCTGTAATCCCATCACTTTAGGAGGCCGAGGCAGGCGGATCACGAGGTCAAGAGTTTGAGACCAGCATGGCCAACATGCTGAAACCCCGTCTCTACTAAGAATACAAAAATTAGCCGGGCGTGGTGTCGGGCGCCTGTAGTCCCAGCTACTTGGGAGGCTGAGGCAGGAGAATGGCGTGAACCCAGGAGGCGGAGCTTGCAGTGAGCCGAGATCGCGCCACTGCACTCCAGCCTGGGGGACAGAGCAAGACTCTGTCCCGGAAAAAAAGAAAAAAAAAAGGTAACGTCTTCCAACAAGGGATGTGGTATTACTTTTGCTGGATCACATGTCTTATCTACCTTTTTGGAGATAATTTGTATGTAAGTAACACATACATAAGTATTATTTCTTTTTACAATAGGCCACCTTGTATTATTTTTAACCTCTCCCTCATAGCATCACTCCCTCTGTTCCTCTCTTCCTGCAGAGGTAACTACTATAATGGATTAGAAAAGTATCCTTCCCGTATATTTCCTTAGAATTTTAGTGCATATATCCCTAAACAATATTTTCTGGATTTCATTAATGCCGAAGTGTAAATTTTAACATTCGGATATCAGAATACATCTTACGGTTGCTAAAGTGTCGTATTTTAATGATGTATTTCTTACTTGCACATGAAATAATAGTGTGTCAATAATTGATAACATCTTAGCATCCTTGAAATATAGTATTACTGTTTTGCCTGATTTTGAAATGTATTTAAGTATTATATAATATATATTCTTCTACAGCTTGCTTTTTACCTTCAACATATTTGTGCAATTTATTTGTGCTTGATATTTATAGCTTTGTTTATAAAACAATGGTAATTGTTTTATAAATAATCTATTTTCATTCTCCTGTTGGTAGATACTACAGTGTCGCTATAACACTGCTGTTAATGTGTGAAAGAGGTTTTATTGGTTCATACCTAGAAGTGAATTTTTTGGGAGTTGGCGGTATAGTTGTCCTCAGCCTCACTAATATTGTTAGTTAACATTCCCACTATTAATGTATGAGTTCATTTTTCCATTTGATTCTTTCCTTCACCAATCCCTATTGTCAGGTGTTTTTTCCAAAGACTAATTTTTTTAGAGCAATTTTAGGTTCACAACAAAATTAGGCAGAAAGTACAGAGATTTTCCATATGCCTTCCCCCAAAACCTGGATGGCCTCCCCCATTCTCAACACCTCCCATCAGTGTGGTATATTTGTTATAACTGATGAATCTACATTGATACATTGTTATCACTCAAAGTCCATAGGGTTCACTGTTGGTGTTGTACAGTCCATACAGCATAAACCTGTAGCATAGAAGTTTTGGCATGCTCCCTGGGGCGAACCACAAGTCAAAGGGTGAAGTGGGAGAGGGAAGAAAAAACTGAACCTGTCATAATCCCTATCACTCAGTGTTTTTAAGATAATCCTTTCCCCAAATTGTACTTTCATCTACACAAAACTATGCAGGGTCAATTCATGAGACTCACCACTTGCTCTACAGTATGATTTCCAATCTTTTAGTCAAAGGAAGCACAGGTCTCTGAGTCTGTTGAAGAGATTCAAATCCTAAACACAACTCAGCCTGGTTGTGGCCCTGGTCATTTTAATTTTTATATTCTGTCTCTCTTAAATAGAGACAAGGTCTCTCCCTCTCTTTTATTTTATATATATATGTATACATATTTTTATTATACTTTAAGTTTTAGGGTACATGTGCACAACGTGCAGGTTTGTTACATATGTATACATGTGCCATGTTGGTGTGCTGCACCCATTAACTCATCATTTAGCATTAGGTATACCTCCTAATGCTATCCCTCCCCTCTCCCCCCACCCCACAACAGTCCCCGGTGTGTGATGTTCCCCTTCCTGTGTATGTTACATATGTATACATGTGCCATGTTGGTGTGCTGCACCCATTAACTCATCATTTATATTAGGTATATCTCCCAATGCTATCCCTCCCCCATCCCCCCACCCCACAACAGGCCCCAGTGTGTGATGTTCCCCTGCCTGTGTCCAAGTGTTCTCGTCGTTCAAGTCTCACCTATGAGTGAGAACATGCAGTGTTTGGTTTTTTGTCCTTGCGATAGTTTGCTGAGAATGATGGTTTTCAGCTTCATCCATGTCCCTACAAAGGACATGAACTCATTTTTAATGGCTGCATAGTATTCCATGGTGTATATGTGCCACATTTTCTTAATCCAGTCTATCATTGTTGGACATTTGGGTTGCTTCCAAGTCTTTGCTATTGTGAGTAGTGCCGCAATAAACATATGTGTGCATGTGTCTTTATACCAGCATGATTTATATTCCTTTGGGTATATACCCAGTAATGGGATGGCTGGGTCAAATGGTATTTCTAGTTCTAGATCCCTGAGGAATCGCCACACTGTCTTCTACAATGGTTGAACTAGTTTACAGTCCCACAAAGAGTGTAAAAGTGTTCCAATTTCTCTACATCTTCTCCAGCACCTGTTGTTTCCTGACTTTTTAATGATTGCCATTCTAACTGGTGTGAGATGATATCTCATTGTGGTTTTGATTTGCATTTCTCTGATGGCCAGTGATGATGAGCATTTTTTCATGTGTCTGTTCGCTGCATAAATGTCTTCTTTGGAGAAGTGTCTGTTCATATCCTTTGCCCACTTTTTGATGGGGTTGTTTTTTTCTTGTAAATTTGTTTGAGTTCGTTGTAGATTCTGGATATTAGCCCTTTGTCAGATGAGTAGATTGCAAAAATTTTCTCCCATTCTGTAGGTTGTCTGTTCACTCTGGTGGTAGTTTCTTTTGCTGTGCAGAAGCTCTTTAGTTTAATTAGATCCCATTTGTCAATTTTGGCTTTTGTTGCCATTGCTTGTGGTGTTTTAGACATGAAGTCCTTGCCCATGCCTATGTCCTGAATGGTATTGACTAGGTTTTCTTCTAGGGTTTTTATGGTTTTAGGTCTAACATTTAAGTCTTTAATCCATCTTCTCCCTCTCTTTTAAATAGAAACAGGGTCTCACTCTCTTGTCCAGGCTGGAGCACAGTGGCATGACCATAGCTCACTGCAGCCTCGAACTCAAAGAACTCCCAGCCTCTACTGATCCTTCCACCTCAGCCTCCCAAGTAGCTGCACCACCATGTCCAGCTATTTTTTTTTTTTTTTAACTTGTAGAGACAGGGTTGTGACTTGTTGTTCAGGCTGGTCTTAAACTCCTGAGCTCAAGCAATCTTCCCACCTTGGCCTTTCAAAGTGCTGGGAATACGAGTGTGAGCCACCGCGCTGGGACTCATTTAATTTTATAAAGAACATATATTCTACCACCCTATTCTACTGTCAGAATTTTATTAAAATTACCTGTGTTCTTTTCATACCATAGATTAGACCTAAAATGGATTCCCACTTCACCCCCTACTGCTGCTTTGATTCCTGTTTCCCTGCACATACAGTGGGCCACACCTGCAAAAATCACAAGGCTGACTTCAGGAATCAGTTTTGATCTTCGCTGTTGTACCTTAAAATTTTTTTTAACTTTTATTTTAGATTCAGGGAGTACATGTACAGGTTTGTTACATGGATATATTGCATGATACTGAGGTTTGGGGTACAAATGATCCTGTCACCCAGATGGTGAGCATGGTACCCACTAGGTAGTTTTTTAGCCCTTACCCCACTCCATCCCTCCCCCCAGTAGTCCCCATTGTCTATTGTTCCCATCTTTATGTCCATGTGTACCCATGTAGTACCCTTATTAACTGTGTTGTGGAGCTTACACATGAGAAAGGCACTTTCTTGGATTCGTGTACATGGCTCAAGAGAAAATGGTTAGAACTGATAGAGACCCTGCCAGGCCGGTAGCTCATGCCTGTAATCCCAGCACTTTGGGAGGGCGAAGGCGGGTTAATCACTTGAGGTCGGGAGTTTGAGAACTGATAGAGACCTTAATTACCTGGTCGCTGTTTTTTCAACTGGGATTCCAGGAAGGAATCTCTGGTTAGATCCCACAGTATTCACAACTGATCCTTCCTGCTGTTGACTGATGGGAGCAAAGCTCCACCCAGATTACCTATCTCAATTAGGTTCTTTGAAACTCAGGCCACGTTAGGGATAAAAACAATGGAATTCTATCTGTACAAGTGACTGTTACTCTAGTATAGGGCAATCCCATTTCTCCTTTAAATATCATCTCTTTTTTAAAAATTTTTAGAGTTGGGGGTACATGTGCAGGTTACCTGGGTATATTGTGTGATGCTGAGGTCTGGGGTATAAATGACCCTGCCACCCACGTACTGAGCACGATACCCACTGGTTACTTTTTCAATCCTTGCCCCCTTTTATGTTTTCATTGACTCTTATGTTTTGGTCTTTGAAGATTGCTTAACTGATTTTCTCCCAGAAGTCAGCTTTAAAATCCCATTCCAGAAGCTTACTGACAATTTATAAGGCCAGAAAAGTAAAAAGCAAGCATATAGATTGGAAAGAACAAAACATAACTGGCCCCATTTGCAGATGATATTATTTCTACATAGAAAATCTAAAGGAATTTACAAACAAGAATATCACACACACACATCCAGTGAAGCAGTTAAGTTTAAATCTAATACATTTACCGGAGCTAAAAATTACAAAACAATGATTAAAACTGATGAACTCAAAGAAGACCTACATAAGACACATACTGTGTTTATGGAGTGGAAGGCTTAGTATAGTAAAGACTTCCATTCTTCCACAATGAAATAAAGGCTTAATGCAATTTCTATGAAAATTTAAGCAGGGCTTTTGAAAACACAGACAGGCTGATCCAAAATTTATATGGAAGAGCAAAGAAAGTGGAATAGATAAATAAATTTTGAAAATGAATAATAGGTCAGGTGTGGTGGCTCACGCCTGTAATTCCAGCATTTTGGGAGACCAAGGCCAGAGGATTCCTTGAACTCAAGAGTTTGAGACCAGCCTGGGCAACATGGCAAAACCATCTCTACTCAAAATACAAAAATTAGCTGAGTGTGCTGACACACACGTCTAGTCTCAGCTACTTGGCTTGGAGAATCATCTGATTCTGCAGTGAGCTATGACTAGAACCATTGCACTCCAGCCTGGGTGACAGGAGTGAGACCCTGCCTCAAAAAAAAAAAAGAAAAAGAAAAAGTAAAAAAATGAGAGCAATCAGTATACAGCTATAGTAATCAAGACAGTGTGGCATTGATAGAGGGATAGATGCATAGATTTTTGGAAAAGAGCATTCAGAAACACAGAAGTAGGCCAAGCAATTCAATGGAGAAACAATATTTTTTTTCAACAAATAGCACTGTAACAAGTAGACATCCAAAAAATGAACCTTGACCTAAATTTTATTCCTTATAAAAAGTTAACTCAAAATGTATCATAGACTAATTTTCACATTCAGCTTTAAAATTTTTGTGTCTGCAATAAACTGAAAACAAAACTATTTTTAGAATGCAAGTAACTGACAAAGGATTTGTGTCCAGAATATATTGTAACACACACAAAAAAGAAAAAAATCCATTATGAAAAAACTATAGAGATAGAGAATAGACTAGTAATTGCCAGGGGTTAGGGATGGGGAGTGAGGAGGACAGGAAGATGGGTGTGACTATAAATGGATAGAACAAGGGACCTTTGTGGTGCTGTCAGTTTTATAGATTGACTATGGGGAGTGGCAGTTACACTAATCTGTGCATGAGATAAAACTGTATAGAACTGTACAGACACATACACAAGTGCCTATAAAACTGGTAATGTTTGTGGATTGTACCAATGTCAAATTTGATTCTGTACTGTTATATAAGGTGTTACCATTAGGAGAAACGAGGTGTGGGGTACAAGGACTAAATAGTACTATACAGCATTATCTGTATAACTTCCTATAAATCCATAATTGTTTCCAAGAAAAACATTTTTGAAGTTCCAGTAGAAAAAAACAGACTTAATATATGAATAGACTATTCACAGAAAATGAAATTGGAGGCAACATATTTGTTTTTTTGTTTGTTTTTTGAGATGGAGTCTCACTCTGTTGCCCAGGCTGGAATGCAGTGGCGTGATCTCAGCTCACTGCAACCTCTGCCTCCTGGGTTCAAGCAATTCTCGTGCTTCAGCCTCCCAAGTAGCTGGGATAAGAGGCACACACAACCACACCCAGCTAATTTTTGTATTTTTAGTTGAGACGGGGTTACACCATGTTGGCCAGGCTGCTCACAAACTCCTGACCTCAAGTGATCCACCTGCCTCAGCCTCCCAAAGTGCTGGGATTACAGGTGTGAGCCACCACTGCACCTGGCCACGACATAAATATTTGAAAGGCCTGAATATAAAACATCTGTGGAACAGAATGAAGTGAATTTTTCACATCCACTGGGCCCTTACCTGGCATACATAAAATCACCAGCATCTGCATCCCCATTTATTGATCCAGAAACAAAGAAAAGCTTTGTTGAGATATATAGAAATTGCTTCTACTCTAACACCAATAACTATTCTTGGCTTGATATATTAGAATGTAAACTATATTTTACAGTATGCATGAATGGTCTCTTTCCTTCACTCCAAAACCAACCCAAATGAAGGTGGATTTCTTTCCCCAAATGGATAGCCAATTATCCCAATAATAAAATAATTGTTTTGTTTCTATACTCAACTAGAAAAAAATTTGAGTTTAAAATTAAAAATTGGCCTCAAATAAATGCGAAAATACTGCTGATTTTATTATTCCAATTAACATGAAGAGACAGTAAACAAAATAATACCTTGTCAGGTATGTTTTGTGTAAAGACAATCTTCTATAAATGTTAGTATCTGATCAAGAATAAAAATCCATTTTAAAATTATTTCTCCAGGCCCAGGTTTCCCCCACCCATTTGATTCTTATTTTTGAGAAATTAGGAAAATAAAAGCAAGAAAAAACAATTTTAAAAACCCATATAATTAATTTGGACAACCAGATTTGTCACCACTGTCATATTTGCTTTCACTCTTTTATTAAAGAAATATTACAGATAAATATAACAACTCCCACCAAACCTTTCCCACATCCCAAAAGGCAACCAAGTCATATATGGATCCATGACCAATACACAGTACTGTTCTTTGCAAGATCTTATTAAATTATACAAATGTTATACTGTGTTCCTTTGTGCATTTTAATTTTTTCTCTCAATATTATATATTGTAATCTATCCATATAACTATAGGTAGATTTTGTTTCTAAATTCTGTATTTTATCACAGAAATGATCACACTTATTCATCTATTCCACAATTGATAAAAATTTGTTATATCCAATTTTGGGCAATACAAACCATGATTCAGGAACACAGTGATATATATCTCTTTGTGTACATTTGTGGGTGCCTGTGAGGCCAATACACCAAAATTCAACAGACTATTCCATGTTTACATGTTTTTTAAAGAAATCTTGTTACCCTAAAGTAACGGATTCTACTTTCATCATAGTTTTAAAATTTTGCTTTTTATATTCTGGTCTTTAGTTGGATTTTATTTTTGTATATGATATAAAGTAGAAAGCTAAAATTTTTCTCCTATGAACCTTCCATTTATTAAATAAGCCATTCATTCCCCAGTGATTTCAATAGCACTGTCATACACAGAATTCCTGTATCTTCTTGGATTTTTGTATGAATGCTCACTATCTTACTACTGCTTGATTTATTCACTTGGTAATACATTGTTTAAATGACAGCAGCTTTAAATAAGTACATGATATATCTAATAATAGAGTGTGTCTTCTCTACTTGCTTTGTCAAGTTTGTTTCAGCTATTTGTGTTTCTTTACTTTTCCACATAAAATTTTTGGATAAGTTTGTGAAGTTCCTTAAAATAAAACTGATGTAAACTTCAGAAGTATATTAAACTTAGTGATTTGGGAGAGAAATTATATTTTTACAATGTCAAGTCTTTTCAGACAAAATATCATTTTTCAGGTGTTCTTTTGTGCCTTTCAACATATTTTATAACTTGATAAAGACCTAACTCATTGTTGTGTTTATTCTTAGGTTTTCTATCAACACATTTTCTAATTATTTCTTGTATAAAAGTTATTTTTATAGTTCTTCGTTGATACTTGTTTTCCTTACTTAATACATTGGCTAGGAGCTCAAGTGTTGTGTTGTTATGCTGATGGAAGATACCTTGTTTCAGATTTCAATGAGAATGCTGATTAAATATTATCAATAAGATGTCTGCTGAAAGTTTCTGGTAACAGCTTTTTCATTATATAATTTGTCACCTTGGAAGAATTCTCTAATGTTTCATAAATTTGTGGCTTTTTCAGAAGGCTATCCCACATTCATAGTTTTCTACTCTGGAAGTGATCATGTAATGTGCAATGAGGTGTTAATTCCTTCAGATGGCCTTGCCATATTCACAATATTCATAGGGTTTCTAATGAGTATGAATTCTCTGGTGTCTAACAAGGTGCGACTTTTGGCTGAAAGCCTTGCCACACTCAATACAGTGATAGGGCTTCTCACCTGTATGTTTTCTCATATGAAGGGTAAGAGATGAGATTTGAGAGAAGGCTTTTCCACATTTACTACAGTCGAAGGGTTTCTCACCTGTATGTCCTCGTATATGTATAGTAAGGGATGAGCTTTGGGAGAAGGCTTTTCCACATTTATTACATTCATAGGGTTTTTCACCTGTATGGCCTCTCATGTGCACAATAAGGGAAGTTCTTTGAGAGAAGGCTTTCCCACATTCATTACATACATAGGGCTTCTCACCTGTGTGACTTCTCATATGTAAATTAAGCAGTGAGCACTGAGAGAAGGCTTTACCACATTTATCACATTCATAAGGCTTTTCCCCTGTATGACTTCTCAAATGAAGGGTAAGGGATGCAATTTGAGAGAAGGCTTTACCACATTCATTACAATCATAAGGTTTCTCTCCAGTATGAACTTTTTGATGTGTAATGAAGTTTTGCTTTTGGCTGAAGGCTTTACCACATTCATTGCATTCATAGGGTTTCTCTCCAGAATGAATTTTTTCATGAGCAATGAGATTTGATTTCTGGCTAAAGGCTTTCCCACATTCCTTACATATATAGGGTTTTTCCCCAGTATGAATTCTCTGGTGTCTAACAAGATTTGACATCTGTATAAAAGCTTTCCCACATTCATTACACTCATAAGGTTTCTCTCTAGTATGAATTTTCTGGTGTGTAATGAAGTTTTTCTTGTGGCTGAAGGCTTTTCTGCATTCCTTACATTCATAGGGTTTCTCACCAGTGTGACTTCTCATATGTACAGTAAGGGCTGAGCTTTGAGAGAAGGCTTTTCCACACTCATTACATTCATAGGGTTTTTCACCTGTATGAATTCTAACATGTATAATAAGCATGGAAAACTGAGAGAAGGCTTTACCACATTTATCACATTTATAAGGTTTTTCTCCTGTATGACTTCTCATATGAAGAGCAAGGGATGCAATTCGAGGGAAGGCTTTACCACATTCATTACATGCATAAGGTTTCTCCCCAGTATGAACTTTCTGATGTGCAATGAGGCTTTGCTTCTGGCTGAATGCTTTTCCACACTCATTACATTCATAAGGTTTCTCTCCAGTATGAATTTTTTCATGATCAATAAGATTTGATTTCTGGCTGAAGGACTTCTCACATTCCTTACATGCATAGGGCTTCTCTCCAGTATGAATTCTTTGATGTCTAATGAGATTTGACATTTTAATGAAAGCTTTACCACATTCATTACATTTGTAAGACTGCTCCCTACTGTGAATTTTATAATGTTTAATAAGTTTTTCCTTGTGACTGAAGGCTTTTCTACAGTTACTACATTCATAGGGCTTCTCTCCAGTATGAATTCTCAGATGTCTGATGAGGTCCAAAGTCTGATTGAAGCCTTTTCCACAATGATTACACTTAAAGGGGGTAATGACAAAATGGGATGAGCTATTACCATATGATTTCACAGGTTCATTATATTCACAATGCTCCTTTCTCATAAGGCATTTCACATTATTATGACAGTCAAAATTATGTTCTAAACACTTTCCAAATAAGTCATACTCATAGAGATTGTGTCTGGAAGGGAAAAAATCAGAGTTCAGAGGAAATACATTTGCAAATTTCTTTTGACATTCATTGCCTTTTTCTTCAGTCAGTGTTTTCTGGAATTTAACTTCAACTTGTCTCAAAAGTCTGTCCTGGTTTTTCTGATGCTCATCAACTCCCCATATTTCTCCTAAAACAGATTGCAAATAAATATCACTTACAAATTTTTTTCCAATATTGTAATATGAAGAACATTTTGAAAAATATGCAATTATGGGACTGATTATTGGTTTAAGCCCTACTCTCCCACTATTAAAACATTTTCAACTGCATATATCTCTTATCTCTGAAGTTCTGAGAAGGAAATTCAGGAAAGGAAATATGAGTAGAGGCATATATTTATAAATACAAATAGCTTTGATTGCTTTAAAAAATGATCTGATAGAAAACAAATAGGTAAATAAATAGGAAATGCAGAATGTACAAATGAAGTAAGAAGAAATAATGATAGAGAAAAAACAAAAACAGGAAGCTAAAAAGTATAAGATCATTTTGCGGGACTCTATTAAAATACATTTTTATAATCTAAACACTTTTCTGGATTGTAAATTACTAAAACTGACACTACAAGATGCAAAAAACTTATCTAAACCAATTTCCATAAAATGAAAAGAAATATGAAAAGTAATTCCCTAAAACAAAAAGGAAAAACCCAGAGATCCACATGAAAATTCTAACAGATTTTAAAGGACAACTCCTATGCTGTCTAAAATGTTGTGAAAGAAAAAAGACAAAAATTCCTGATGTTTTTGTGTATGAAACATATATTAATACCAAAACCTGACAAAGATGACACACCAAAAAAGCAAACTATCCGATTTCATTTATGAAAACCATTGTAAAAATTCTATGTAAAACATCAAAATGACCCAAAAGGAAAAAAGTGACCCAGAAGCACATTAAATATAAAATATATCATATTTGAGTTGAGTACATTTTTTCCAGGGATACGTTTCGATAATAGAAAGTATATTACTATAAATAAATTAATGAAAAATGTCAAGTAATGACATTTGAAAAAATGAAAAAATCAAGTAATCATTTCTGTAGATATTAAGATAATAAAACTCAACATCTATTTTTCATTTAAAAATCCTTTATATAAAATAGGAACAAATAACATTTAATTTGAGAATAAAGTACAGTACAGCCCAAACACCAGCACTTTACTTAATGGAAAACATCCAGAAGCATTCACATTAAAGTCAGAAATAAGAAAAGATGAGTTGTCACCACTCATTGCAGTACTAGGTAGTACAATTAAATAAGAGAAATAAATCAGAGGTATGAAAATTAAGAGGCCGGGCGCGGTGGCTCATGCCTATAATCCCAGCACTTTGGGAGGCCAAGGCGGGCGGATCGCGAGGTCAGGAGATTGAGACCATCCTGGCTAACACAGTGAAACCCCATCTCTACTAAAAATACAAAAAAAAAAAAAAAATTAGCTGGGCATGGTGGCGGGCACCTCTAGTCTCAGCTACTTGGGAGGCTGAGGCAGGAGAATGGCGTGAACCTGTGAGGTAGAGGTTGCGGTGAGCCAAGATCACGCCACTGCACTCCAGCCTGGGCGACAGAGTGAGACTCTGTCTCAAAAGAAAAAAGAAAAAGAAAAAAAAAAAGAATATTAAGAAAAGAGTTGCCCCTCTTTTCTTAATTAAAAGGCGTGAGTGCAGTGGCTCACGCCTGTAATCCTAGCACTTTGGGAGGCTGAGGCAAACAGATCTCTTGAGCTCAGGAGTTCAAGACCAGACTGAGCAACATGGCAAAACCCCATTTCTACAAAAGATACAAAAATTAGCTGGGTGTAGTGGTGCAAGCCTATAGTCCCAGCTACTAGGGAGGCTGAGATGGGAGGATCACCTAAGCCTGGGAGGTTAAGGTTGCAGTGAGCAGAGATCACCACTGCTCTCTAGCCTGGGGGAAAGATTAAGACTGTGTGTCAAAACACAAAACAAACAAACAAAAAAACAAAAAAACAAAAAAAAAAAACAGGAAAAGAAAATGAAAATTAACATTATTTGTCAGAAACAAAACTGTTTACCTGAAAAATCAAGTCATCTGAACAATTGTGAAAAGTAAGAAATTCACTACATATGAATTGATATTTATTTTTAAAAACCTTCATATACAAACAACTACAGTCATCCCTCATTATCTATTGGGGACTGGTTCCAGGACCTCCCGTGGATACCAAAATCCATGGATGCTCAATGCCTTACATAAAATGATAAAAGTATTTTCTTATAACTTATGTGTATCTTTCTGTATACTTTAAATAATCTCCAGATTACTTATAATACTGAATACAATATAAATGCTATGTAAATCATTGTTATACTATAATTTAAAATTTGTATTATTTTTTATTGTTGTATTGTTATTTTTTGTTGCTTTTTTCCCCTGAATATTTTCAATTTGTAGTTGCAGAAAGCATGGATAGAAAGGGCTGACTATATTTAGAAATTATAGAATTAAAAACTACATTTACAATGACAACAAAAAGTATGAAAAATATACAAAAATAAAAAATGTCCAAAAACCATATGAAGAAAAGTTTAAAATGAACACACAGACTTGAACAAATAGAATGGTGTTATGGATTGAATTGTGTTATGGATTGAACTGAAGTCCTAACTCCTAGTGCCTCAGAATGAGGCTTCATTTAGAAATAGGGTCATTGAAGATGAAATTAGTTAAGATGAGGTCAAACTGGAATAAGAGAAGCCCCCATGCGATACGACTCGTGTTCTTAGAAGAAGAATGCTACATGAAGAGACAAGAGACATGGAAGAAATGCCATGTGAAGATGGAGAGACAGAGTAGAGTTATGCTGCCACAAACCAAGGAATGTCTGGGGATACCAGAAGCTGAAAGAGGCAAGGAAGAATCCTTCCCTACAGGTTTCAGAGGGAGTATGGCCCCACTGACACCTTGATTTTAGATTTCTGGCCTCCAGAACTGTGAGAATAGTTATTTTTTTTATTTTTTAGAGACAGAGTCTCACTCTGTAACCCAAGCTGGAGTGCAGTGGTGTGATCTAGGCTCACTGCAACCTTCGACGCTGGGGTTCAAAAGATTCTCCTACCTCAACCTCCCAAGTAGCTGGGACTAGAGGCGTGGTTAATTTTTTTGTATTTTTAGTAGAGATGGGGTTTCACCATGTTGCCCTGGGTGGTCTTAAACTCCTGAGCTCAGATGATCCACCCGCCTCGGCCTCTCAAAGTGCTGGGATTACAGGCGTGGGCCACCACACCTGGCCAATTCCTGTTATTTCTAAGTTACCCAGCTTGTGGTACTTTGTTTCAGCAGCCCTAGGAAACTAAGAAAAAGGCATTAAAGCATTTTAGACAAGAAAATTCAATGGCATAAAGATGACATTCGTAAGTTAATATATCAGTTTAAAGCGGTTTCAATAAAAATGTTTGAAAATAGCTCAAAGGAAAATGATACTGGGGGTTGCCACCATAGAAGGGAAAAATGTGTAAGAGAAGAATTACTTTTCAACATATATCCTTTTGTACTTTAAAAGTTCTGTTCTGGCCGGGTGCGATGGCACACGCCTGTAATCCCAGCAGGTTGAGGCATGTGGATCATGAAGTCAGGAGTTAAGAGACTAGCCTGGCCAACATAGTGCAACCCGGTCTCTACTAAAAATACAAAAATTAGCCAGGCATGGTGGCACGTGCCTGTAGTCCCAGCTACTCGGGAGGCTGAGGCAGGAGAATCGCTTGAACCTGGGAGGCGGAGGTTGCAGTGAGCCAAGATCGCGCCACTGTACTCCAGCCTGGGTAACAGAGTGAGACTCCATCTCAAATAATAATAATAATAATAATAATAATAATAATAAAATAAAGTTCTGTTCTATGAGTATGTGTTTATATCCAGTCTAAACAAATAAAATTGTTCTGAACACTGCAATAATCAATAAAATGAGAAGAACCAATAGGAAGGTTAAAAACTGGATGACGGAATTGGAACATAAAACTGGAGAGGCCCACCTAGGTTAATTGTATAGGGGCAAATATAGTGACCATAGGGAAAAGAAATAGTAAGAAGTTGAGGTTAAATATGGTATAATAAATACATGAGTTTAGCTCAGATTCTATCCAAAAGTGCACAAATATGGTATCATTTAAAAGGCATAAACCAACGAAGACAAAGACCATAACAGACAACAATGGATGATAGATGTAAACATAATTTTAGCAGATGGAAGAAGATGAAAGGACTATTATCTAACAGAAGAACCGAGAACGCTAAAACCCATGTGCCTGCAGACGAAGATGTCAAAAAGCAAGTTCCTACTATATAACTAAAGAAAGGCTGAGAAATTAGAGAAGTCATGCACCATGAAAGGTGGGAATGAACAGGGGCCCTAAAAAATAACAAAATTGAATGGAAGTCTGTAAGGCAAACAATTGCCTGCACTGTGCAATGAGGTACCTATCACTCCCAAGAGAAGATGGGAAGACTACTCTCTGCTTCTGGAGAAATGGAACCAGATAGACTCTAGAGTCAGGGACACCAGGCAGAAGACTACAGGGAACCTAAACTGGCTCAAACAAGGATATCAAGCAAAAGTTTACGTACTTAATAAGGCTGAGATGTTCAGTTCCCTATTGCTGCTTACTTCCAATAGGAAAATGGAAATTTTTCTCCTCTCTGCCAGCATCTGTTATTTTTTGACTTTTTAATAATGGCCATTATGACTGTTGTGAGATGGTATCTCATTATGGTGATTTGGATTTCTCTAACAATCAGTGATATTGAACTTTCTTTCATAAGCTTCTTGGCCATATTTATGTCTTGAAAAGTGTCTGTTCATGTCCGTTTAATAGGGCTGTTTTTTTCTTGTAAATTTAAGTTCCTTATAGATGCTGGATATTAGGACTGTGTCAGATGCATAGTTTGCAAATATTTTCTCCCATTCTGTAGGTTGTATGTTTACTGATAGTTTACATAAATGATAATCTTGACTAAATATATTACAACGAATATACAAAAAGATAATAAATTAAAATCTACAAATCAATAATTCAAAATAGAAACACAGGCATACTTCAGAGATACTGTGGGTTCAGTTCCACACCACCACAATAAAGCATGTCACACAACATTTTTGGTTTCCCAGTGCATATAAAAGTTATGTTGGCTGGGTGCGGTGGCTCACGACTGTAATCCCAGCACTTTGGGAGGCCGAGGTGGGTGAATCATTTGAGGTCAGGGGTTCAAGACCAGCCTGGCCAATATGGTGAAACCCTGTCTCTACTAAAAATTCAAAAAAATTAGCCGGGCGTGGTGGCAGGCGCCTGTAATCCCAGCTACTGGGAGGCTGAGGCAGGAGAATCGTTTGAACCTGGGAGGTGGAGGTTGCAGTGAGCCGAGATCATGCCACTGCACTCCAGCCTGGGTAACTAAGAGAGACTACGTCTCAAAAAAAAAAAATTTAATACTATATACTTAGTCTATTACGTATATAACAGCATCATGTCTAAAAAATGTACACCTTAATTTTAAAATATTGCTTAAAAATGCTAACAATCATCTGAACCTTCAGTGAGTCATAATCTTTTTGCTGATAGGTGTCTTCCTCAATCTCAATGTTGATGGCTGCTGACTAATCAAGGGGGGATTACAGAAAGTTGGGGTGGCTGTAGCAATTTCTTTTTTCTTTTCTTTCTTTTTTTTTTTTTTTTTTTTTGAGACAGAGTCTCCCTCTGTCGCCCAGGCAAGAGTGCAGAGGCTAGAGTGCAGTGGCTCGATCTCTGCTCACTGCAACCTCTGCCTCCCAGGTTCAAGCGATTCTCCTGCCTCAGCCTCCTGAGTAGCTGGGATTACAGGTGTGCGCCACCACGCCAGGCTAATTTTTTTTGTGTTTTTAGTAGAGACGGGGTTTCACTATGTTGGCCAGGCTAGTCTCGAACTCCTGACCTCGTGATCTGCCCACCTCGGCCTCCCAAAGTGCTCGGATTACAGGTGTGAGCCACTGCGCCGGCCCCAATTTCTTAAGATAACAATGAAGAGTCACATTGATTGACTTTTCTTTCACAAAAAGTTTCTCTGTGGCATGTGATGTTGTTTGATAGTACTTTACCCACAGTAGGACTTCTTTCAAAACTGTAGTCACTCCTCTCAAATCCTACCACTGCTTTATCAATTATATTTATGGAATATTCTAAATCATTGATTTCCACAATTTGCACAGCATCTTCACCAGGAGTAGATCCTAAAGAAATGACTTTCTTTGTTCACCCATAAGAAGTAATCCTTATCCCTGCAATCACGAGACTGCAGCAATTCAGTCACATCTTCCGGCTCTACTTCTAATTCTACTTCTCTTGCTAGTTGCACATCTACAATTACTTCCTCCACTGAAGCCTTGAATCCTTCAAAGTCATCCATGAGTGTCGAATGAACCTCTTTCAAACTCCTGTTGATATTCTGATCTCCTCTCCTGAGTCATGAATATTCATAATAGCACCTGGAAACATAAATCCTTTCCAGCCAGTTTTTACACTTTTTAATTTACTTTACCCAGATCCATCAGAGGAATCATTACCTATGGAAGCTATTACATTACAGAATGTATTTCGTAAATAATAAGACTTGAAAGTCAAAATTACTGCTTGATCCATGAGCTGCAGAATGGATGTTGTATTAGCAGGCATGAAAACCAACACTGATCTCCTTGTACATCTCCATTAGAGCTCCTGGGTGACCAAGTGCACTGTCAATGAGCAATACTATTTTCAAAGGAACTTTTTTTTCTCGTGAGCAGTAGGTATCAACAGTGGGCTTAAAATATTTAGCAAATCAATGCTGTAAACAGATGTGCTGTCGTCCAGGCTTTGTTATTCCATTTATAGAGCACGAGCAGGGTGTATTTAGCATAATTCCTAAGGGCCCTAGGATTTTCAGAATGGGAAATGAATACTGGCTCCAACTTAAAGTCACCACCTGCATTAGCCCATAACAGGAGGGTCAGTCTGTCATTTGAAACTTTGAAGCCAGCCACTGACTTCACCTCTCTAGCTGTGAAAGTCCTAGATGGCATCTTCTTCCAATAGAAGGCTGTTGCATCTACATCGGAACGCTATTGTTTAGTTAGCCACCCTCATCAATAATCTTAGCTAGATCTTCTGGATAATTTACTGCAGCTTCCATCGGCTCTTACTGCTTTACCTTGTATTTTTATGTTATGGAGATGGCTCTTTCCTTAAACCTTATGAACCTACCTCTGCTAGCTTCAAACTTTTCTTCTGCAGCTTCCTCACCTCTAAGCCTTCATAGAATTGAAGATAATTAGGGGCTTGTCCTGGATTATGCTTTGGCTTAAGGGAATGCTGTGGCTGGTTTGATCTTCTACCCAGACAACTAAAACTTTCTCCCTATCAACAATAAGGCTATTTTGCTTTCTTATCATCTTATCATTTGTGTGTATACTGTAGTGGCACTTTTTTTTTTTTTTTTTTTTTTTTGAGACAGGGTCTTGCTCTGTCACCTAGGCTGGGATGCAGTAGTGTGATCTCAGCTCATTGCAACCTCCACCTCTTAGACTCAATCAATCCTCTCGTCTCAGCCTCCCAAGCAGCTGGGACTACAGGCATGCACCATTACATCCGGCTAATTTCTGTATTTTTAGTAGAGACAGGGTTTCACCATGTTGCCCAGTCTGGTCTTGAACTCCTGGGCCCAAGCAATCCACCGGCCTCAGCCTGCCAAAGTGTTAGGATTACAGGCGTGAGCCACCACACCTGGCCAGCACTTTAAATTTACTTCAAGAACTTTTCCTTTGCATTCACAACTTGGCAAACACAAAAGGCTTTGCTTTTGGTCTATCTTGGCTTTTAACATGCTTTCTTCACTAAGCTTAATCATTCCTAGCTTTTAATTTAAAGTGAGAGATGTGCGACTCTTCCTTTCACTTGAACACTTAGAGGTCATTGTAGGGTTATTAATTGCCCTAATTTCAATATTGTTGTGTTTCAGGGAAGAGAGAGACCCAGAAAAAGGGAGAGAGACGGGAATGGGTGGTCAGTAGAATAGTCAGAACACATACAACATTTAACATCAATTAAGTCTGCCATCTTACATGGATGAAGTTTGTGGCACCCCAAAACAATGACAACAGTAACATCAAAGATCACTGATCACAGATCCCCATAACAGATAATAATATAATGAAAAGGTTTGAAATATTGCAAGAATGTGACACAGACACACACAGTGAGCACATGCTTTTGGAAAAATGGTGCCAATGGGCTTGTTCGATGCAGGGCTGCCACAAGCCTTCAATTTATAAAAAAATGCAACATTTGCCAAGCACAATAAAATAAAGCATAATAACATGAGATATGCCTGTATAAATGCATGAGGAAGAATCATTGAGAAAACAGAAAGGGTATAAAATTTTACCAGCAGAACCAAGGAAATAATTGGAAGAGAAAAAGAAAACCACCATTGAAATGAAGAATATTATGGTGCGGGGGGAATAGAACTTTCACCATTAGAATTACGGTACAGCAATGTCACACTGCAAAACAAGGTAATGGATAAGACAGACATTCTGATGCATCACTGGGTCTACAGGACATAGCACAAACCTCCAAGAATACCTCTCTACCCACCTATCCCACACAAAAAATAAACAATAGGAAAACAAGCAACTGTTAGCTAAAATCAGAGAACACTACAAATAATTTCATACCAAAACATTTGAAAATACAGATGAAACAAATTTTCAAATATAATAGATGATCCTGGAATATCAATGTGTGGTAACTTTTTACAGATACAGAGGAAATTTTAATATTTATGGAAGTTACTTTGTCAACTCTGAAAATTTGAAGACTAGAATTAAGTGGGTAATTTCATGGAAAAATACAACCTATTATCAAAAACTAATGCCAAAAGACAAAAATATATTTACATACACATAGGATAGTTATAAAAGGAAAAATGAAAAGAGTTGTCAAGGAAACTTCCCTCAGAAATACACAAGGTCGAAATAGTTCAACAGGTAACATCTACCAAATTTTCTAGGGAGTTTTAACACTAATGCTATATAAATGCTCTAGAGCATGAAGGAAAGCTTCCAAATTCTATTTATAAAACCAGTCTAACATTGACATTAAAAACTTTAAAAGTATAAACAATTATTTAAATTCATAGCAAACATAAGAGGATGAGTCATTATTGAGAAATATCTAAACATAATTGAACCATATACATTTTAAAAATTGTGATAATCTCCTATAGGAACAGATTGTTTTAACTACATGAATTATTTTAAAAAGTCGAGGTGGCAAAAAAGTACTTCAACGAGGAATAATCTCTTTGGGAAAAAAACACAAGAAAAACATATGACAGATGATGTGCCAATCAGCTCAATATGTTAAGAGTTCATACAAATTAAGAACTTGACAGAAACAAGGGCAAAGGATACCAACTGTTTATTAAAACAAAGAAATATAGATTGGAAACATGAAAAGATGCTTGCCTTCACTCATCATAAAGGAAATGTAAATTCAAGCTATAATTAGCTACCATTTTTCACCTCAGTTTGGCAACGATTTTTTTAAATGCTAACAGACTACACTGGTTGAAGTTACTGGTGGAAATATAAATTATTACAGTCTCTTTGGAGGGCAAAAATGACTTTATAAAATTCAAAATACGTGTATATGGACATATATATGTATATGTATATATGTATATGTGGGTATATATAGATGCACACCTACATTACATACACTTGCATATGTACATGACAAATATATCAGAAAATGGGAGCTACCAAAAAATCAGCACTGACTTAAAACTTTTATTGAAATAAAGGGTGGTAGTGATTATTGAAGTATGAGAGTAAAACCTAAAAATACAGTGGGAAGTATGACTGTACGACATTTCAGACATTTACAATGGAAGAAAGAAGAGAAAGTAAGGGACTATAAATGTCAGTAGGTTTGATTTAACAACTGCAAATTAGTGAATGTATGCAAAAAGAAAGGATCCTGTATATGAGGGTGGATGGTACTCCCGAAGATGCTAATAATAGAATGAATATCAAAGTAAGCCTGGAAACTTATTAGGAAAGGTTGGTATCTAGCACACAGGTAAGAAAGCCAACCAGATCTCTAAGTTCTGAGGAAAGAAATTAAGAATGGTATCTAGAAATGACATCTTAGGTTTATAAAAGAGTTTGCATCAATGGTCACTTTTGTACTACAAAAGTGTACATCAGGCCAGGCGCGGTGGCTCACGCCTGTAATCTCAGCACTTTGGGAGGCTGAGGTGGGCGGATCACTTGAGGTCAGGAGTTCAAGACCAGCCTGGCCAACATAGTGAAACCCCATCCCTACTAAAAATACCAAAAAGTTAGCCAGGCATGGTGGTGCATGCCTATAGTCCCAGCTACTCGGGAGGCTGAGGCATGAGAATCGTTTGAACCCAGGAGCCAGAGGTTGCAGTGAGCCAAGATTGCACCACTGCACTCCAGCCTGGGTGACAGAGTGAGACTCTGTCTCAAAAAAAAAAAAAAAAAAAAAAAAGCCGGGCATGGTGGCTCATGCCTGTAATCCCAACACTTTGGGAGGCCAAGGCAGGCAGATCACGAGGTCAGGAGATCAAGACCATCCTGGCTAACATGGTGAAACCCTGTCTTTACTAAAAATACAAAAAATTAGCAGGGTGTGGTGGCACGTGCCTGTAGTCCCAGCTATCAGGAGGCTGAGGCAGGAAAATCACTTGAACCTGGGAGGTGGGGGTTGCAGTGAGCCGAGATCGCGCCACTGTACTCCACAGTGACAGAGTCTCACTCTGTCACACACATACACACACAAAAGGTCTACATGCTTTCTGAAAATATATATATATTTTTTGAGACAGGGTCTCACTCCGTTGCCTAGGCTAGAGTGCAGTGCTGTGATCATGGCTTACTGTAGCCTCAACCTCCTAGGCTCAAGTGATCCTCCCACCTCAGCCTTCCAAGCAGCTGGGATCATAAGCGTATGCCACCACACGTGGCTAATTTTTTTTTTTTTTTTTTTTTTTGACAGAGTCTTGCTCTGTCGCCCAGGCTGGAGTGCAGTGGCGCAATCTTGGCTCACTGCAACCTCTGCCTCCCGGGTTCAAGCGATTCTCCTGCCTCAGCCTCCCAAGTAGCTGGGACTACAGGCGCGTGTCACCACGCCAAGCTAATTTTTTGTATTTTTAGTAGAGATGGGGTTTCACCGTGTTAGCCAGGATGGTTGTGATCTCCTGACCTCATGATCCGCCCACCTCGGCCTCCTAAAGTGCAGGGATTACAGGCGCAAGCCACTGTGCCAGGCCCAATTTTTCTTTTCTCTTTTTTTTTTAAGAGATGAGGTCTCACTATGTTGCCCAGGCTGGTCCCAAACTCCTGGACTCAAGCAATCCTTCCACCTTGGCTTCCCAAAGTGCTGGGACTATAGGTATGAACCACTGTGCCAACCTCTGAAAATATCTTTGAAGAATATTTTAGAGGGATCAACCATTCACTGATTAATCATTAATAGGCCCTGACCTCTCCTCACCTGTCTGGTTCCCTTCCACTAACCTTGCCAGTGTCTCCTTAATACTTCTTCCTCCATCACCCATGGTTCTTCTTCTTGCTCCAATTTGAAAATCACATCAGGTTTGGTGAACGGATAGCCTGTCAAAGGGAAGTTACATAGATTTGGGCATACATACTAGGAACAAAGAACCACCCAAAAATTGAGGCTGGCCCAGGAAAACCAGGCTAAAGGACAAGAAAATGTGGCTTCGGGGGTTCTGTCCCCTTTTGCTCTGAAAACTGCAGCATGGACATTCACATGAGCAAAAGCATCCCAAGGCCAAGCTCACTCTAATATTTAAAAGGTCCATGTATTTCAGAAACACTGGGAGGAAAAAAAAGGTACTTTCTTTCCAGAGTTTGAATTATATAGTAAATTACTCTTACCTACTGTGATTAAGTTGTTATAGTTTTCTAGCATCACATTCCGGTACAGTTTTCTCTGAGCAGGATCCAATCTCTTCCACTCCTCCTGAGTGAAGTCGATAGCCACATCTTTGAATGTTACTGTTCCCTGTAACAACACACTCCCACTCAATCTGAAGTCATCCATCTTGGGTGATTGTAAACAAAATATATTGAACCTTGTTCTGATATTAATCAGAGGTTATTAAAAAAGCCCATCATATTAGCAGCATCCTGTCATTTATGTTCATTCACTGATTAGCAAGCACATGTCTTTAATATCTACCATGAGTTAAAGGGGAGATTTTAGGTACCAATTTATATTGAGTGTGAAAGAAACATAAAAATAAAACTTTAACCAAGTTAAGTGGTTTGAGATCTCACAAGATACCAAAGGCAGGAAAAAATGAAAGCAAGGCTTAGATGGAAGCAGAAGCAGGGGACAGAATGATAGGTGAAATCTGTGGTATGGTGGGACATGCAACTGGAGATAGCCACTGATTTAGCAGTTGGATGTATTGTTCATGAGATCAGGAGAAATCCACATTGGAAATGAAGATTTATGGGTCATCAGCCTGTAGTATGTGTCTGCAGCCATGAAAATGGGATCTGATTGTTCAAATAGTTTACATGTACTGGAAAAGGGGCCACAGATAGAATCTCAGAGACAACCATGAAAAAACACATGCCCTGATGACAATTTGTTTTTTAATGGTCAGAAATAGAATTATAACTGAAACTGTGTATTTAAAAAGCTGTAGAATGGCTGGGTATTACATGGCTCATGCCTGTAATCCCAGCACTTTAGGAGACTGAGACGTGAAAATCCCTTGAGCCCAGGAGTTTTGAGACGGGCCTGGGCAATGTGGCGAAACCGTCTGTACAAAAAATACAAAAATTAGCCAGGTGTGGTGGTGTGCATCTGTAGTCCCAGCTAGTCAGGAGGCTGAGGTAGGAGGATTGCTTGAGCCCGGGAGGTGGAGGTTGCAGTGAGTCGTGATTGCACCACTACACTCCAGCCTGGGTGGCAGAGCAAGGCCCTGTCTCAAAAAAAAAAAGCTATTGAATGAATTTCAAAAAAACTGGTGAACTTCTTAAAGGCAATGTGATTTGAATATAGAAATCTAATGCACTCTTCCTAGTTCAAAACAGAAATGCCCAAACGTATATGAACATAAGAAAAAATCTTAAATAGCACTCAGCCTGGAAAAAAGGGAGCAATCCATATTTCCTACTGTTTCAGGAATTTCTACCAGAAACTAGGTGAGAAAAAAGAAAGTCTCCAATAGCTCGTTCACAATGTATCTAAGAATTTGTTTCTAGGTCCTAAAAGGAACTTATGAGCATGAACATCCATTAACACTAAGGGCTCAGAGAAAGCTGTGGTACTGATGGGAGATCAGCTCCTGAAAGCCCTTCCTGCTGAAAATCATGATGCTTGCAATAAACATGTTCAAGAAGCAAAAGGCAAAGTGTCAGAGGAAAAAAACCCTGAAATCCAGGGGTTTTTAATATTTCCCCTCATCTGGGAGGAAGATCCAAATAAGCCTGGATAAAGCATTTGGTGAGGAAGTGGGACTGAGGAGAAAGCATGATGTGGAAATCTGGCCCTGGTATAATAGTTTCACCAATTACAGGGAAGAACATGAGCACATAAGAAACACACTCTTGCTGGGACTACCTCAGCTGCAGACTTTTTCCTCAGGAAGTTGTATTTTCTTCAGGAGGTCAGATCATTAAACTAGTAAATAAATTTTAAAAATCAGCACCAAAGATTTTACAAGAAAATCCTAATTGCCCCTAGCTCAAGAGTGAGAGAATCCCAAAAGAAATCATTAAAATACATTTGAAGAAAATACTTGGGAAAAAGAATTTAGTAAATGCAAAAACAGAAACAATTTAAAGTGAAAAATTTAGAACTTACATATACACAAATCTCCATATTTAAAAGCTGGAGCTAGGCGCGGTGGCTCACGCCTGTAATTCTACCACTTTGGGAAGCCGAGGTGGGAGAACTGCTTGAGGCTAGTTCAAGGCCAGTCTGGGCAACATAGCAAAACCTCATCTCTACAATAAATGAATGAATGAATGAATGAATGAATGAATGCCGTGTATGGTGGTGCGTGGCTATAGTCCCAGCTACTTGGGAGGCTGAGGTGGGAAGACTGCTTAAGCCTGGGAGTTTGACTGCAGTGAGCCATGATCTCACCACTGCATTAGAGCAGCCTGGGCAATAGAACAAGACCCTGTCTCTTAAAAAAAAAAAAAAAAAAAAAGCTGATAGTTTAAGAAGAATGAATTAGGCAAATGTTTAGTAAGTTTAAGGAAGAAAAATAAACATCCCAAATTAGGAAAAAACATTAAAACTAATTGATATTTAAAGTAGTATATATCTGTGGTTGAATTTTTTTTTTTTTTTTTGAGATAGAGTCTCGCCCTGTTGCCCAGGCTGGAGTGCAGTGTGGCGTGATGTTGGCTCTCTACAACCTCCGTCTCCTGGATTCAAGTGATTCTCCTGCCTCAGTCTCCCAAATAGCTAGAACTACAGGCGTGCGCCACCACACCCAGCTAATTTTTGTATTTTCAGTAGAGACGGTGTTCCCATGTTGGCCAAGCTGGTCTCTAACTCCTAACCTCAAATGATCTGCCTGCCTCGGCCTCCCAAAGTGCTGGGATTACAGGTGTGAGCCACCACACCCAGCCTGAAATTTTTAAATTCATAATGAAATGAATAGGTTAAAGGGAAACATAAGCCTAAGACTGATCTTAAAAAAAAGAAGAAAATCCCAACAGTGCAATACTATAGCACCCACTGTTATTCTTCTATTCCAATATTTATTCTGTCTTCCCAATTTCTGGCCAGGCACATGGTCTGCTGAAATAAGTATTAATATGTTTATATGATAATGTTCTGGACAGTGAGATGAAAGGACTGCATGCAACTGCTGATAAGTGAACATAAAGGCACGAGGTATACCATTTCTCCTAAGCTTCTACCTTCCTGTAGACTGGTAAGTCAATGCGACTTACCAGAGTCGAGAGCAAACAGAGCCATTTGAGATAATAAGGCAGAAGCCAACAACCAAGAATGGCAGAGCAATGAAGGAGAAAGAGTTTCGTTCTCTGCCCTTTGGAGCTACAGGACCAGCCTTGAACTTCAATATGAGAGACAAATAAACTTATGTCTTGTTTAAGCAAAGGTTATCTGGGCTTTCTATCACAGGCAGTCAAGTGTAATACTAACAGATTAATATGTTCATGCCAGATCTGGCCATCCTTTGGCAGCTATGAAGGGATGGTGCTCGAATCCTCTTTAAGGGAATCCACTGTGAGAAGCATAGTTGGCAAACAGCCTCCAGCTGCTCCACTTTCATGCTGAGGTCATGACACCCCAACACTGCTTCCAGCCACAGGCTCAGCATAGTGAGGCTATTAAAGTCTGGACTATTACACTTGATATGGTTTTCCTCTAGTGGGAAAGCTTTGGTCAGCAACTCCCCTTTGGCCTGGCTGAGACTTTCTCACAACTTCAGGATGGTCTGAGTTGGCAGAAAAAAGTATTAGTAAACTTGAAGACAGATCACTAAAAATGATGCAATTTGAAGAAGAGACAGAAAAAAGGATGTAGAAAAATGAATACAGGCTGGACACAGTGGCTCACGCCTGTAATCCCAGTGCTTTGGGAGGCCAAGGTGGGAGGATCACTTGAGGCTAGGAGTTCAAGATCAGCCTGGGCAAGATGATGAGACCCTATCTCTACCAAAAAATTTAAGAAATCAGCTAGGTGTGGTGGCACATGCCTATAGTCCTAGCCACTCAGGAGACATTGGTGGGAGGATTGATTTAGCCCAAGAGTTCAAGGTTACAGTGAGTTATAATTGTGCCACTGCACTCCAGCCTGGGTGACAGAGTGAGACCCTATCTCAAAAAAAAAAAAAAGAATATAGACTCAGAAATGTGAGCTAGAGCAATAAGTGCATTAACATATGCATAATTTAAGTATAAGTTAGAGAGGAGAGAGAAAAGGACAGAAAAAATCAAAGAAATAATGGCTGAAAACTTCCCACATTTGATGAAAAACATTAATGTACATATTCAAGCTCAATGAATTCCAAGTAGGATAAACGCAACAAGGTACACACCTAAACACATCATAGTCAAAATGTTGAAAATAAATATAAAGAGAAAATCTTGAAAACAGCAAGGGAAAATAATTCATTATCTTCACCAACCACAATAAAACTAATAGCTGACTTCTCATCAAACACAATGGAGGACAAATAGCAATGGGACAACATATTCAAAGTTCTGAAAGAAAAAAAAAACTATCAGAGAGGAAGTAGGGAAAGAGGGCCCAATAGAAGCCTCCACCGATCATACTCCCCACAGGAACACCAAATTGAACAACTATCCACACAAAAAAGCACCTTCATCATAACCAAAAATCAGGTCAGCAGTCACAGTATCTGGTTTTAACTTCACATCACTGAAAGAGGCACTGAGGAGGGTAGGAAAGACAGTCGTGAATTGCTGATCGTGAATTGCTAACGCCATCCCTCCCCTATTCTCCGGCAGTGGCCATATGGTTCTGAGAGAGAATCTGTGCACCCGCAGGAGGGAGACCAGAGTGATTGCAGGACTTTTCATTGGAACTCAGTGGTGCCCTGTCACAGCAGAAGGCAACACCAGGGAGAACCCAGTTGGTGCCCACACCAGAAGTATTTGGACCAGCCCCAGCCAGTCTAGGGGAATTGTCCATTGTAGCAGTAGGAACCTGAATTCTGGCAAGCCTCACCACCATGGGCTAAAGGGCTCTAGGATCCTAAGTGAACTTGAAAGGCAGTCTAGGCCACAGGAATTGCAATTCCTGGGCAAGTCCTGGTGCTGTGCTGGGCTTGGAGCCAGTGGACTAGGGGGTCATGGGACCCAGTGAGACACCAGCCAGGGTAGCCAAGGGAGTGCTTGTGCCACCCTTTCCCTAACCCGAGGTAGTGCAGCTCGCAGCTCCAGGAGAGACCCCTTCCTTCCACTTGAGAAGAGGAGAAGGAAGAGTAAAGAGGACTTTGTCTTGCACCTTGGATACCAGCTCAGCCACAGTATGATAGGGCACCAGGCAGAGGCCCCCATTCCATGCGCTAGCTCCTGGATGCAACTTCTACACACACCCTGGACCAGAAGGGAACCTGTTGCCTTGAGAGGAAGAACTCAGTCTTCGCAGCATTTATCACCTACTGACTAAAGAGCCCTTGAGCCCTGAACAGTCAGCAGTGGTAGCCAGGTAGTACTCACCATGGGCCTTGGGTGAGACTCAGAGACATGCTGGCTTCAGGTGTGACCCAGCACATTTCCCGTGTGGTGGCTACAAGGAGAGACTCCTGCTTGAGAAAAGGAGAGGGCAAAGTATAGGGAACTTTGGTACCAACTTGGCCACAATGGGGTACAGCACCAAGTGGGTTCTTGGGGTCCCCAATTCCAGGCCTTGCCTCTTGCATGGTATTTCTGGACCTGCCCTGGGCCGAAGGGGAGCTTGCTGCCTGAAGGGAGAATCCCAGGCCTGGCAACATTCACCACAAGCTGACTGAAGAGCCCTTGGGCCTGGAATGAACACTGGCGGTAGCCAGGCCATACTTGCCATGGGCCTGGGTCAGTGGTAGCCACGGGGAGAAATTCCTCTGCCTGTGGAAAGGGGAGGGAAGAGTGGGAAGGACTTTGCCATGTGGCTTGGGTGCCAGTCCAGCCACCGTAGAATACCAAGTACATTCCTAAGGTTTCTGACTCTAGGCCCTGGTTCCTGGATGGCATCTCTGGACCTGCCCGTGGCTGGGGGGAACTTGCTACTCTAAAGGGAAGGAAACAAGACTGGCTGGCTTTGCCACCTGCTGACTGTAGAGTGATAGGGCCTTCAGTGAACACAGGTGATAGCCAGGCAGTGGTTACTGTGGGCCTTGGGTGAGACTCAGTGCTGTGCTGGCTTCGTCTGACCCAGCGCAGTCCCAGTGGTGGTAGCCACAGGGGTGCTTGTGTCACCCCTCCCCTAGCTCCAGGCAACTCAGCACAGAAAGACTCTGGGAGAAAGTAAGACAACAAGAGTCTCTACCTGGTAATCCAGAGAATTCTTCTGGATCTTATCTAGGACCATCAAGGTGGTACCTCTATGATTCTGTAAGAGCCACAGTGTTAACTGGGCTTGGCATGCCCCCTGATGCAGATATGGTTGCAGTGACCAAAAACTTAGATCACAACACCCAAGTCCCTTCAAATACCTGGAAAGTCTTGCCAAAAAGGGCAGGTATAAACAAGCTCAGACTGCTAAGACTGCAATAAATACCTAACTCTTCACTGCCTAGACATCAACAAACATTCACAGGCATTAAGACCATCTAGGAAAACATGACTTCACCAAATTGAACTCAGTACCAGGGACCAATCCTGGAGACACAGAAATCTGTGACCTTTCAGATAGAGAATTCAGAATAGCTGTTTTCAGGAAACTCAATGAAATTCAAGATAACACAGAGAAAGAATTTAGAATGCTATCAGATAAATTTAACAAAGAGACTGAAATAATTCAAAAGAATAGAGCCGAAATTCTGGAGCTGAAAAATGCAACGGACAAACTAAAGAATGCATCAGTCTTTTTTTTTTTTTTTTTTTTTGAGACAGAGTCTCTGTAATCCAGGCTGGAATGCAGTGGTGTGATCATGGCTCACTGCAGCCTCGACCTGCCAGGCTCAAGTGATCCTCCTACCTCAGCCTCCCAAAGAGCAGGGACCACAGGTGCATGCCACCATACCTAACTAAGTTTTTAATGTTTTTGTAGAGATGGTAGTCTCACTACGTTGCCCAAGCTGGTCTCAAACTGGTCTCAAACTCCTGGGCTCAAGTGATCCTCATGCTTTGGCCTCCCAAAATGCTAGGATTGTAGGCATGAGCCACCACCCCCAGTCTGTTCAGTCACTGAACAACAGAATTGATCAAGCAGAGGAAAGAATTAGTGAGCCTGAAGATAGGCTATTTGAAAACACACAGTAAGAGGAGACAAAAGAAAAATGAGTAAGAAAGAATGAAGCATGCCTGTAAGATCTAGAAAATAGCTTCAAATGGGCAAATCTAACACTTATTGGCCTTAAAGAGGAGGTAGAGAGACAGGGGTAGAAAGTTTATTCGATGGGATAACAATAGAGAACTTCCCAAACCTAGAGAAAGATATTGATATTCAAGTACAAGAAGGTTATAGAACACCAAGTAGATTTAAACCAAATAAGACTACTTCAAGACACTTAATAATCAAACTCCTAAAGGTCAATGATAAAGAAAGGATCCATTTAAACACAGCAAGAGAAAAGAAACAACATACCAATGGAAGCTCCAATATGTCTGGCAGCAGACTTTTCAGTGGAAATTTTACATGCCAGGAAAGAGTGGCACGACATATTTACAGTGCTGAAGGAAAAAAACTTTTATGCTAGAATAGTATATCTGGTGAAAATAACCTTCAAACATGAAGGAGAAATAAAGGCTTTCCCAGACAAACAACAGCTGAGAGATTTCATCAACACCAGACCTGTCCTACAAAAAAATGCTAAAGAGAGTCCTTCAACCTGAAAAAAGGACGTTAATGAACAATAAGAAATCATGTGAAAGTACAAAATTCACTGGTAATAGAAAGTACACAGAAAATGCAGAATGTTATAACACTGTAATTGTGGTGTGTAAACTACTCATATCTTGAATAGAAAGACGAGAAGAAGGGCTGGGTGCAGTGGCTCACACCTGTAATCCTACCACTTTGGGAGGCTGAGGTGGGCAGATCACGAGGTCAACAGATGAGACCATTCTGGCCAACACTGTGAAACGCCATCTCTACTAAAAATACAAAAATTAGCTAGGCATGGTGGCACATGCCTGTAGTCTCAGCTACTCAGGAGGCTGAGGCAGGAGAATCGCTTGAACCCGGGAGGCAGAGGTTGCAGTGAGCCGAGATTGTGCCACTGCACTCCAGCCTGGTGACAAGAGCGAGACTCTGTCTCAAAAAAAAAAAAAAAAGGAAAGATGAGAAGATGAATCAATATAAATACATCAATAACTAAAACAATGTTTCAAGACACAGTACAATAAAATATAAATAAAAACAGCAGGTTGGGCACAGTGGCTCACGCCTGTAATCCCAACCCCTTGGGAGGCCGAGGCGGGCAGATCACAAGGTCAGGAGATCCAGACCATCATGGCCAACATGGTGAAACCCTGTCTCTACTAAAAATACAAAAAAATTAGCTGGGCGTGGAGTGGCGCAAGCCTGTAGTCCCAGCTACTCGGTGTCAAGCCTCTGAGCCCAAGCTAAGCCATCATATCCCGTGACCTGCATGTATACATCCAGATGGCCTAAAGCAATTGAAGATCCACAAAAGAAGTGAAAATAGCCTTAACTGACGACATTCCACCATTGTGATTTGTTTCTGCCCCACCCTAACTGATCAATGTACTTTGTAATCTCCCCTACTCTTAAGAAGGTTCTTTGTAATTCTCCCCACCCTTGAGAATGTACTTTGTGAAATCCACCCCCTGCCCGCAAAACATTGCTCCTAACTCCACCACCTATCCCAAAACTTACAAGAACTAATGATAATCCCACCACCCTTTGCTGACTCTTTTTGGACTCAGCCCGCCTGCACCCAGGTGAAATAAACAGCCTTGCTGCTCACACAAAGCCTGTTTGGTGGTCTCTTCACACGTGCGCGTGTGACACTTGGGAAGCTGAGGCAGGAGAATCGCTTGAACCTGGGAGGCGGAGGTTGCAGTGAGCTGAGATCACGCCACTACGCTCCAGCCTGGTGACAGCGAGACTCCATCTCAAAAATAAATAAATAAATAAATTAAAAAGTAAAAACAGCAAAAAGTTAAAAAAGCAGGGGGACAAAGTTAAAGTGTAGAGTACTAACTTTCTCTTGGCCTGTTTGTTTATGCAATCAGTGTTAATTTGTCATCAGCTTAAAGTAATATGTTATATTATTTGCAAGCCTCATGGCAACCTCAAATCAAAAAACATACAACAGATACATAAAAAGTAAAATGCAAGAAATTAAAACATACCACTAGAGACAACCACCTTCCCAAAAAGGAAGACAGGAAGGCAGGAAAGGAGGAAAAGAAGACCACAAAACAACCTGGAAATAACAAAATAGCAGGACTAAGTCCTTACTTATCAATAATAACATTGAATGTAAATGGACTAACATTTGAATGTAAAGCTCTCCAATCAAAAGACAGAGTGGCTGAATATATTATAAAAACAAGCAAACAAACAAACAAAAAAACAAGACCCAAAAATCCATTGCCTACAAGAAACACACTTCATCTATAAAGACACACATAGACTGAAAATAGATGGAAAAATATATTCATGCAAATGGAAACCAAAAAAGAGCTGGACTAGCTATAGACAAAATAGACTTCAAGACAAAAACTATAAAAAGAGACAAACAAGGTCATTACATGATGATAAAGGGGTCAATTCAGCAAGAGGATATAATAATTGTCAACATGTATGCACCCAATGTTGGAGCACCCAGATACATAAAGCAAATATTATTACAGTAAAAGAGAGAGATAGACCCAATAGAATAATTGCTGGAGATTTCAACATTCTACTTTCAGCACTGGACAGACTATCCAGATAGAAATCAACAAAGAACTATCAGACTTAATCTGCACTACAGATCAAATGGACATAATAGATATATACAGACCATTTCATCCAATGGCTGCAGAATGCGCATTCTTTTCCTCAGCACATAGATCACTCTCAAGCATAGACCATGTTAGGCCATAAACCAGTCTTAAAACATTCAAAAAATTAAAATTATATAAGATATCTTCTCTAACCACAATGGAATAAAACTAGAAATCAATAAGGAGGAATTTTGGAAACTATACAAACACAGAAATAAAACAACATGCTCCTGAATGATCACTAGGTCAATGAAGAAATTAAGAAGAAAATTTAAAAGTTTCTTGAAATAAATGATAATGGAAACACAACACATCAAAGCCCATGGGATATGGCAAAAGCAGTACTAAAAGGAAAGTTTATAGCTATAAGCACCTACATCAAACAAGAAGAAAAACTTCAAATAAACAATTTAATGATGCATCTTAAAAGAACTAGAAAAGAGCAAACCAAACTCAAAATTATTAGAAGAAAATAAATAATAAAGATCAGAGCAGAAATAAATGAAATGAAGAAAATGATACAAAAGATTAACAAAATAAAAAAATCAGTTTTTTAAAAAAATGAAATCAGCAAACTTTTAGCTAGACTAAGAAAAAAAGAGAAGACCCAAATAAGTAAAATCAGAGATGAAAAAAGAGACATTATAACCAATACTGGAGAAATTCAAAGGATCATTAGAAGCTACTGTGAGCAACTATATGCCAATAAATTAGAAAACCTAGAAGAAATAGATAAATTCCTAGAAAATACAACCTACCAAGATTGAACCATGAAGAAATCCAAAACCTGAACAGACTAATAGCAGGTAATGAGATTGAAGCTGTAATAAAAAGTCTCCGAGCAAAGAAAAGCTCAGAACCCAATGGCTTCACTGCTGAATTTTACTGAACAATTAAAGAAGAACTAATACCAATCCTAATTAAACTATTCCAAATAATAGAGGAAGAGGGAATACTTCCAAACTCATTCCAGGAGGGCAATATTACCCTGATACGAAAACCAGACCAAGACACATCAAAAAAAAAAAAAAAAAGAAAGCTACAGGCCAATATCCTTGCTGAACATTGATGCAAAAATCCTCAACAAAATACTAGCAAACTGATTTCAGCAACACATTAAAAAGACAATACATCATGACCAAGTGGGATTTATCTTAGAAATGCAAGGACGGTTAAACATGCGCAAATGAATCAATGTGATATATCAGATCAAGAGAATGAAGGACAAAAACCATATGATCATTTCAACTGGTGCTGAAAAAGCATTTGATAAAATTCAACATCCCTTCCATGATAAAAACCCTCAAAAACTGAGTACAGAAGGAACATACCTCAATACAATAAAAGCCATATATGACAGACTCACAGCTAGTATCATACCGAATGGGGAAAAACAGAAAGCCTTTCCTTTAAGATCTGGAATATGACAAGGGTGCCCACTTTCACCACTGTTATTCAACATAGTACTGGAAATCCTAGCAAGAGAAATCAGATAAGAGAAAGAAGTAAAGGGCATCCAAATTAAAAAAGAAGTCAAATTATCCTTGTTTGCATGTGATATGATCTTCTGTTTGAAAAAACCTGAAGACTCCAGCAAAAAAAGTACCAGAACTGATAAACAAATTCAGTAAAGTTGCAGGATACAAAATCAACATAGAAAAATCAATAGCATTTCTATATGCCAACAGCAAACAATCTGACAAAAGAAATCAAGAAATTAATATTTTCAGTAGCTAAAAGTAAAATCCCTAGGAGTTAACCAAAGAATTGAAAGATCTCTACAATGAAAATTATAAAGCACTGATGAAAAAAATTGAAGAGGACACACACAAAAAAATGGAAAGATAGTCCATGCTCATGGGTTGGAAGGATCAATATTGTTAAAATGTTCATACTACCTAAAGCAATCTATAGATTCAATGCAATTGTTATCAAAATACCAATGACATTCTTCACAGAAATAGGAAAAAATGCTAAAATTTATATGCAACCACAAAAGACCCAGAATAGGCAAAGCCATCCTGAGCAAACAGAAAAAACTGGAGGAGCCTGACTTCAAATTATACTACAAAACTACAGTAACCAAAATAGCATGGTACTGACATAAAAGTAGACACATAGGCCAGGAAGGGTGGCTTGTGCCTGTAATCCCAGCACTTTGGGAGGCTGAGGTGGGAGAACTGCTTGAGCCTGGGAGTTTGAGTCCTGGGCAACATAGTGAGACCTTGTCTCTACAAAAAAATAAAAAATTAGGCATGGTGGTGTGCACCTGTGGTACTTGGGAAGCTGAGGCAAGAGGATTACCTAAGCCCAGGAGGTCAAGGCTACAGCAAGCCATGTTCACACCTCTGCACTCCAGCCTGAGCAAGAGAGCAAGATCCTGTCACAAACAGCGACAACAAAGAATAACAACAAGCAGACACAAAGACCAATGGAACAGAACAGAGAACCCAGAAACAAATCCATACATCTCCAGCGAACTCATTTTCAACAGCGGTGCCGAGAAATATATTGGGGAAAGAACAGTGTCTTCAATAACTGGATATCCATATGCAGAAAAATGAAACCAGACCCCTATCTCTTGCCATACACAAAAATCAAATCAAAATGGATTAAAGACTTAAATCTAAGACCTCAAACTATGAAACGACTAAAAGAAAACAGAGGAAATTCTCTAGGATAATGGACTGGGCAAAGGTTCCTTGAGTAATATCCCGTAAGCACAGGTAGCCAAAGCAAAAATGGACAAATGGGATCATATCAAGTTAAAAAGCTTCTGTACAGCAAGGGAAACAATCAACAAAGTGAAGAGGCAACCCACAAAATGGGAGAAAATATATGTAAACTATCCATCAGACAGGGGATTAATAACTAGAATATATAAGGAGCTCAAATAACTGTATATGAAAAAAGTCTAATAACTTGATTTAAAAAGGGGGAAAGATCTGAAGACATTTCTCAAAGGACATACAAATGGCAAAGAGGTATATGAAAAGGTGTTCAACATCACTGATCATCAGATAAATGCAAATCAAAACTACAGTGAGATATCATCTCACCCCAATTAAAATGGTTTTTTTTGTTTGTTTGTGATGGAGTTTCGCTCTTGTTGCCCAGGCTGGAGTGCAGTGGTGCGATCTTGGCTCACTGAAACCTCCGCCTCCCGGGTTCAAGCGATTCTCCTGCCTCAGCCTCCTGAGTAGCTGGGATTTGAGGTGTGCACCACCATGCCTGGCTCATTTTCGTATTCTTAGTAGAGACGGGGTTTCACCATGTTGACCAGGCTGGTCTTGAACTCCTGACCTCAGATGATCCACCCGCCTTGGCCTCCCAAAGTGGTGGGATTACAGGCATGAGTCACCATGCCCGGCCTTAGAATGGCTTTCATCCAAAAGACAGGTACTAACAAATACTGGCCAGGATGTGGAGAAAAGGGAACCCTCATACACTGTTGGTGGGAATGTAAATTAGTACAACCTGATGGAAAACAGTTTGGAAGTTCATCAAAAAAGTAAAATAGAACTATGATATAATCCAGCAATCCCACTGCTAAGTATATACCCAAAAGAAAGGAAATCAGTGTATTAAAGAGATATCTGTACTCCCTTATTTATTGCTTCCTTGTTTATTCACAATAGCCAAGATTTGGAATCAAGCTAAGTGCCCATCAGGAAATGCATGGATAAAGAAAATGTGATACATACACACCTTGGAGTACTATTCAGCCATAAAAAAGAAGAGCCTATCATTTGCAACAACATGGATGCAACTGGAGATCATTACGTTAAGTGAAATAAGCTAGACACAGAACGACAAAGCTCACATGTTCTCACTTATTTATGAGAGCTAAAAATTAAAACAACGGAACTCATGGAAATAGAGCACAGAATGATGGTTACCAGCAGCTAGGAAGGATAGTGGGTGGGGGAAATGGGGATGGTTAATGGGTACAAATATAGTTAGAATGAATAAGATCTAATATTTGATAGTGCAACAGGACAACTATAGTCAACAATAATTTGTACATTTAAAAATAACCAAAAGAGTAAATTGGATTGTTTGTAACACAAAGGATAAATGCTTGGATAGATACCCTATTTACCCTGATGTGATTATTACTCATTGTATGCCTGTATCAAAATACCTCATGTACCTCATAAATGTATACCTCATACATGTATACACCTACTACGTATCCACAAAAACTAAAAATTAAAAAAACTAACAACAAAGAATCCTATATTTAGGAAACTTATCTTTCAAAAATGAAGGTGATTATGTTAGGTGAAAGAAGCCAGACACAAAAGGTCACATATTTTATTATTGTATATATATGAAATATTCAGAATAGATAATATAGCCAGAATAGGTAAATCCACAGAGACAGAATGCAGAATGGTGTTTGCCAGGGGCTAGGAGTGAGAGAGGGATAGGGGAACAGATGCTTAATGGGTATGGGGTTTTATTTTGAGGTGATAAAAATGTTACAGAACCAGATAGAGGTGGTGGCTATACAACACTGTGAATGTACTAAAGACCACTGAATCGTAGAATGATTAATTTTAAATATGTATGTGAATTTCAGGTAAAAAAATAAGGTGAAATAAGTAAAAACAAAGAATTCAATGCTAGCAGACTAGCCTCATAAGAAACACGGAAGGAAGTTATTCAGACTGAAAGGAAGTAACAAAAAACAATTAAAATCCACATGAAAAAATGAAGAGCTCCAATAAAGCACTAAGCAGAATGCAGAGCACACAATGATAAGTATATATCAGCTGAACTAATTTCATTTTCTTAGGTACTCTGCCCTACATTTCTGGAGAAGTGAACCTTTTATTTGTAGATGAAGACTTAATATGGCAACAAAAGAACAAATAAATGTGATATCCTTCCTCTATGGGCTAATTTTCTTCTTTATCAATGCGCTTTATCACCAAGAATATCTTGAGACCTTCCATGGCCTTATTTTATACTACCTTGGCCTCTACTCAGCACTCACTGGCTCCAAACACGTTTAACCAGTATACTAGTTTTGAAGTACATTTTAATCTATGTTTCCTTATGCCTCATACATTTTCTCCACTTAACTTTATTGAAAAAGGAAAGACAGAGGAGAAGATGAAAGGGGAAAATCCTCTCCTTCCTCTTACAGGCCTGGAATAGAGGAAACAAAGGCCTTGAAGGTAGGGAGGTAATATGTGCCTAGAACTCCCCACACTCTAAGGCATGAGTGTGAAATGCAAGAGAAGCAGTGAGTTAAGTGGGAAAAGTGTCATGTCAAACTGAGAGAATAACTTCTAAGTAGCTTTCAGTTCCCATGTAGCACAGACCCTGAGTAGGATGAAGTAGGGTCATTTCAGAAGGCAAGGTGAGGCTGGGCATAGTGGCTCATGCCTGTAATCCCAACACTTTGGGAGGCCGAGAGGCAGGAGGATTGCCTGAGCCCAGGAGTTCGAGATCAGCCTGGGCAACATAGTGGGACCTTGTCTCTACAAATTGTTTTTTTAAATTAGCCAGGCATGGGGGCACGTGCCTGTACTCCCAGCTACTTGGGTAGCTGAAGGCGGGAGGATTGCTTGAGCCCAGCAGGCAGAGGTTGCAGCGAGCTGAGATTGTGCCACGCCAGCCTGGGTGACAGAGTAAGACCCTGTTTCAAAAAAAAAAAAAGAAGGCAAGATGCTCCTACATGCATGCTGTGGGGTTTAGGGGACCCAGGAAGCATCTAGAGAATGACAGATTCAGAGAGATCTACAGAGATAGCAAGAACCAAAGGAGGCCAGTTGATAAAGAGAGGTCCTTGGACCATCACTGAGCTGTGAAATACACCATAAATTCATCAGCCACTGAATGTCCTGAAAAAGGAGCTAGCTAAATCATCCAGCATATACCCAAGCTATGAAGATCTTCCCTGTTATCTCAAACACCACTTTAACAGAGAACAGGGATACAAAGTAGAATCTGAATGACTAAATAATTGTCAAGAGAACAATTTGCTGATTGAACTAAGTTTTGAATCAGACTGCATTAAAATTAGTTTTTTCATTTTATCAATCAGAACTCACAGGGGATAGCAGAGTGAGTTTAGAAACACTCTGGGCCTCTTGGAGCTTAGATTCTACTTTGGGGACAGGGAAATGAAAACATAAGCAAGTGAATAAGTGAGATAAAATGTGATATTGATAAGTTAAGAAAATGCAATAAAGGTAATGGGTTATGGAATGAATCAGAAACTCTACTTTGAATTTAGTAACCAAAGACAACCTTGAGGAAGATGACATTTCAGCAGAAACCTGAATGATGAGAAAGAACCAGTCATATAAATATCTAGGGTAGGAACATTTAAAAGCATGTTCAGAGTTCTTGGGGCAAGACAAAGTTGGTCTGCTCAAAGCGGGGAAAGGTTAGTGAGGGTGAAACACAGTGAATGAGGGAGAATGTAGCACAAGATAATGGTGAAGACATGGGCAGAAGGCATACCAAGAGGGGCTTTGTAAGGGACGTTATTCCACATGTAAAGGAAAGACACTAGATGGTATTAAGCAGAGAAGTCATAATAAAACCTTAGGTTTAAATTATCACTTTGGTTGTTCTATGGAGAATGGACTATAGATGGTCAGGAGTGGATACAGGGAGATTAGTAGGCAGTTGCCAGAGTAGTTCCAGGTAAGAAATGAAGTGACATGGATTATAAGATCCATGGAAATGTTGATCAGAGAATATAATAATATTCAGCAATGAGATTAACTGAACTACAACTAGATGCACCAATTTAACATGGATGAATCTCACAAACATAATATTAAACAAAAGCCAGACACAGAATACACAGATTATATAAAGTTAAAAGACAGGAAGAAACAATTTATGGTGATAAAAGTTGAACACTCCTGGGGTGGGGGTGATGACTAGGAAGTATAGAAAAGGTATCCTAGAGTGCTAGGGTAATTCTGTATTTCTTCACTGAGTGTGTGCGCTGTGTTACACAGGTATGTTCATTTTGAAAATTAACTGAGTGTGCCTGAGGAAGAAACTGGAGATATATAGAAGCTGGCAGATAAAAATACATGGTCGGCCGGGTGCTGAGGCTCACGCCTGTAATCCCAGCCTTTGTGAGGCGGGCAGATAACCCGAGGTCAGGAGTTGGAGACCAGCCTGGCCAACAGGGTGAAACCCTGTCTCTACTAAAAACACAAAATTAGCTGGGCATGGTGGCGCACGCCTGTAATCCCACCTACTCGGGAGGCTGAGGCAGGAGAATTGCTTGAACCTGGGAGGCAGAGGTTGCAGTGAGCCAAGATCGCATCACTGCACTCCACCCTGGGCAAAAAGTGAGACTCCAAAACACAAAAAACAAACAAAAAAAACCACGGTCAAAGAAAGGTATATCTCAGAAGAGCAAAGCTTTGAGCTGAGGGTAAAAAGTAAAATATGTTCAGTATCTGAGAGTGTAGGATAAATCTGAAAGAAAACCACAAGTATTCACAGAATATCAAGTGTACTAGGTGATCTTCTAGGTACTGGAGATACAGCAGTAAACAAAGTAAAACACACTCTCTGCTTACATTCTAGTGGTTAAAATTTTAAGAATTTACCAGAAATGATTACAGTGTGGCTCAATCAGCAGCAAATGCCCATTGAAAAAGATAATTACATAGGGTCATCTGAAAGACACACATCCCACCTCTTTCTTAAGATAGTCTAGTTTTCTCTCTTTAAATTTACGGGCCGGGCGCAGTGGCTCACACCTATAATCCCAGCACTGTGGGAGGTCAAGGCAGGTGGATCACTTGAGGTCAAGAGCTTGAGACCAACCTGGCCAACATGGTGAAATCCCATCTGTACTAAAAATACAAAAAAAAAAAAAAAATTAGCCAGGCGTGCTGGTGGGTGCCTATAATCCCAGCTACAATGGAGGCTGAGGCAAGAGAATCACTTGAACCCGGGAGGCAGAGGTTGCAGTGAGCTGAGATCGTGCCATTGCACTCCAGCTTGGGCAACAGAGCAAGACTCCATCTCAAAAAATAAATAAATAAGTAAATAAATAAATAAATTTATGTATGACATGCATAGAGTAATGTGGTAAAATGGACTAGTCTTAAGCATAAAATCTGATAAATCTGTATACATTTATAGACATGGGTACCTACCAGTAAGTCAAAATACAGAACATTTTCACCCCTCCAGATTTCTTCATGCTGTTTCACAGTAAATACCCTCTCAGAGGTAACCAGTATTCTGACTTCTATCACAATACATTAGTTTTGCCCATTTTCAACTTTATATGAATGGAACCCTATGATATATACTTTTTTGTTTCTGGCTTCTTTCATTCTATGTTTGTGTAATCTATCCATGTTGGTTGTTGCGTGTAACAGTCATCTGTTCTTTTTTATTGTTAAGTAGTATTTCACCGTGTGAAATACTATAATTTATTCCTTTTCCTGTTAATTTTCATTTGCATTGTTTCTAATGCTGGGCTATTTTGATAGTTACACTTTGTTTTATCCTTGATCGAAAGAGAACATCAAAAGAGCTAGGTTTATCAACTACAAGAAGTAACACTACAATGTTTTCATTGACCTAGGTATCAATGAAAAGCTTATTTCTGTTAGAAAATGTTGATTTTTTATTGTTACAATGAAAATTATGTAACAAATTTTTGCTCTGGTTTTCTTTACCTGTAAAAAGGAAATTTAAATTTGAAGCCCAGCTTTAATCTCTCTGAATGAATTTCATAAAATACCCACATTTTAACTCTTCCCTAGTTTTAATCGTTCAACTCTATTTCCCCTGAAAATATGTTTTATGTATACAGACCTTTATAATTTACTGTATGAATTACTGCAATCCCCTTAAATTGCATTGGAGAGTAAGGCAAGAAACAAATACACTATTTAACATTTACCTGGGACTCAGTCATTTCCTCTTCTTTCTGGGAAGGGATGGGGCCTGCAGAAGTAGAGCTGGGGAAGAGAATAAAAGTCATTAAAATAGGCCTGTCTTTAGTTTCAGAAACATGCACACACAGGGTGGATTAAAGGTCACCCTGTAGTGGAATGATAATTAAATCTATCAGAAATGCCAAGAATATTCATACCACAAAGGTTCTTAATAGGTGTGAGGATGATTGGAATAATCATGCAGAGCTTGGGCACAGGGTGGATAGAAACAGGGGTGCGTATGTGGGAGCTCTGTATCAGAGAATACATGTAGCATCATGAAAGCATATATGCAGGAAAATTATGAAACTGACAAAACACCTAAAGTATTTTAAAGTATTGAGACATTTAAGACAGTCATAATTAGCAATTAAAAAAGAAGTAGCAATTTAAAAGAATTTAAAAGGTGATATATCTTGAGGAACAAATAAAAAGTTTTTATGTGTGAGTAATGTGTATCGGAGGTACTGATGGTAAGAGAGTTAAATCCGTACTTTTCCCTAGCCAGAGCAATCAGACAAGAGAAAGAAATAAAAGGCATCCAAATTGGTAAAGAGGAAGTCATACTGTTGCTGCTGCTGATGACATGATTGTATACCTGGAAAACCCTAAAGATTCATCCCAAAAGCTCCTAGAACTGGCAATTGAATTCAGCAGTTTCAGGACACAAAATTAATGTACACAAATCAGTAGCCCTGCTATATGCCAACAGCAACCAAGCTGAGAATCAAATCAAGAACTCAGCCCCTTTTACAATAGCTGCCAAAAAAAATAAAATGCTTAGCAATGTACTTGACCAAGGAGGTAAAAGATCTCTATAAGGAAAACTACAAAACATTGCTGAAAGAAATCACAGATAACACAAACAAATGGAAACACATCCCGTGCTCATGGATGGGTATAATCAATATTGTGAAAATGACCATATTGCCAAAAGCAATCTACAAATTTGATGCAATTCCCATCAAGGTACCACCATCATTCTACACAGAACTAGAAAAAAAAACAATCCTAAAAATCATATGGAACCAAAAAAGAGCCCACATAGCCAAAGCAAGACTAAGCAAAAAGAACAAATCTGGAGGCATTACATTATCTGACTTCAAACTATATTATAAGACCACAGTCACCAAAACAGCATGGTACTGGTATAAAAACAGGCATATAGACCAATGGAACAGAATAGAAAACCTAGAAATAAAGCCAAATACTTACAGTCAACATATCTTTGACAAAACAAACAAAAACATAAAGTGGGGAAAGGAAACCCTATTTAACAAATGGTGCTGGGATAATTGGCAAGCCATATGTAGAAGAATGAAACTGGGGCCAGGTGTGGTGGCTCACCCCTGTAATCCCATTACTTTGGGAGGCCAAGGTGGGCGGATCACGAGGTCAGGAGATTGAGACCATCCTGGCTAACACAGTGAAACCCCGTCTCTACTAAAAATACAAAAAAATTATCCAGGCATGGTGGCAGGTGCCTGTAATCCCAGCTACTTGGGAGGCTGAGGCAGGAGAATGGCGTGAACCTGAGAGGCGGAGGTTGCAGTGAACCAATATCACACCACTGCACTCCAGCCTGGGCAACAGAGCGCGACTCCATCTCAAAAAAAAAAAAAAAAAAAAGAATGAAACTGGATCCTTATCTCTCACCTTATACAAAAATCAACTCAAGATGGATCAAAGACTTAAATCTAAGACCTGAAACCATAAAAATTCTAAAAGATAACATTCGAAAAACCCTTGTAGACATTGGCTTAGGCAAAAACTTCATGACCAAGAACCGAAAAGCAAACACAACAAAAACAAAGATAAACAGATGGGACTTAATTGAACTAAAAAGCTTCTGCACAGCAAAATAATCAGCAAAGTAAACAACCCACAGAATGGGAGAAAATCTTCACAATCTATACATCCAAAAAAGGACTAATACTCAGAATCTACAAGGAACTCAAACAAATCAGCAAGAAAAAAACAATCCCATCAAAAAGTGGGCTAGGACATGAATAGACAATTCTCGAAAGAAGATATACAAATGGCCAACGAACGTATGAAAAAATACTCAACATCACTAATTATTAGGGAAACGCAAACCATAACCACCATATGATACTTCACTCCTGCAAGAATAGCCATAATCAAAAAATAATAAATGTTGGCATGGATGTGGTGAAAAGGGAACACTTTTATACTGTCGGTAGGAATGTAAACTAGTACAACCACTATGGAAAACAGTGTGAAGATTCCTTAAAGAACTAAAAGTATATCTGCCATTTGATCCAGCAATCCCACTCCTGGGTATTTATCCAGAGGAAAAGAAGTCATTACAGGAAAAAGATACTTGCACATGCATGTTTATAGCAGCACAATTCGCAATTGCAAAAATATGGAACCAGCCTATATATAAAAAGGAACAAAATAAAGGCATAAAAACAGAGTGAATTTTACTGTATACAAATAGAATTCAACCAGGATGTGAATTCTGGGAGGTGGAATCTAAAATAGAATGTAGAATATGACACATTAATTTAACTGTACTACAGAAGAGGTTTATGGTAGATTCTTTGGCATTTTCTACTTAATTATGTTGTCTGCAAATAGAAACAGTTATATTCCTTCCTTTTCAATCTTTATGTCTTTTATGTACTTTTCCCTTATTGCACTGGCTAGGAATTCCAGTACAATAGTGACTATTATAATAGTAGTAAGAGAGGACATCCTTGCATTGTTCCCAGTCTTAGAGATAAAGCATTCAGTATCTCACCATTAACTGTAATGTAGCTCTAGGTTTTTTGAAGATGCCCTTTAGTAAAGGTTGTTCCCTTCAATTCCTAGTTTGCTGAGGAGTTGCTTTGTTTTTTGTTGTTAACATGAATGAATGTTTGTCAAGTGCTTTTCTGCATCTACTAACAGTCATATGTTTATTCTCTTATTACAGTCAACTGTAGTAATTGATTTTCAAAGGATGAACTGGAAATTCATCTCATATTCCCAAGATGAACCCTATTGTGATATACTTTTTTCATATTGCTAGATTCAATTCACCCATATTCTGTTGAGGATTTTTGTTTCTAACTCCATGAGGAATACTAGTCTGTAGTTTTCTTGTAATATCTTTGGCTTTGGTATCTGGGCAAAGCTGGCCTCATAAAATCAGATGAAAAGTCTTCCTCCTCTTCTATATTCTGGAAAAGTTTGTATAGAATCATTAGAATTTCTTCCGTAGATGTTTAGTACTTCACCTGGGAAATTATCTGGGTGTGGAGTTTCCATTTTGGAAGGTTTTTAATCACAAATTCAATTTCATTAATAGATATACAACTATTCAGGTTATTTCTTATTGTCTGAATTTTGGTAGTTTATGTCTTTCAAAAAATTTACTCATTCATCCAAGTTGTCAAATTCGCAGGTATGGAGTTGTTTGCAGTATTCTTTTATTATCCTTTTCAAATCTGTGGGGGTGAGTGTGACACCCTATCTTTCATTCCTGATATTATCAGCAATTTGTTTCTTTTTTTCAACTTTTATTGATCTTTTCAAAGAACAAGCCTTTAGTTCACTGATTTTTCTCCATTATTTTTGGTTTCAAATTGTCCTGAATTATGCTGTAATCTTTTTTTTTTTTTTTTTTTTTTTTTGAGACGGAGTCTGGCCCTGTCGCCCAGGCTGGAGTGCAGTGTTGTGGTCTCAGCTCACCGCAAGCTCCGCCTCCCGGGTTCACGCCTTTCTCCTGCCTCAGCCTCGCGAGTAGCTGGGACTAAACGCGCCCGCAACCACGCCCGGCTGATTTTTTGTATTTTTAGTAGAGACGGGGTTTCACCGTGTTAGCCAGGATGGTCTCGATCTCCTGACCTCGTGATCCACCCACCTCAGCCTCCCAAAGAGCCACCGCATCCGGCCTATGCTGTAATCTTTAATATCCGTTTCCTTTTGTTTGCTTTGAGTTTAGTTTGCTTGTTTCCCCTCTAGTTTGTTAAGGCAGAAGTGTAGTAATGATTTTTCTAATTATTTATATCATGTAATGCAACAAACTTCCCTGTATGCACTAATTTAGCTGCTTCCCACATATTTTGGTGTGCTGTATTTCCATTTTCTTTCGAATTATTTTTTAATTTCCTATAATGTTTCTTGACTCATGGACTATTTAGAAGTGTGTTTCATTTTGAAATATTTGGAGATTTTCCAGATACCTTTCTGTTCTTTACTTCTAGTTTTATTCTGCTATGTTCTGAGAACAGACTTTGAATGACTTTTATGTCTTTAAAATTCTTGACATTTCTATTATGGCCCCAAATATGATCTATGTAGGTGAATGCCCATGCGCACTTGAGGAAGACATGTATTCTGCTGTTGTTTAGAATGTTCTATAAATGTCACTCACATTTGAACACCGAAAAAATTGACATTCAATACATGAATGTTGGTTGATAATGCCGTTTTGGAGTCTTCTGTAACCTTTCTGATATCCTTTCACGCTCTATCGATTCCTGAAAGAGAAGTTTTAAGTCCCCAACTATAATTGTGCGTGTGTCTATTTCTCCTTTCAGTTCTATCAGTTTTTGCCTCGTATATCTTGAAGCTCTGTTAGCTGCATACACATTTATGATTGTTGTCTCTTCTTACTAACCCCTTGAGCATTATGTTTCTTCATCCCTGATTAAATCCCTTGTTCTAAACTTTGTCTAATATTAAAGTTGCTTCCTCTTTTTTTTTTTTGGTTAGTATTTTGTGGCTTTTTTTAATATCATTTGCTTTTAATATACTTATTTATCTTTATATTTAAAATGGGTATCTTAGGCTACTCCATCTTGTAGTCTGGTAGTTAAAATGGGTTTCTTGTAAAACAGCATTTAGATGAATCTTGCTCTTTTATTCAATGTGATAAGCTCTATCTGTAACTGGTGCATTCAGAATGATATTAAAATTGATTACTGATACAGCTGGATTAAGATGTACCATCTTCTTAGCTGTTTTCTATTTGCTCCTTTGTTCTTTTTCGCTCTCCTTCCCCCACTTTTCTCCTTTGGTTTCGTTTAATTGCACACTTTTTATTATTCTGTTTTATCTCCCACTTAGTCATTGTGGATGACATTTTAATGTACTGTTGGACATGGTTTTCTAGTATTTTGTTGGGGATTTTTGCATCTGTGCTCACCAGGAATACTGCCCTGCAGTTTTCTTGTGTCTCTGTCTTGCTTTGGTATCAGGTTAATGCTGGCCTCATGAGTCTGGAACTGGTCCCTCCTCCTCAATATTCTGAAAGATTTTGAGAAGGATTTCCATTAATTCATCTTTAAATGTTTGGTAGAATTCACCAGTGGAGCTGTATGGTCCAGAGCTCTTCCATTAGGAGGTTTTTGATTCCTGATTCAGTTTCCACACTAGTTATAGGTCTGTTCAGACATTTTATAATATTTCTTCATGATCTAATCTTGGTAGTTCGTATGTTTCTAGGAATTTAATTTTTTATTCTAGGTTATCCAGTTTGTTGATGTATAATTGTTCACAGTTTTTTCTTAAGATCCTTTTTACTTCTGTGGCATCAGTTGTATTGTCTCTTCTTTCAATTCTGATGTTATTTATTTGAGTCTTCTCTATTTTTTTCATAGTTTAGCTAACGGTTTGTCAGTTTATCTTTTCCAAATACCAACTGTTAGTTTCTGTCACTTTTCTATTTAATTTATTTATGCTCTCGTTTCCTTTATTTCCTTTCTTCTGCTAACTTTGGGCTTAGTTTGCTCTTCTGATTCTAGTTCCTTGAGATGTAAAGTTAGTTGTTTATTTGAGATCTTTCTTCTTTTATCAGGTAAGAGCTTATCCATATGAATTTACCTCTCAGTTCTGCTTTTGCTGCAACTTATAAGTTTTGGTATGTTGTGTTTTTGTTTGCCTCAAGGTATTTTCTAATTTCATTTTTTATTTCTCGTTTGACCCAATGGTTATTCAAGATTATGTTCATTTCAATATACTTCTGGATTTCTTGGTTTTCCTTGTTATATTGATTTCTAGTTTCATTCTACTGTGGTCAGAAAATATATTTGGTATGATTTAGATATTTTAAAATTTTTTAACATTTGTTTTGTGATCTAATATATGATGCATTATGGAGAAATGTCCATGTGTACTGGAGAAGAATATGTATTCTACAGCTGTTGGGTATAAAGTTGTGTAGATGGCCAGGCACGGTGGCTCATGCCTGTAATCCCAGCACTTTGGGAGGCTGAGGCAGGCAGATCACCTGAGGTCAGGAGTTCGAGACCAGCCTGGATAACATGTTGAAACCCTGTCTCTGCTAAAAATACAAAAATTAGCTGGGCATGGTGGTGGACACCTGTAATCTCAGCTACTCGGGAGGCTGAGGCAGGAGAATCACTTGAACCCGGGAGGCGGAGGTTGCAGTGAGCCGAGATCGTGCCACTGCACTCCAGCCTGGGTGACAGAGCAAGACCCCATCTGAAAAAAAAAAAAAAAAAAAAGTTCTGTATATGTCTCTCAGATCCATTAGGTCTACAGTGTTATTCAAGTCAAATGTTTCCTTATTGATTTGTCAGGAAGTTCTGTCCATTATTAATGGACAGAAAGTGGGGTATTAAAGTCTCCTATTATATTGTATTGCTGTATATTTCTCCCTTCAATTTTGCCAGTGTTTCTTTTACATATTAGATGTCCTGGTGTTGGGTGCATATATATTTATAATCATTCTATCTTCCCAGTGGGTTGACCTATTATCATTATAAAATGTCCTTCCTTGTCTCTTGTGACAGTTTTTTACTTAAATCCTATTTTATCTGACATATGTATAGCTACCCCGCTGTCTTTTGGTTACCATTTGCATGGATCATCTTTTTCCATCCCGCACCTTCAGCCTATGTGTGCCGTTAAGATCTGAAGTGAGCTTTTTGTAGACAGCATATAGTTGGGTCTTGTTTATATATCCATTCAGCCACTCTGTTTCTTGATTGGGGAGTTTAATGTGCGTTTCCTGTAATTATTGCTAGGGAAGAATTTACTATTGCTATTTTGTTAGTTGCTTTATGTTAGTCTTCTTCCTTCATCTCTTCTCTCTTGCAGTCTCCCTTTGTGTTTTGTTAGTTTTTTGTATTGATATGCTTTGACTTCTTTCTCTTTTGTGTAGCCTCTATGGGTAATTTCTGGCATATGTAGTTAGTTTGGGGCTTACATAAAATATAGATGTAACAGTCTATTTTGAGCTGGTAACAAACTTAAGTTTAATCACATACAAAAACTCTTCATTTTAAATTCTCCTGCCCACATTTGGTTATAACTGTCACAATTCACATCTATTCACAGTGTATCTTTTAACATATTTCATATCTATTTTTAATACTTTTGTCTTTTAACTTTCATAGTAGAATTAAAAGTTATTTACCCACCACCATTATGGTAATGCAGTATTCTGTATTTACATATATATTTACCTCTATCAATGAGTTTCATACTTTTCTATACTGTCTTTTTGCTGTTTGGTGTTTTTTCATTTCTATTTGAAAACTCCCTTTAGCATTTTTTATAAGGCAGGTCTAGTGGTGATGCTTTGGTTTGGGAAAGTCTTTCTCTCATCATCATTTTTAAAGGATAGTTTTGCCAAGTATAGTATTCCGGGTTGGCAGAGATTTTTTTGTTATTGTTGTTTGTTTTGTCTGTTTGATCTTTCAGCTCTTTGAATATATCATTCTACTCTGTTCTCGCCTGCAAAGTTTCTGCTGAAAAAAATCCCTTAATAGTCCTATAGATGTTCCCTTGTATGTGACAAGTTGCTTTTCTCTTGCTGCTTTCAAAATTCTGTGTTTGACTTTTGACAATTTGCTATAATGCATCTTGGTATGGGTTTGTTTCATTTTATTTTGTGTCCTTTGTGCTTCCTGAATCTGGATGTTCGTTTCCTTCCCCAGCTTTGGGGAGTTTTCAGCCATTACTTTTAAAATAAGCTTTCTGGTCCTTTTTCTCTATTTTCTCCTGAGATTCCCATAATGCATATATTAGTCTGCTTGATGGTATTCTATAACCCACTTAAGCCTTCTTCACTCTTTTTCATTATTTTTTATTATCACTCCCCTGACTGAATTATTTCTAATGGCTTGTCTTCCAGTTTGCTAATCCTTTCTTCTGCTTTATTTAGTCTGATGTTGAATCCTTCTAGTGAATTTTTCAGCCAATTCTCTGGAGAGCCCACAAAGAAAAGATGGCGTACTGGTTGCACAAACCAACCCCTTCTCTCCCCTGGATGAGTTAGGGCATCTCTTCCTGACTGTCTGGTACTGTACCAGGGGCAGTATCTCCAGCAACAGGGTATCCTGAATCTCCCTACTAGCTTCACTAGTCTTGTTTCATGTTCTCTCAGGATGCAACAGCCTTTACAATTAGTTTCTGATTTCTCACAAACAGAATTTGTCTGTGAATTGTTGCTGAATTAGTATTTTGGGAAGGTGAGGAAGGGTCCAAGTCTTCCTACACCACCATCTTGCTGATGTCACCCCCCACTCCTTCATTTTGAAGGGGTATTTTTGCTTGGTGTGAAATCCTGGATTGACAGTTTTTCTGCACTTTAAAAATGATTCTCCCTTGTCTTCTTGCTTGCATGGTCTCTGATAATAGATCTGCTATATGTAATTCTTATTCTTGTTCCTCAATAGACAATTTTTTTCTTGTTATCTTCAAGATTTTCCTTTTATTTTTAGTTTCCAGCAGTTTAAATATAATATGTGTAGATGTGTTTTAAAATTTTGTTTTGGTATTTATCTCTGAGCTTCTTGGACCTATGGTTTCGTGTCACTAACTTGGAAAATTCTCAGCCATCATTTATTTAAATACTTTTCTTCCATCTCTGCTCCAATTACCCATCAGGTCCATTTCATATAAGTCATAGTTATCTTAAATTCCTGTTGGGTTGTTGCAATACCTATGTCATAACTAAGTCAGTTATGATTATTGCTTTGTCTCTTTGAAGTATGTTTTTTCTTTTTCTTCTTGCCTTTTTATATGCCTCATAATCTTCATTGAAGGCTGTACATCTTGGATAGTACAGTAGATATGAAGGTTAAGAAGTTTTTACACTTAAACATGAGTATGTCTTTTCTTCTGCTAGGTTTTTAACATGGGGGGTTATGCTGGTCTATTCAATAGCTGGACAGGGTTTGAGGTTTGTCATTGCTGTGGTTACACTGAGTGTACCCCAGGCTTCAATAATATCCTCTAATAATATCTGTGTTTAAGGTAAGGGTTGATTTCCCATGGTTGTTTTCTCAATGCATGTTTCTCCCTTAGTTTTGGGTGTTCCATTTGTGCTGCTCCCCAGAGAGAATCTCTCTTGCAGGCTTCCTAGCTGTACTCTACTATTGCTTCTATTTGATTCTTGTTATCTTGGTGGGGGTTGAGTAGACGGAGGGATAGCATTCTCTTATGATCTCACTAAGCCTCAGTCTTAGGCAGACACCATATCCCTAAGTCTTGGGGATGTGGCCTTCACAAGTGCTCTTGCCGCTCTGCCAGCTGTAGTGCTAGTCCTAGAGCATATTCCTCCCCTACTCCCAGAGATATTACTTTTTTTCAGGTCCCTTTCCTAAACTGCAATAGCTTTCTACAAGTCTCCTAAGGCAACTGTTTTTGCTGCTCTTCATTATGCAGTGATAGGGAAGATGGGTTTGGGCTGCTGTTGCCCTCCCCCAGCTAACACCACAAGGAAAGGCTTCTCAGGATTCACTCCCATCTTCCCTATGAGTGCCTGTTGGGATTCCCAGAGGAAAAGCCTACAAGAGACTGCAACCCCCACCTCCCTAATTTTGCAAGTCCCCCAGTGGTTTCACACTTTCATTAGCTGACATTCACACTTTAAAAATTTGTTTAAAAACTTGATAGCTGTATTTTCTTACTGGCTTATATGGTGTCTGGCAGAGTCCATCCCAGGTAAGTAAAGCTTGAGTCCTGTTTCTCTCAGCTGGCATCTTTCTTTCCCCAGATTTAAGATTACTTGGTTGCCCTGTGACCTCAGTTCTCTGAAGGGTCCTAGAAAAATTATTTTGTAGTTTGTCCATTTCCTTGTTGTACGGTAGAAGTTTGTAGTTTCCTTGTTGTAATGATTGAAGCAAAGTTCTTTCCAGCTGTTTACATCCCTAAGGAGAAACCCAAAGTCCCCTCATTACAATAAACTTTTGAGAAGTCCTTCAGTTTATTTTGTCATGGGGCTCAAAAATACCTTGCAAATAAAGTTAGGATTAGGATAACAGTTTAAAGTCAAGTAAATTAGCTAGGATGGAGTGGGAGTGGGAAAGCATTACAAGCAAAGCAGTAGCAATTGGTAAGGCCTCAGAAAAGACGGAATTCAGTATACTGGAGGAACTCAACTTTAAGCTAATTGAGGAAATACTTTAGAAATAAATTCACAAACTAAATGTTATATTCATAACAAATGTTATTTTTCTTTCCACTGCAAAGAACTTACTTCCAGCCATATCAATTTGTTTAGTTTCTGGACTATCATGCATGATTCCCTCCTGAAATGAGCTCTGATACAGTTAAAATGCTTACAGCAACTGCCATATCTACATAATAATATATATTTTTTAACACTCCACTTGCTTGAATCCACGTTTTGCCAAAAACCTAAAACTCATTGAAAGCTCTACACCTGGCAGCATCTCTCAAGGCAGAAATTCTCTAGTTAGCGTGAACTAACTCACAGACTGGGGATATGGCTCTGTGGTGGACAACAGTATTTTCTCCCCCACCCCCAACTCTTTCCTAGTCTTCTCTCCACTATTTCCATGTGTCCCCGGATTCCAGGTCCTACCACACCACTTTGCAACACATGTTTAAATCACAAGGGAAAAGGGCCAATGACACATGAAAGAAGGATATAAGGGCTGGACCCACTTATATAAGGGCACCCACTGATGGCTGGAAGAACAGCATTAAACTCTGTGGGTACCGCTCTATCTGGGATCTAAAGTTGCCAAAGCCAGTTGCAACTACAGGAATCAAAAATTTAATTTCTCAAAAGCTTCTTTACTTTGTTTTCTCTTTAATTTGGTTGGCATGTTTGAAAACATTTTTATTCTACTCTCATACTCAAATAATAATTTGGCTAACTGTAGGCTTCTCAGAAAAACAGTTTTTCCTTAGAAATTTAAAGCAATGTGACTTCACTTTGTGGCTCCAGTGACTTCTAGTGTTGCTGTACATTGACATTCTACTTCTAGATCATTCCAACTTTTTTTTTCCTCTGTAGAAAGTTTTTGGCCTTTCTTCTCTCTTATTGGTTTCCGATAGTTGGTGTGGGTTTTTCTCATTAATCGCACTGAGCTTTTGGTCAGTATATATCACGGACATACGGTCATTTCAATCCGTATATTTATTGTTCTCTTCTAGGAAATTTTCTTGCACGTTTTTGTTTTCATTTTCTCTACTTTCTCTTACGTATAATTCCTAAGAATAGGATGATCTATCCCTTAAACTGATCATCTAAGTGTCTTATATTTTATCTCTTAACATTTCTACTTCTCTCTTAGGGCCCGTATGTTTGAGAAGGAAGCTCCCACTTATGTTAGTTAAACATTAAGTCACAGAGCTCTCCATTAAGAAAACTTTTTCTTTAGACAGGGAGTTGAAGCTTCATAAAACAGTTTAACTGCCTCCTACTTTCCTTCCCTCTAGTTCACTCTAAACATACTTGTATGTATACATTCTAGAAATTTTCTTCCAAAATTTATTACTTTTAAAAACTCGAGGCCAGGCACAGTGGCTCACACCTGTAATCCCAGCACTTTGGGAGGCTGAGGTGGGCGGATCACAAGGTCAGGAGTTCGAGATTGGCCTCGCCAACATAGTGAAACCTCACCTCTCCTAAAAATACAAAAAATTAGCTGGGCATGGTGGCAGGCGCCTGTAATCCTAGCTACTCAGGAGGCTGAGGCAGGAGAATCGCTTGAACCCAGGAGGCGGAGGTTGCAGTGAGTCTAGATCGCGCCATTGCACTCCAGCCTGGGCAACAGAGGGAGACACCGTCTCAAAAAAAAAAAAACAAAAAACAAAAAACACAAAACTCAAACTACAAAAATGTTGGAAGATCAGTACAAAGAATACTTCTAAAACCCTTAATCTATATTCAGCATTGCCACATTTTTCTACCTCTCTTTCCTTCTCTAAAAACATATACACAAACTTCACGTTAACTCTTTCAGAATGTACCTCCAAAAACTAAGAAGCCTCCTACATAAACACAATGCCATTATCACACCAAAGATATTAAACATTCGTACAATAAAATATATTATCTCTATACTTCCCTAGTTGTCGCAACAATATCCTTTAAAACCAATTTTAAAATAAATTGAGGATTTAATCGAGAATTCTATACTTATAAAATGCATCTTAAGTAACACTCCCCTGTTTAAACTTCTTTTTTTCCCCTTGCCCAAAATTTACTGGCTTATGGTAACAGAGAAACTGAGGTATGTGGAAATATGAAAGAAAAAGAGAGTGATGGAATGTGGAATTGGTATATAATGTTTAAGAATAAACAAAATAACCATGGAATACTATGCAACCATAAAAAGGATAAGTTCATGTCCTTTGTAGGGACATGGATGAAGCTGGAAACCATCATTCTGAGCAAACTATCGCAAGGACAGAAAACCAAACACCACATGTTCTCACTCATGGATGGGAACTGAACAATGAGAACACTTGGACACAGGATGGGGAACATCACACACTGGGGCCTGTCATGGGGTTGGGGGAGGGGGGAGGGATAGCATTAGGAGATATACCTAATGTGAATGACGAGTTAATGGGTGCAGCACACGAACATGGGACATGTATACATATGTAACAAACCTGCATGTTGTGCACATGTACCCTAGAACTTAAAGTATTAAAAAAAAGAATAAACAAAATAAAACTGGAAAATCTTAGATATTTTTATATTCTTTTTTTTTGGAGACAGAGTCTCGCTCTGTTGCCCAAGCTGGAGGAGCGCATGGCTCGCTGCAGGCTTCATCTCCGAGATTCAAGTGATTCTCCCATCTCAGCCTCCCAAGTAGCTGGGACCACAGGCATGCACAACCATGCCTGGTTAATTTTGATATTTTTGGTAAAGATGGGGTTTTGCCATGTTGCCCAGGCTGGTCTTGAACACTTGGGCTCAAGTGATCTGCCCACCTTGGCCTCCCAAAGTGCTAGGATTATAGGCCTGAGCCACCATGCCCAGCCTGATATTTTTATATTCTTTATGGAGTCCTTTTTAAAAAGTGTATTTTATTTTAGATTCAAGGGGTACATGTGCTTGTTTGTTACATGAGTATTACCTTAAATTACTTCAATGACAACTTTTATAATTTTGTTTCTGAATACCTCATTAGCTTCATCTTTCACTCCTTGAAAGTAAACTCCAGCCATACATAATTACATACCTTTCTTAAAATATACAAAGCATTGCTCCTTAACAGTTACTGTATATTACGTTTCCATGCCTAAAAACTATCTCTTGATTGCTGATCATCAGTTCCTTCTTGCCTTTGACCAATACCTTCTTGTTCTTAAAGAGATCAGATTAAGAACAACTTTATCATTTGATTGGGATATCCGTCTATGTAGATCTATTTGTACTTCTGTATCTCATGAGCTTAACCATCTTGTGGCATTTATCACTCTGCCAGTGCACCCACTGATTTATCTAAGTAGGACTGTGAACCACTTATGGCAGGGACTGGTCATATGGTTTGATGTTTCATGGCCCAGCACAACCTATATAAGAAAAGATGTGCAGTAATTTTGTGCAATGAATTTAAAATAACTATGATTAATATTTTGAGTGCTCTATGAGAAAGTTAGAAAAAGAGATGGGTACTGTAAGCAGGGAAATGCGAACTATAAGAAAGAATCAAAAGAAATGCTAGAAATCAAAAACATATTAATAAAAACAAAGAATGCCTTCAATGGACTCATCAACAAACTCAACACAGTAGAGGAAACAATCAGTGAACCTGAAAATAGAAACTTCAAAAGAAACTTCCCAAACTAAAATGCACAGAGGAAAAAGAATGAAAAACAAAAGAGAACATCCAAACCATGGGAGAACATCCAAACCATGGGACAATATCAAAACATGTATCTATTAAACAGACATCTATTTTCCCAATTAGAAAACCAAAAGGAGAAAAAAGAGAACACAGATGAAATATTGTAAGTAATAATGTCCATGAATGTTTCAAATTAGTGACACACACCAAACCATAGGCTGAGGAAGCGCAAAGAACACTAAGCAAGATAAATACCAAAAAAAACCACACGTGTATATCATATTGAAACTGAAAAAACAACAACAAAAAAAAACAAAGAAAAGATAGTCAAGGAACCCAGAGAAAAGTAACACCTTACCTATAAAACAACACTGATAAAAATTACAGCAGACTTCTTGTCAGAAACTATATAAACAAGAAGAAAGTGGTGTGAAATATCTAAAGCATTAAATGAAAAAGAGCCACCAACCTAGAATTCTCTCTATCCAGGGAAATTATCCTTCAAAGTTGAAGGAGAAATGAAGACTTTCATTTCTAACAAAAACTAAGGGAATTCATCACCAGCAGACCTACCCTGTAAGAAATGTTAAAAAGTTATTTAGGCAGAAGAAAAACAATATAGGTCAGAAACATGGATTTACATAAAGAAAGGAAGAGCACCAGAGACAAAATCATGAAGGTAAGATAAAATCTTTTGGTTCTTTTATTAGTAATTGATCTAAAAGATAAATGTTTGTTAAAGGCTATAATGATAACAATGTATTAGGTGATTACAGCACACGGATAAGTGAAATGAATGACAGGGACATCACAAGTGACATAACAACGGAGAAGAAGGGGGAACTGGGAATACTGTTGTAAAGTTCCTGCACTACATATGAAGCAGTATAGCATTTTCAAAAGTGAATTTAGATTACTTAAAAATACACATTGAAAACTCTAGGGTGACACTAAAATTTTTTAAAAGAAGTATAAATGATAAAGTAAACAGGAGATAAAATGAAATAATATAAAATGCTCAATGAAAACCGTAGTAATCAGACAAAGGAGGGGAGAAGAGAAGAAACAAAACAAAGAAATAAAAAAATTTTCTATTTGCATACGAAGCAAATGGAAAACAGCTAGGAAGATGGTAGTGAGCTAGGAAGATGGTAGTGTTTTTTTGTTTGTTTGTTTGTTTTTGAGACAGAGTTTCACTGGAGACTCCAGCCCAGGCTGGAGTGCAGTGGAACGATCTTGGCTGACTGCAATCTCTGTCTCCTGGGTTCAAGCAATTCTCCTGCCTCAGCCTCAACTGGGATTACAGGCATGCACCACTATGCCTGGCTAATTTTTGTATTTTTAGTAGAGACAGGGTTTCACCATGTTGGCCAGGTTGGTCCTAAACTCCTGACCTCAGGTGATTCGCCTGCCTTGGCCTCCCAAAGTGCTGGGATTACACGCATGAGCCACCACGCCTGGCCAATGGTAGATGTTAATCCAACTACAAAAATAATCACACCAAGTGTAAATGGTCCAAACACAGCAATTAGAAGACAGATTGTCAGAGTGCATTTAAAAAAAAAAAAACAACTATATATGTCTATAAGAAACCCACTTTAACATTCAAGTTACAAGTAAAGAGATGAAGCTAGGCGTGGTAGCGTGCACCTGTAGTCCAAGCTATTTGCAGGGGCTGAGGCAGAAGTTTGCTTGAACATAGGAGTTCAAAGCTGCAGTGTGCCATGACTGCATCTGTGAATAGTCACTGCACTCTAGCCTGGGCAATACAGTGATACCCTGTCTCAAAAAAAAAAAAAAGTCAAGGGATGAGACTGGTGGCCTATCCTTCCCTAGAAATGAAAAAAACAAACAAAAGGCAAAACCTGTCTGAACCAGATTTTCAGAAATTCTGGGAGATAGTCAAAGGTTGCACCCAAGCAAACACTTAACAAAAAAATTTGAGCTTCAAAAAGAAAATAAGTGCAGTGATTTAAAACACATCAAATATGCTAAAAATGATGAATATATAATGGTGATAATAATAAAAACAACCCACTAGGAGATGCCAGGGAACCACTCCAATAACTCAAAATCATATAAAGGGAAATAATCCATTTATTCTGCCTTTTCTGTACAAACTGTACCTAAGGGTGAACAAAGAGTTGACGAGGAAAATTTTTTCTTTAGGAAAATATTCTAGCTAGTAAACGAAGTAATGACAGAATTAGAATATCGCCATTTTGTAGCCCTTACTGAAATAATGGGTCTAGTTAGTAATCATCCATGTTTTCTAAAACCGGTATAGTGGTAAGAAGAACTGTTCTATTTTTAAAACATATGAAAAATATCCTCTTTTTTTTTTTTTTTTTGACAGAGTCTCACTCTGTCAGGCTGGAGTACAATGGCGTGATCTTGGCTCACTGCAACTTCCGCCTCCTGGGTTCAAGCGATTCTCCTGCCTCAGGCTCCAGAGTAGCTGGGACTACAGGTGTGCGCCATCATGCCCAGCGAATTTTTGTATTTTTAGTAGAGACAGGGTTTCACCATGTTGGTCAGGATGGTCTTGATCTCTTGATCTCGCAATGTGCCCACTATGGCCTCCCAAAGTGCTGGGATTACAGGCATGAGCCACCATGCCCAGCCCATCCTTCTATGTCTCACCTTACTTCCTCTAATATTACAACCCAATAGTCCTTCAGCCCTGTCAGGAGCTTCCATTCCTTGATTCTACTAATTTTTTACTGTCCTTCACTCTCTTCCTATCCTCACTTTTCCACTTACCTAGCCTAAAATCCACAGTCAAAACAACAATCAATTATTTTGCCAACTTAAGACTCTTCTTGCCTCTCTCTCACATTATTCCTCTTTGCTTCATGAAACCAACATTCTGGTTAAATCCAAATCTCCCCCTAGCCTGTCTGGCTGCAACTATGCGGATGAACACTGCAGGAGAAAAATCACACAGCTACACAGAATAGGCTCACTTTAAATTCATAAATACTAACATTAAGTGGGTCTTTGATGGTGCCTGAAAATCATAATTTCTCTATTCTCTGTCCCAATCTCTGTGATTTTTTTTCCCCTGTTCTTCTCAAACTCTAGCACGTCCTCCACCAATCTCACTCTCATTTGAGTCTCTTGCTAGGTACTTCACTATAAAGTTAAAACAATCATAAGAGAAGGTTTACAAGTTCTCACCAACACATCTGCCCATCTACTTGTATCTGTGCCTGGGTACTTCTCCCTCTCTCCTGTTATTGCCGTGGTCAAGCTCCAAGCTCAGCCAAACTCTGCCACTAGATCTCATTTGCTCTGGCTACTTAAGGACATTTTTATATTATCTGCTTTCTCTCCTGTATTGTAGTTTCTCTCTCTACCGGATCATTTCAATCAGTATATAAACAGAATGTGTACCTCTTAACTCCAGCTACCATTCCATTTCACTTCTTCCATTTAGAAAAAAAAAAAAAAAGTCTTCAAGAGTTGTCTAGACTTGATATCTCCAACGTTTTCTTTTCCAGTTCTCTCTTTGGCCTAAAATTCCACGGACACTGCTTTCAGGGTCCCTAATAAATGAATTTCATGTTGCCAAATTCCATGCTTCTTTCTCACTCCTCATTTTATGTGGCACCCGACACAGTTCTTGTTAAAACACATTCTTCCCTTGGTTTCCAGAATATCACACTCACCTAGTTTTCCTTCAACGTTTCAAGCTAGTCCCCATCAGTCTCTTTTGCTAATTCCTCCTTACTTCCCAGAGTTTGTTATGTTGGAGTGACTCAGAGATCAGTCATTTGCCTCTACCTTTCTCTATCTATCCTACCCTCTAAGTGACCTCATTCAGTCTCGTGTTAAATACCATTTATATGCTGATAATTCCCAAATATATGTCTCCATCCTAGATCTTAGATCTCCCTTTTGTCTCTCTTTTTGAATTTCATACTTGTATATCCAACTGCCAACTTGATATCTCCACTTGAATGTCTAATGGGCATTCTCACATTTCACATACTATATTCCAAACTGAAATCTCACTACATTCCAAGTCAGTTTTTCCTACATTGTTCCCCTTCTCAGTTAATGACACACCCATTCAAGTTACTCATAAAAACAGTATTGTGTCACCTTGTCTCATTCACACTCTACCTCAGTTTGTCAGCAAATCACAGCAGCTCTACCTTTAAATTATATCTAGTACATGACTACTTCTTAGCATTTTTACTACTCTGGTCCAGATCACCAATATCTTTTCCCTAAAGTACTACAATACAGTCATGTGCTGCGTAACAATGTTTCAGCCAACAACAGATCACATATACAACAGTGGTCCTATAAGACTTTAATGAAGCTAAAAAATTCCTATCACCTAGTGACATCATAGCCATCATAACATCGTAACACAATGCATTACACACGTAACCTAGGTTTATATAAGTACACTCTATGATGTTTGTGGTGATGCTAGTGTCAACACCCCTACTGCACTGATAGTGGTATAAAAGTATAGCACATACAGTTGTGTATGGTATTAGTATTTGATAATATTATTGATTATTGATCATGTGAATAGTACATAATACTTGACAATAATAATAAATGACTGTTACTGCTTTATGTATTTACTATACTATACTTTTTATTGTTAGAGTATATCCCTACCTAAGAAAAAGTAAACTATAAATTAGCCTCAAGCAGGTCCTTCCAGACGTATTCCAGAAGACATTATTATCACAGGAGATGATAACCATGCATGTTTATTGTTCCATGCATGTTTATTGCCCCTGAAGACCTTCCAGTGGAACAAGATGTGAAGGTGGAAGACAGTGATATTGATGATTCTGACCCTGTGTAAGCCTAGGCTAATATGTTTGTGTCTTAGTTTTCAGCAAAGGAGTTTCAAAAGTTAAAATATTTTTAATAGAAAAAAGCTTATAAAGATATAAAGAAAATCTTTTTATACAGCTGTACAATATGTGTTTTAAGTTAAGTATTATTATAAAAGAGTAAAAAAGTTTAAAAAATTTAAAAGTTCATGAAGTAAAAGAGTTACAGTAAGCTGAGGTTAATTTATTACTGAAAAAAGAAAAATGTTTTTATAAATTTAGTGTAGCCTAAGTGTACGGTGTTTATAGTCAACAGTAGAGTACACTAACGTCCTAACCCTTCATATTCACTCACCACCACACACACACACAAAATATATATATAGGTATACCAATTTTAATCGTATTTATTTATTTATTTTTGAGACGGAGTCTCACTCTGTTGCCCAGGATGGAGTACAGTGGCGCAATCTCAGCTCAATGCAAGCTCCGCCTCCCGGGTTCAAGCAATTCTCCTGCCTCAGCCTCCCAAGTAGCTGGGACTACAGGCGTGTGCTACCACGCCTGGCTAATTTTTTGTATTTTTAGTAGAGATGGGGTTTCACCGTGTTAGCCAGGATGGTCTCGATCTCCTGACCTCGTGATCCGCCCACCTTGGCCTCCCAAACTGCTGGGATTCCACCGCGCCTGGCCCATTTTTAATCTTTATATACTGCATTTTCACTGTATCTTTTCTGTGTTTAGATATGTTTAGATACACAAAGTCTTACTACTGTGTTACAGTTGCCTATGGTAGTCAGTACAGTAACATGCTGTACAGGTTTGTAGCCTGGGAACAATAGGCTGTGCCATATAGCCTAGGTTTGCAGGAGGCTATACCATCTAGGTTGTGTAAGTATACTCCATGATGTTCATACAAGGACAAAATTGTCTAACCATGCATTTTTCAGAATGTATCCCCATCATTAAGCAACACAATTGTAGCTTCCTAATTGGTCTCTGTGCTTCTTCCCTTGACCTCCCTGCTCTTTCCTCATTCGTCCTCCCATAGGCCATTCTCATCAGAGCAGCCAAAGCTGTCTTCTTAAATTGTAAGCAGATAGTATCACTTCCATGCTCAAAAACCCTCCAGCAGCTTCCCATCTCACTCAGAGGAAAAGCCAAAATTAATACTACGGGCCATAAAGCCCAATTTGATCTGCCCTCCTCCCATCCACTTACCTTTCTTCTCTTCTCTCCCACTACTCTCCCCTTCAATTATTCTATTTTAGCCTCTTCATTAACAGGCATGTTGCCACTTCAGAGCCTTTACAACTGCTGTTCCCTCTGCCTGGAATAACTTTTCTCACTCACGCATAAATAGCTCCTTTACTTCCTTCATATCTTTATTACTACCTTTTCAGGATGCCTTCCCTGGCGAGCCCATCTAAAACTCAGACTCCTATCTCTAGTTCTAAATATCCTCTCACTTCACATTTTTTCTTAGTATTCTTCACCATTTAAAATACTTCATACTTAATTTACTTACCTTGTTTATTATCCAGCCCACAAAAATGTAAGTACCATGATAGTAGGGGGTTTGTCTCTTGTTCACTGCTATATCCCAAGCACCTAGGATTGTGCCTGTTACACAGACAGCCTTCAATAAATGAGTCTATGAATGAATGAATCCTTAATATATGAAGAACTCTGGAAAAGAAATTTGAAAACAGAACACTACTTTAGAAAACATATAATTTACAAAAGATTTTTTTAAATGCTTGACTTCAATAAGTAATGAAACAATTGTTTTAGAGCAAATTAATTTATATCCATGAGGTTAACAAAGATTACTACTATTTAGAATATCCATTGTTATCAACAGTGTATGAGGATATAAGCAGTCTTATACTATGCCAATAATACTGCAGATTATTGGAACTTTACAGAATAATTGGATAGGTTCTGGGAACCTTTAATAAAAGCATACATTTTAACCTATCAATTCTACTTTTAGGAGTCTGCTCCCCCTCCAAAAAAATTTAGAAAAGTATATTTAAACACGTGCCAAATAGTTGCTGATAAACACAGTTTATAATTTCAAGAAGCTACAGAGAACTAAATCACCCATCAACAGGGGTAAACGTATACCATGAAATACTTTAAAATGAATGCATAATTTGTGATTGTTTAAATGGAAAGATACTAATCATACATTGTTAAACAAGAAAGGTTGGTTACAGAGCTGTATGTATAGTGTTACTGCAATTTTGAAGCCATTATGCACACATATAGAACATATGAATGTATACGTATGTATACACAAAGGCGGGGGTGAAAAGATGGAAAGTAAATTTTGACAGTAGTTGCATGGCCTGTAGAACTATGAATGATTTTTGTTCTTCGAGCTTTTCTGTATTTTTCTCCACCCCACTCCACTCCCCAAATGGGGTGGAGTAGGGAAGGAGGAGAATGAGTTTAGTAAGTACACAAAACAACGTAGCTAATACACGAAAATAAAATTAAAAATAAATAAATATTAAAGTGTTGGGGATATCGATGTTTCATATAAAAACATATTTCCGGCCGGGCGCGGTGGCTTACGACTGTAATCTCAGCACTTTGGGAGAACGAGGCGGGTGGATCACCTGCGGTCAGTTGTTCGAGACCAGCCTGACCCACATGGAGAAACCCCGTCTCTACTAAAAATACAAAATTAGCCAGGCGTGGTGGTGCGCCTGTAATCCCAGCTACTCGGGAGGCTGAGGGAGGAGAATTGCTTCTTCCCAGGAGGCGGAGGTTGCGGTGAGCCAAGATCGCGCCATTGCCCTCCAGCAGCCTGGGCAACGAGAGCGAAACTCCATCTCAAAAACAAAAACAAAAAAACAACGTATTTCCAATGACCAAAGCTAAAGACATGCAGCGCTGGCACAAACGCCAAGTCTCACACATCTACACCCACAAGCACACCCTACCTTGTATCCACAGTTTTTCATTCATTCAAGATCCCACTGTCATGCACGTTTGCACGCAGGTTCATACTGAAAGATAAAAGGGAAAGCGCCTCCACGAAATCCGCTTACGGACACGATCCCGGGGCCACACTCAGCCAGACGAATGTCTGGCAAATGACAGTCACTTCACGCCAGACTCTCACAGTCCTTCACACGCCACTCCCACTGCCTCAGGGAACCACAAGCACAGGCATCGCCCCGCCCGGCGTCCTCCTCCAAAGATTGGGGCACCAGGACCGCGGGCCCCCACTCCCACCCAGCACAAAGAGTCCGGCGCTCAGAGCTAGCGGTTTCCCGAGGACTCACCACCAAGCCCGCGGACACAGGCCCCGATTCCACACTTAACGCTGCCAAAGTGGCAGAGCCGGCGCGGGCTGGGACAGAGGCGGCACTGAGGCCGGCGCTGTCGGTGGCTGAGAGCGCCACAAGTCTCGGTCCGTTACACCAGGGGCGACGCTTCCCAGAGGCCCCCGCGGCTCACCCGGGCGGGACTGGCTTCACTGTTTGCGCGTCCTGAGAAGCAGACCACGGTGTTCCAGGGCTCACAGCTCCGCGCAGGGGAGCTCAGCCTAGGTTTTGCACGAGCGGCCTCCCGCGAGCCCAGCTCTGAGAGATTGGGAGCGCAACTTGGTGCTGAGAAGAATCGAATCGTTCCGCTGCTTCCTGCGCCGAACTACATTTCCCAGAGGCCTTCGCGGCCCTACTTCCCCGACCCCACCTGCAAAAAGGCACTTCCTTCTTACAGTCGGCTGGAGCTGCAGGTTCGCAAGGTCCGTGAAGGAAGCCCGGCTCAGTGTGTTTAGTTCCGTCTTTTTGGGTCTCTACCTGAGGCTAGAATACAGCGGGGTGAAGGTGGTGAGAGCTCCAGGGCCAGTGAAGGCCGGGTCAGCTGGAGCCTTAAGGTCCTGACAGCGGCTAGAAGAGGGAGGAGTGACGTAGTGTGACTGTATGTGTGAAACTTCGGCCATGGAATTTGGAGTGGGGTTTCCAGGGCGAGAGACCCTGTCCAGTGACATCTGAGGTCGTGCGAATATGCGACCTTTTGTGTGACCATGGTCGCGTTTTATATTCTCGTGGCTGTTTGATTCTGACCTTGCAGTTTTGTCAGAGACAATGTGCATGTATTTGTTCTTTCTGGACTTCTCGATTGTGAGTGTGACAGTGTTATTGGATTTCATGACCCGGGATCGTGAGCGAAAAGTAGTGTGGCCAGACCGCCTGACTTCTAAACAGACTTGGCCTTACTAGCTGTGTCATCTCAGACTAGGTACTTAACTTCTCTATGCCTTTCGTGTTTTTTTTTTTTTGTTTGTTTTGTTTTTTTTGAGGCAGAGCCTCACTTTGTTGCCCAGGCTGGAGAGTGCAGCGGCGCGATGTTGGCTCACTGCAGCCTCGAACTCCCGGGCTCAAGCGATTCTCTGCCTCGGCCTTCCGAGTAACTGGGACCACAATCAAGGGACACTCCGCCCGGCTGATTTTTGTTTGTTTGTTAGTAGAGATAAGGTCTCGCTATGTTGCCCAGGCTGCTCTCGAACTCCTGAGCTCAAGCGATCCTCCCGCCTGGGCCTCAAAAAGTGCTAGGATTACAGGCATGAGCCGCACGGGGCCGGTCTTAATACCTTTAATAAAGAGATAATAGGCCGGACGCGGTGGCTCACGCCTGTGATCCCAGCACTTTGGGTGGGCAAAGCGCACGGATCATTTGAGGTCACGAGGTTTTTGTTTGTTTGTTTTTTAAGACGGAGTCTTGCTCTGTCGCTCAGGCTGGAGTGCAGTGGCGCGATCTCGGCTCACTGCAACCTCCGCCTCCTTTCGCCTCCCAGGTTCAGGCAATTTTTCTGCCTCAGCCTCCTGAGTAGCTGGGACTTAAGGCGCGTGCCACCACGCCCGGCTAATTTTTTTGTATTTTTAGTAGAGACGGGGTTTCACCATGTTGGTCAGGCTGGTCTCGAACTCCTGACCTCGTGATCTGCCCACCTTGGCCTTCCAAAGTGCTGGGATTACAGGCGTGAGCCACCGTGCCAGGCTGAGGGTAGCGGGTGGGAGACTGCCAGGAGTGTAGTGCGCTTGCGCAGTTTACCACCCTGCATCCCCCCCACCCCGCTCCCCTCCCAATTTTTTTCGGGTATCCAGCACAATTCTAGGAATTCGCCTCCCACCCATTTTGAGTAGACGCGCCACTAGCGCGTTCCCACGCACAAACCTTTTCCCTGCGGCCAACCTGCGATTCTCAACTCCCCGCCCTGGTTGCTAAGGGAGGCGCGCAGAGCGCTTGTGCCTGCGCACTTCCACACCAGCCCGTGTAGTGTGACGCTGGGCCCCGTCCCTGTGACCGGGCCAGGCTCGGAGCTGCAGGGAATCCGGACTTTCGGGCTCTCTGGAAGGCCGGGGAGAGGCCAGTGTGGGAGGACCTGGTGGGGAGGAGGCCGTGTTACAAACCCTGCGCGGAGCTGCACCGCTGCTGCCAGACACTGCGACGCCGCGACCTTTTCTACTCCGGACTACGTTTCCCAGCGGACCCCGCGGGAGTTGGGCCGGCGGCCCCTTTGTGTCCTCCGGGGGCGGAGGCAGCTGAGGCGCTTCTTTCCGGGCCCGTAAGGGCTGGGTTCCATCCAACTAAGGGTAGCGGTGAGACCCGAGTGCAGATTCCCCGAGCCTTCGGGGCAGGAAGGAGATCTTCCACCAGTTCTGTTCTGCAGGTCGGGAGTGGGCTGAGGAGTGGCGTGTGGGTCTCCGGAAGCTCGTCGCAGGCCATCTGTGTGACTCCGGTGCGAGTGGAGGTTGGTACCGTTCAGTGCGAGGCTGTCACCCCGTGTGCCTGTCCACGTCCTGTGTGACTGGGTGCGAGGAAGTCAATGGCACCGTGGAATGTGAGGCTGTGAGTTGAGGCGGGAGCGGGCGACTGTTCGCTGCACCTTGTTGGGCCGATACCCGCGGCTTCTTTGTGACTGGGTTGTGAGATTGTCGCTTGTGATAGATACCCTGGTGGCTGAGCCTTGCCGGTATGGGAAAGGGTGCCCGTGTGAGGCAGTCCATACCCATGGCCTCTGACTGTGGCGTGGGTAAGACGGTGGTTGGCACTGTAGTTTTTCAGACTCTGATTATGTGGGGGATTGAGTGAGAGACTGTGTGCCACGGAGAGGCTTTTAAAGCCAGCCCAAGTCATATCAATGTGCCACCAAGTTTCAGAATCACTGATTTATTGGAGAGGAGGATTGTGGGGTCAGGTCCTCTTTTATTTGATCTTGGTGCTCTTATTTGTTAGTTCTGTGTCTTTATGTGAAAACTTACATTCCTCTGAGTCTGTATTTGTAAAGCCTAGAACATCTGTTGTTAACCTAAGGAATTGGGAAATGATTTAGGCATCAGTTAAATTGTATGCAAACAAATTCCTAGGTCTCCATTATGCTCTCTCTATTGGAGGGAAGGTTGCAAGAGGAGGAAAGAGAATCCTAAAAAGTCTAGACTGGTGATTCTGGATGCTGCAAGAAAAGTCTAGTTTCTCATGTTCTTTTCCCCATCTCAGTCATCTGAGGCCACTGCTATTTCCCAAGAGAAGAGCCAGGAGGAAGAAAGAATGGCTGTTGGGCTTCTTAAAGCCATGTACCAGGTGTGTTGGTGTTTTCTCGATTTCCTGAATACCTGTCTGCTTTTCAAAACAAGCAGGTACTAATTTTCCTTCTGCTGAAACGTTTCTGGGTAACCAGTCATGTCCCTTATCAACACTCTCCATTGGATTCCCATCTTATTCAAGATAAACGCGTAAGTCCTTGTCTTGACCTGCAGGGCCCTGCATAATCTGGTCCCTGACTGTCCCTCTGACTTCATCTAATTTTTCTCATCCTGTCTTTAACTCAGTCACTCAGTTCCAGCAACACTAGCTTCCTTGTAATGTGGTGAGTACATTCTTATTTATTCTTTTTTTTTTTTTTTTTTTTTTTTGAGACAGAGTCTCACTCTGTTGCCAGGCTGGAGTGCAGTGGCGCAATATGGCTCACGGCAACATCCACCTCCTGGGTTCAAACGATTCTCCTGCCTCAGCCTCCCGAGTAGCTGGGACGATAGGTGTGCGCCATCACGCCCAGCTAATTTTTGTATTTTTAGTAGAGACGGGGTTTCACCATGTTGGCCAGGATGGTCTGAAACTCCAGACCTCAGGTGATCCACCTGCCTCGGCCTCCCAAAGTGCTGGGATTACAGGCGTGAGCTACCATGCCTGGCCAGTGAGTACATTTTTTTTTTTTTTTTTTTTGTTGAGACGGAGTCTTGCTCTGTCTCCAGGCTGGAGTACAGTGGCACGATCTAGGCTCACTGCAAGCTCTGCCTCCCAGGTTCACACCATTCTCCTGCCTCAGCCTCCCAAGTAGCTGGGACTACAGGCGCCCACCACCACGCCTGGCTAATTTTTTGTATTTTTAGTAGAGACGGGATTTCACCATGTTAGCCAGGATGGTCTCGATCTCCTGACCTCGTGATCCGCCCGCCTTGGCCTCCCAAAGTGCTGGGATTACAGGCGTGAGCCACCGCACCCGGCCACTGCACCCATGCATTCTTAATGCATGGCCTTGCACTTGCTATTCTCTCTGCCTGGGATACTGTTCCCTCAGATACCCGATACAGACCAACTTCCTCACTCTAGTCTCTAACCAAAAACGTTCATTCATTCTAATTTTTAGTAAGCACCCATTACCACTGGGTGTCGCAGGTCTTAGTCCCTCATCCTGTTCTCTACACTTACTACCCTGGTGATCTCATCCTGTCTCATAGCCTCAAATACCATGTATATGCCAACAACTACCAAATTGTGTACAGCCCAGACCTCTCTCTTGAACTCTAGACTTGTATACCTGACTGCCTACATCTTCATTTGGTTGCATAAGAGATATGTCAAATGCAAACATCTTACAAATGGAGTGAAATGAGCCATTGGCGGTTTTGGAACATGAGTGACATGAACTGATTTTCATTTTGGTAGCATCACTCTGGTTGCTACTGAGAGTAAACTGAATGGGACAAGGATAGAATTAGGGAACTCAACTAGGAAACTCTTAACGTACTTCCTGGCTCCATTGCTTAAGCTAAACATCTTCTATCAGGAAATTAGAGACTTCAAAATACATCCAGAATCAGACTACTATTTTTTTTTTTTTTTTTTGAGATGGAGTCTCACTCTGTCACCCAGGCTGGAGTGCAGTGGCACAATCTCAACTCTCTGCAACCTATGCCTCTCCCTGCTTCAAGCGATTCTCTTGACTCAGCCTCCTGAGTACAGGCACGTGCCACCATGCCCAGCTAATTTTTGTATTTTTAGTAGTGACAGGGTTTCACCATGTTGGCCAGGATGGTCTCTATCTCTTGACCTTGTGATCCGCCTGCCTCGGCCTACCAAAGGCTGGGATTACAGGCATGAGCCATCGCACTCGGCCCAGAGAACTTTTTACTATCACCACTGCTTCCATTATGTTCTGTACCATCATCTCTCACCTGTGTTACTGTGGTACTCTCCTAACTTCTCTCTCTACCTCTACTCTTGTTCTTTTTAGTCTGTTCTCAATGGAGCAGCCAAAGTGATCTTGTTAATACATAAGTTGTATGATGTCATTATTTATAGGCGGGGGTGGGTGGAAGTAATAGAAAGCATAGACAACTCTTTCAAAAAGTTTAGCTATAAGAGAAGGAGAGACCTGGGCACGGTGACTCACGCCTGTAATCCCAGCACTTTGGAGACCGAGGTGGGCGGATCACCTGAGGTCGGGAGTTCGAGACCAGTCAGACCAACATGCAGAAACCCCGTCTCTACTAAAAACACAAAAAATTAACCGGGCGTAGTTGCGCATGCCTGTAATCCCAGCTACTCAGGAGGCTGAGGCAGGAGAATCGCTTGAACCTGGGAGGTGGAGGTTGCGGTGAGCTGAGATGGTGCCATGGCACTCCAGCCTGGGCAACAAGAGTGAAACTTTGTCTCAAAAAAAAAAAAAAAAAAGAAGGAAAGAAATGGGTGGTAACTGAAGGAGAAAGTCATAACTGACAAAGTTTCAGAAAGATGGATATATGTTGGCAGGCTGATGTTAAAGATTCAGTAGAAAGGGAAATTTGAAGATGAATAGAGAAAAAGGAATTGCTGGAACAATGTGCTTAAGTAGGTGAGAGGAGCTAAGTGTTTGGCCTTTTCTAGGAAAGTGGGTTGTTCAGTTATAGGAATAAGGGCATGTTAGGGTGTACAAGCACAGGTGCAGGTGGAAGTGTAGATGTGGTGGGAGTTTGTGGGAATTATCTTTCAATGGGTTTTGTTTTCTCAGAGAAAATAAGATTATCAGCTGAGAGTGAGCATGGGGAAGGAGATCTTGAAGGTGTGAGGTGAGAGGGGACAGTATCAAATGGTCATTTAGCAGAGTGAAGGGATGAATGGACTAGGGAAATGTATCATGCAGCATTTCCGCCCACTTGAGGTTAAGTGATCATGAATTTAAAGTGAGACTGCTTAGCATGGTTGGTATGATTTTCTCTAGCAGAGTTCAGCTATGCAGGATACAGGCACAGAGTAAGCAGAAAAATGGCTGTGGTTTAACCAAGTGAGTACAGTTAAGTGAGAGAGGGGCAGAGAAGACAAGGGCATATGCAGGGGGTGATTATAACAGGTGGTTGTGCTGGGAAGTGAGGGTACTCGGGGATGAGGAACAGTGAAAAAGTGGCAAAAAGTGGTAAGATCAGTGAATTGTACTTCTCCAGAATTTGATTTCTGGTGGAGTCAAATAACTATCCAGTTTGGGGTATCATAGGGCAACAGTTGAGGTATAGGAGGTAGAAGTCAGAGTGGGATAATTGAGGTTATGAAGGGTTTGGTACTGACTGGTACTGACAAGGTCTGGGTTATGACCATGGGAATGAATGACTGTAGAAGCGTAGAGGATGAGACTATTCCAGGAGAGAGGGGTCAGAGAACTAAGAGGCGAGGTTGTGGGGAGTATTATTTATGTGGATATCGAAGTGACCAAAGAATGATAGGAATGGCATTGAAGAGAGTAACAGTGAGTCAGGTGCTGAAGAATTTAAGGACTGACAGAGAACTGGTGTCTATCAGAAATTAGTAGATATATATCACAAGGAGGGATTGTGATTGACATATCCTAATTTCATGAGGTTTAAAACTAGATGTCTTTTAGGGAGGAGGAAATGGTTTGGAAATAAGAGCAAAGAGGTGACCTGCCTCACCTTCAGGTGCTGTGGTACAAGGAATGTGGGGAATAAAACATTCATCAGTGATAGGGCATCAGGGGAAGTCGTTCTCTCAGCTGGAAGCCATGTTTCTTTAAGGGCAGAAAGAAAACAGGAAAAAGTGGGAACTGTAGTTTTGCTTCAGACTGGTTTAATGATAATTGTGAATGGATTTTGAAACCAAGTATTTGTTAGGGGTCAAATATTTTAAGATCAGAATTTAAGCTCCTATGTTGACATAGAAATTATTTTTGTTGACTATCAAGAATCAGTGGAAAATATGTATGTCATATATAAATATTTATACATTTATTATATGTATTTATATAAGCTAAGGAAAACATTTTAGGAAGCATTGTTAGCAGGAGCAGAGAGGGAGAGATTTACCTACTTCCTATAATTAAGTAAGAAAAAAGGTGACTGAGCATTGAACTTGAAGAATTTTGCTTCTGTAGAGATAGTTTCTTTTGTTTTGTTTTGTTTTTGAGACAAAGTCTTGCTGTGTTGCCCAGGCTGGAGTGCAGTGGCCCAATCTCAGCTCACCGCAACCTCTGCCTCCCGGATTCAAGCGATTCTCCTGCCTCAGCCTCCTGAGTACCGGGGATTATAGGTGCGCACCACTATGCCCAGCTAATTTTTGTATTTTTAGTAGAGACAGCGTTTTACCATGTTGGCCAGGCTGTTCTGGAACTCCTGACCTCAAGTGATCCACCTGCCTCGGCCTCCCAAGTGCTGGGATTACAGGTGTGAGCCATCTCACCCAGCCTAGAGACAGTTTCTTTAACTGTAACAAAATTGTGTCAAATGCAAAAGGTTGCATTGACAGGTTCACATCTTTTAATTTTGTAAAAAATTAAATTAATACATACACATATAATGTATGTTTGTTTCATCAGCAAGTGGTCACATTATAGAAACCTGGAATCCAGTGGCATCACAGCAGCATTAAGTTTTTTTTGTTTTGTTTTGTTTTTGTTTTTTTTTTTTTTGAGATGGAGTCTCGCCCTGCCGCCCAGGCTGGAATGCAGTGGCACAATCTTGGCTCACTGCAACCTCCGCCTCCTGGGTTCAAGCGATTCTCCTGCCTCAGCCTCTGGAGTAGCTGGGACTACAGGCATGTGCCACCACACCTGGCTAATTTTTGTATTTTTAGTAGAGACAGTGTTTCACCATGTTGGCCAGGCTGGTCTCAAACTCCTAAACTCAGGTGATCCACCTGCCTTGGCCTCCCAAAGTGCTGGGATTACAGGCGTGAGCCCAGCTCAGTGTCAAGTTTTTAAGAACTTTCTCTAACCCCTGTAGGCAGAAGCAATATTATGAGTAGAACACCCATTTCTTTACACAAAATTTTGGGAACTCTGGATTAAAGTATTTGAATTTTAATGGAATTGATGCTCTGCTCTGCTTGGTCTAGCACAGTTTTCAGAGATACAGTGAATACTTTCTGGTATTGTTTTTGATCCCTTTCTAGCTTCTTGAAATTTTCTTCAAACCACTCATTGATTAATTCAACTGAGTCAGAATTTGAATACTTCACATGTGCCAGGTTCTATTCTGTACCTGGGGATAAAGCAGTGACCAAAGCCAAAACATACTCTGCCCTCATGGAGCTTAAATTTTAGTTGAGGAGGGTGAAGAACAGGCAATGAATAAAATAATTAAGTGCAGTGGAGAAAAATAAAGGAGGGTTAGGAAATAGGGAATTGGGGTGGAAGCAGTGCTATTTTATACTGGAATAATCTGAGATATACAAAGGCCCTGAGTACAAATATGATAACATGGTTACATATTTGAGGATGTAATATCAGAGAGAGCCCAGTGTGCCTAGGGCAGAGGAAATGAGGTGAATATGGTAAGAGATAAGGTTCTTCCATTTATTTCATTTCAGGAGTTGGTGACCTTCAGAGATGTGGCTGTAGACTTCTCCCAAGAGGAATGGGATTGTCTGGATTCTTCTCAAAGACATCTGTACAGTAATGTGATGCTAGAGAACTACAGGATCTTGGTATCACTGGGTAAGGATATCTTCTTGCAAAACTGAGCTTCTGCTCAAAAGGGGCTCTTTGCTACCACTATTGTGAATTTTTGGATAATATCTGCAAAATTTGGCTGAATGTCTGCTGCCTATGCCAAACAAATGGCTTAGTGTTTGTGGATTTGGCAGTGAACATATTCTTGGCCTGTGCCTGAAGCTTCATCTTCCTTATCCTTCTAATACATGTCCTTTACACATTTCTCTTTTTGCTTACTGTAAACTCCCTTTTCCCTGATGAGCTAAGGATTGAATGTGAGTTCTGGAATATCCACAGCATGACAAAACTCTACTTTTTTTTTTCGTATTTGCAGGACTTTGCTTTTCCAAACCAAGTGTGATATTATTGTTGGAACAAGGAAAAGCACCCTGGATGGTGAAGAGAGAGCTGACAAAAGGCTTGTGCTCAGGTTAGTGAAGAGGAAATTGGCAAAAATCTTTGCACGTGACAGCTCAGCTTGACTCAAAGGTATCACCTCTTCACTCTTCAGGCTTCCAAATTCTTCTCAAATGTTCTAGGTTTTCATAAAAATTTGGGGCCATTTAGGATGTTCTCCCACATTTGTTATTTTTAATTATTTCCCTTCTCTTACTTTCCTATCTCCTTTCTAACAAGTCCCATCCCCTCTCAGTTTCATAAGCCTCTCAGTCTTTAAAAAATCTTGTAGTAGTCTTATAAACTTTTTTTTTTTTTTTTTTTTTTGTGACAGAGTCTCGCTCTGTCACCCAGGCTGGAGTGCAGTGGTGCAGTCTCGGCTCACTGCAAGCTCCGCCTCCCGGGTTCAAGCAATTCTCCTGATTCAGCCTTCCCAGGAGCTGGAATTACAGGCACATGCCACCACGCCCAGCTAATTTTTGTATTTTTAGTAGAGACAGGGTTTCTCCATGTTAGGCTGGTCTCAAACTCCTGACCTCACGTGATCTGCCTGCCTCAGCCTTCCAAAGTGCTGGCATTACAGGCATGAACCACTGTGCCTGGCCTCTTATAAATTTTTGAGCTCTACAGAGCATCAGAAGTGTAGGCAGCCTTGGGGACTGAGTCCTCAACCTGAGGGATCTGATGCTATCTCCAGGTAGACAGTATCAAAATAGAGCTGAGGTAGAGGACACCCACTGCAGAATTCATTGCTTGCTTGTTGGTGGAGAGAAACCCCCACATTCAGTCACAGAAGCCTTCTGTGTTTATTGTTGTGGTGCGAGAGAAAAGGAAAAACAGGTTGCATGTGTGATTTTTCCTAAGGTGCTCATTGTGGGGGAGGTTGTCGTGTGTGTGTGTGTGTGTGTGTGTGTGTGTGTGTGTGTGTGTGTATTTGTAACTTTTTTTTTTTTTTTTGAGACAGAGTCTCGCTCTGTTGCCCAGGCTGGAGTACAGTGGCATGATCTCGGCTCACTGCAACCTCTGCCTCCTGGGTTCAAGTGATTCTCCTGCCTCAGCCTCCCCAGTAACTGGAACTACAGGCACCCACCACCACGCCTGGCTAATTTTTTTGTATTTTTAGTAGAGACGAGGTTTCACCATGTTGGCCACGCTGGTCTCCAACTCCTGATCTCAGGTGATCCGCCAGCCTCAGCCTTCCAAAGTGCTGGGATTACAGACGTGAGCCACTGCACCCAGCCTGTAGCTTATGTTTTTGATACTTTAAGAAACCTTTCTATGTTCTGAGTTCATATAGATATCTGAAAATAGTCTTTTAAAGATTGTCCTTTTATATGTAGGTCCATAATCCAATTGGAACTTATTTTTGAGGATTATTTTAAATAAGAATTTAATTTCTGTATCTTATGGAAAACCAAAGGTCCCAGATATTTTTTGAATAAGTGTTCCCTCTGCCTGTTTTTCTGAATGTTACCTCTTAATATACCAGGTTTTAGTCTATATATGGGTTTGACTTTAAGCTTTATTCAGTTTCATTGATCTCTGTTTCCTTATACCAGTACCACACTGTCTTAATAAAAATAGTTTATTAGAAGGATAATTATCTGCTAGGGAAAATCTCTACAGCTTGTTTAAATTCTTTAGAATTTCTTGTTTGCCCTTTGGACATCAATATAAAGTTTAGGGTCAACTTGTAAATTTCTATCAGAAAACAACAAAATGCTGTTAACTTTTGATTCAAATTTTAACTTTTGATTCAAATTTTATTTATTCTGTAATCAATTCTGGAAATTTTAAAAATTCATTAACATGGTATAGCTCTCCATTTATTTAGGTTTTTTCACTTTTTTCAGTGTTTTATAATTTTCTCCAAAAAAGGCTTTGCACATCTTCTGTTAGATTAAATTGTAAACATTAAACATATTAGTTTTGTTGCTGTGTTAAATGTTATCTATATTTTCTGTTTGTTGCTCATATATAGAAATGAAATTAACTTCGTATGCATTGGCCTTATATCCAGCAACCTTGCCAATCTCTCCTGTTAATAATATTTTTAAATATGTTTGGATTTTATGTATGAGTAGATATATTTGTGAATAATGGTAGTTTCTTCATTTTCAATTCTTATACCTTAATTTATTTTTCTGTTGCCTTTGTCGTATCTCCAGTATAATATGAATCGAAGTAGTGATAACAGGCATTCTTGTCCACTTCCGGTCTTAATAAGAATACTTTAGCATTTTGTTTTTTAATAATTTTGATGCTTAAAAGTTTTGGTACATACCCTTTCATTCCTGTTTGCTAGAGTTTCATTGTGGAAAGCTTTTGAGTTTTAACAAATGTTTTTCTCCATCTGTGGGTGATTTTTACCTCTTAATAGGTTTTAGTTTTTCACATCTTAATGTGGTAAATTACATACATTTTCAAATGTTGAACCAACATTGCATTCCCAAGTTAAACCCATCTTTATATCTTTTCCACTTTTTGCTAGTTGCTGTTTGCCAATATTTTGTTTGGGTGTTTTGCATCTGTATTTATTAGTGAATTTGATCTTCAGTTTTCCTTTCTTGTCAGATTTCGGAATCAAGGTTGATTAGTCTCGTAAATTCTCTTTTTCTTCTTTAGAAACATTTGTGTAAAATAAAAATTATTTGTTTTTTGAATGTTTGGTAGAACTTTGTTCATTTTGGCTTGGAATTTTTATTGTTAAAAGAATTTAAACTAATCATTCAATTTGATATGTTCTAAAATTCTAGGTTTTCTATTTCTCCTAGAGGCAATTAGGGTATTTTTTTCTAAATATTTTTAGTTTTGATGTAAGTTTTCAAACTTATTAGATGAAGTTGTCCATTATTTTTCTGGTTCTCAATGATTTCTTGATCCGTGAATTATTTAGAAGTTTGAAATTGAAGGCTTTTGTTTGGTACTTGTTTAATTGTATTATGGTTAGAGAATGGGATCTCTTCAATATACATTTATTGAAAGTATTTTGAGACTTGCTTTATTTCTTAGGGCTAGTTTTGGTAAATATTCTTTGTGTCCTTGAAAATAATATGTATTTTCTGGTTGTTGAATACAGTGTTTGATATTTGCTCATTAGGTTAAGCTCATTAACTGTGCTGGTCAAATCTTCTGTGTCCTTATGAATTTAAAAAAAATGTCTTTGAGCCATCAATTACTGAGAGACATGTTAAAGAAACTTCTACTCTGGTGGTAAATACATAAATTTTTTTCTTGTAATTGTAACAGCAGTTTTTTTTATATTTTGAAGGTATTTCATTTGGTCATATGTTTTTAGAATGTTTTATTTTTCTAGTGAATTCTTATATTATTGTTACTCTCTTTAATTCTAGTGACTATCTGATTAAGCAAAAAGAATTCACTTAATATTGTTATAGCTATATTTGCCTTTTGTTAATATTTACTTGATGTAGTTTTTTCCTACTCCTTTATTCTCCGGCTTGCTGTGTGTTTCTCTTATAAGCAGTATTTGGATAAACATTTTTTAAAATCCAGTCTGATAACCTTTATCTTTTAACCAAATGATGGTGGTGGTCAGTTAAATTTTTTGGTACTATTAATAGATTTGGATTTATTTTCCACTACCTCACTTTCTTTTATAAATTGTGCCTTTTCAAATTTTTCTTATTTCTTGGTTTTTCTCCATCTCCTAATTTGAATGTTTTACAATCTATTTCTATTCTGTACTGGTTACCTTAGAAAATCTAACATTTATAGTCACCTTAACAAAACCTAAAATTAATTCTAATCTTTATATTTGACCACTAAAAATACAAGAACGTAGCCAGGCACGGTGGCTCACGCCTGTAATCCCAGCACTTTGGGAGGCCGAGGCGGGTGGATCACGAGGTCAAGAAATCGAGACCAGCCTGGCTAACATGGTGAAACCCCGTCTCTACTAAAAATACAAAAATTAGCTGGGCGTGGTGGCATGCACCTGCAGTCCCAGCTACTTGGGAGGCTGAGGCAGGAGAATCGCTTGAACCCAGGAGGTGGAGGTTGCAGTGAACCAAGATCGTGCCACTGCACTCCAGCCTGGGCAACAAGAGCAAAACTCCATCTCAAAAAACAAAACAAAACAAAACACCAAGAACCTTAGACTGTCTTAACTTCACTTACCCTCATTTCAGTTATTCCTTGCTTTTCTTAAATTATTATTTTGCTTTATGAAGTTGTATAATAGACCATTATTATATTTATTTAATTTAGACCATATTATATTTAGTGTTGTTTAGATTTATCCACTTTTGGCTAGGTGTGGTGGCTTATGGCTGTAATCCCAGCACTTTGGGAGGCCAAGGCAGGTGCATCACTTCAGTCTAGGAGTTTGAGACCAGCCTGGGCAGCATGGTGAAACCCCGTCTCTACAAAATGCGAAAATTAGCTGGGTATGGGGTGTGTGCCTGTAGTTCCATTTACTTGGGAGGCTGAGGTGGGAGGGTCGCCTGAGCCCAGGAGTTCAAGGTACAGTGAGCTGAGAACGTGCCACTGCACTACCGCCTAGGTGACAGAGCAAGGCTCTGTCTCAAAAAAAAAAACAAAACAAAAAATTATCCATGTTTGTCATTTTCCCTGTTCACCATTCTGTCCCAGAACTTTTTCCTGAAGTAACTTCTTTATAAATATTTATATACTATTCATATCAACTTTTATTGTTGTTATGTTTTGTTCATTTATATGATAGTTTTGCTGTCATGCATAGAAGAAGCTTTCTCTGTCAGTCATAGATTGACAGATTTTTTTTTTTTTTGAGATGGAGTCTTGCACTGTCACCCGGGCTGGAGTGCAGTGGTGCAATCTCGGCTCACCGCAACCTCCCCAACCCGCGTTCAAGCAATTCTCCTGCCTCAGCCTCCCGAGTAGCTGGGATTACAGGGCGTGCCACCACGCCTGGCTAATTTTTTGTATTTTTAGTAGAGATGGGGGTTTCACTATGTTGGCCAGGCTGGTCTCAAACTCCTGAGCTCGTGATCTGCCCGCCTCAGCCTCCCAAAGTGCTGGGATTACAGGCGTGAGCCATTGTGCCCGGTGACAGATTATTTTTATGAGTGCTTTAAAGATACCATTCCATGCTTTTCTGGCTTCTGTTCTTGCTTTTGAGAAGTCAGTTTTCATTAATATATTCTTCCTTGCAACTTTTAAGAACTTTCTTCTTCTTGCCCTGGTTATTCTGTATTTTCAATGTGATGTATCTAGATGTAAATTTCAGCTGCTGTAGTTGGGATTTATTGTGATTTTTTTTATCTGACCATTAATGGACTCTGGGTAATTATCAGCTATTATCTCTTCACATATTGTCACTTTCCCATTCTCTGTGTTTATTTTTCTTAAAACTCCAGTTACATGTGCCTAAGACCAGACTCACCAGGGATAAATTGATGCTCCCAGCTTCAGTTCCACCTTACTTACTTGAAAGTGCCTTCCACAGTCTGTTTGACCTCTGAGAGTTTACCTTAATTTCTTGCCAGCTTGGTAATGCAGCTAAAAGAAAGTTTTTCTATTTCTACAAAATTGTAAGCTTTTTTGTACCAGGAAGATTTGTCATTATAACTAGTCTGCTGTATTGCCAGACTACTTTAGGTACCTCATATAAGTGGAATCATACAGTATTTGTCCTTTTGTGACTGGCTTATTTCACTTACTGTAATGTCCTCAAGTTATATCTGTATTATAGCATATGTCAGAATTTCCTCCTCGTTTAAGGCTGAATAATCTATTGTACGTATATACCACATTTTGTGGTGATTTCATGGAATAGCAACCAGCTATTACTCCTCTACTCAAACCACTTCAATGGGTCTCCATCTGTGTTAGGCCATTGCACTGCTATAATGAAATATAATACCTGAGACTGGGTAATTTCTACGAAAAGAGGTTTAACTGGCTGTCAGTTCTGCAGGCTGTACAGGAAGCATAGCGGCATCTTCCTCCGAGGAGGTCTCAGGAAGCTTCCAATTATGGCAGAAGGTGAACAGAGAGCAGGCACATCTCTTGGCAAAAGCCAGGAGTGCATGAGAGATGGGGGAGGTGCCACACACTTTTAAAGGACCAGATCTCATGAGAATTCGCTATCATGACACTACCAACAGGATGGTACTAAACCATTCGTGAGGACTCCACCCCCACGATCCAGTCACCTCCCACCAGGCCCCACCTCCAACATTGGGGATTACATTTCAACACGAGATTTGGATGGAGCTGTATTACCATCTGTTACGGTTTGGCTCTGGATCCCCATCCAAATCTCATCTTGAATTGTAATCCCCATGTGTTGAGGGAGGGACCTGGTGGGAAGTGATTGGATCTTGGGGGCAGTTTACCTCATGCTGTTCTCATGATAGTGAGGAAGTTCTCAAGGGACCTGATGGTTTAAAAGTGGCAGTTTCCCCTGCTTTCTCTCTCTCTCTCTCTCTCTCTCTCTTTCTTTCTCTCTCTCTCTCTCCCCCTCCCCCCCTTTCTCCCTCTCTCTGTCTCTCCTGCCACCTTGTAAAGAAGGTGCGTGCTTCCCCTTCATCTTCTGCCATGATTGTAAGTTTCCCGAGGCCTTCTCAGCCATGCAGAACTGTGAGTCAATTAAACTACCCAGTCTCAGGTAGTGTCTTTACAGCAACGTGAAAATGTTCTAATACACCGTCCCTCTCAGAGTAGAAGCCAAATTCTTTAGAAGGCCGGTGAAGCTTAAATAATCTCATTACCTTTTACCTCCTGACTTTATATCCTACTACTCACTCTATAGCCACACTGGCCTTCTTAATATTCCCCAGACATAGTAAACATGCTTCTAGTTTTGGGCCTTTGAACCAGCTGCTGCCTCTTCCCTGAATGCTTTTTCCCCAGAGACTTGAATGACTGACTGACTTTTTCACTTTCTTCAAATCTTTGCTTAAATGTTAACTTGTTAATGATTCCTAGCTCTAATTTCATCAGTATCCATGACATCCCCTACCCTGATTTTCTTTCTCTGAAGCACGTAGTATCTTCTAACATAAAATGAAATTTACTTATTTATCACTTATTTTCTGTCTCTTCTAAGAAAATAACATCCCTGAAGGTAAAGATCTTTGTTTTGTGATATTAAAAGCATCAGAACAGTATCTGGCAAAAGGTAAATATTTGTTCAGTGAATGTTCTTGAATGAAGCAGCTAAAAGAATGGAGACTGTTTCAGTGTCTATTTTATGAATACAGGCATAAAATTGTAACCAACTCTGACCACATCTCTAATTTCTTCTGCCCTGAGATTTACTGATTTTTCTTTTATAATTCTAATCATTCCTTCTTAGGTTTCTGTATGACCTGTTTTCAGTTTCTCTTCTTGTACACTTCAGAACTGCAAAAGCCAATGTTCCTGTGGGTTTTGCTATTTAATTCACATATTTTACTTTACAGATGTACTTTATTAAATGTACTTTCTGATACTCAATAGAGGAGACATTTTTTCTTATTATTACTTTTCAGGCTGGGAGCCTATATGTGAGACTGAAGAATTAACCCCAAAGCAGGATTTTTATGAAGAACATCAATCCCAGAAGATAATAGAAACACTTACAAGCTATAACCTTGAATACTCCAGTTTGAGAGAAGAGTGGAAATGTGAGGGCTATTTTGAAAGGCAACCAGGTAATCAGAAGGCGTGTTTCAAGGAAGAGATAATCACTCATGAAGAACCCCTTTTTGATGAGAGAGAACAAGAATATAAATCTTGGGGAAGTTTTCATCAGAACCCACTGCTTTGTACACAAAAGATAATCCCCAAAGAGGAGAAAGTACATAAACATGACACACAAAAGAGAAGCTTTAAAAAAAATTTAATGGCTATTAAGCCCAAGAGTGTCTGTGCAGAGAAGAAACTTTTGAAATGTAATGACTGTGAAAAAGTCTTCAGCCAGAGTTCATCCCTTACTCTTCATCAAAGAATTCATACTGGAGAGAAACCCTATAAATGTATAGAGTGTGGAAAAGCCTTCAGCCAGAGATCAAATCTTGTTCAACATCAGAGGATTCATACTGGAGAAAAACCCTATGAATGTAAGGAATGTAGGAAAGCCTTCAGTCAGAATGCACACCTAGTTCAACATCTGCGAGTTCATACTGGAGAAAAACCTTACGAATGTAAGGTATGTCGAAAAGCCTTCAGCCAGTTTGCCTACCTTGCTCAACATCAGAGAGTTCACACGGGAGAGAAACCCTATGAATGTATCGAATGTGGGAAAGCATTTAGCAACAGATCATCCATTGCTCAACACCAGAGAGTTCATACAGGAGAGAAACCCTATGAATGTAATGTCTGTGGGAAAGCATTTAGCCTTCGTGCATACCTTACTGTACATCAGAGAATACATACTGGAGAGAGACCCTATGAATGTAAGGAATGTGGGAAGGCCTTTAGCCAGAATTCACACCTTGCTCAACATCAGAGAATTCATACTGGAGAAAAACCTTATAAGTGTCAGGAATGTAGGAAAGCATTCAGCCAGATTGCCTACCTTGCTCAGCATCAAAGAGTTCATACTGGAGAGAAACCCTATGAATGTATTGAATGTGGGAAGGCTTTTAGCAATGACTCGTCCCTTACTCAACATCAGCGAGTTCATACTGGAGAGAAACCTTATGAATGTACTGTTTGTGGAAAGGCTTTTAGTTACTGTGGATCCCTTGCCCAACATCAGAGAATTCATACTGGAGAGAGACCCTATGAATGTAAGGAATGCAAAAAAACCTTCAGGCAGCATGCACACCTTGCTCATCACCAGAGAATTCACATTGGGGAGTCACTGTCACCACCCAACCCAGTCAATCACCAAGTCCTATAGATCCTGAGTCCTAAATGTTTCTAGAATTTATACTGTTTTTTATCTTTAATGTTGTCACCTTGGTCTGATTCATCTCACTCTGATTACTAATATAGCTTTCAAACAGGTTTTCCTGTATTTATTTTTGCTACCTTTAAATCCATTTCCCACAATGCACTCAAACGGATCTTTTTTTTCTTTTTTTTTCTTTTTGAGACAATGTCTTGCTGTGTTGCCCAGGCTGGAGTACAGTGGGACGATCTCAGCTCACTGCAACCTCTGACTCCCAGCCTCTGCCTCCAGGGTTCAAGCAATTCTCATGCATCAGCCTCCCGAGTAGCTGGGACTATAGACATGCACCACCATGCCTGGCTAATTTTTGTATTTTTTAGTAGAGATGGGGTTTTGCCATGTTGGCCAGGCTGGTCTTGAACTCCTGATCTCAAGTGATCTGTCTGTCTCGGCCTCCCAAAGTGCTGGGATTACAGGCATGAGCCACCACGCCCAGCCTCAAAGTGTTCTTTTTAAAGAATAAGAAAACACACATGGGCTGGGTGTGATGGCTCATGCCTGTAATCGCAGCGCTTTGGGAGGCCAAGGCAGGCAGATCACCCAAGGTCAGGAGTTTGAGACCAGCCAGACTAACATGGCGAAACTCCATCTCTACTAAAAATACAAAATTAGCCGGGCGTGGTGGTGCACACTTGTAATCCCAGCTACTCTGGAGGCTGAGGCAGGAGCATTGCTTGAACCCAGGAGGCAGAGGTTGCAGTGAGCCGAGATGGCGCCATTGCATTCCAACCTGGGCAACAAGGCTGCAACTCCGTCTCAAAATAAAAAGAAAAGAAGAGAAAAGAAAACACATGTTACTATCTCCAGTTAAAACTTTTTTTTTTTTTTTGCTTGTTATTGTTCTTAGACTAATATTCACAGCCTTTAAAATTGTCTGCAAGGCTTTTGTTATTTGGTTCTTACACACCATTCAGCCTTATTTTATTCCAGTCTTCTTCTTTGGGCACTAGGCACTTCCCAGGACTAAGAGCTTAGATTCTGGAAAATCATAGCTCCAACACTACTATGGCATTGCGTGACTTTGAGCAATTTGCTTATCTAAACCTCAGGGTTTTCTTTAAATCTTAAAATAGGAATAATATAGGATACTGTACTGTAGAAATGTAAGTATTAAGTGAAATAGTGTCTGTTGTAGATTGATGCATATTAAATGAGAAATTTGCATGTAAAATACTTCATATAGTCTGTCAAATATAGCAGATATTCAATAAATGATAATAGCTAACATGTATTGAGTGCCCACTACACATCAGGCACTGTCTTACATACTCTACATATATTAACTCATCTACTCCTCACAAAACAAGATTCCTTATTGGACAAAGTGGAGCATTCCTGCAAAACACCAGTTCAGAATTTGGAAAATCTAAAAATGTTAGAACATAAATGGCAGTCTTTGTACTGTAGCTTAGTAGTTGTTATGAAGTCAGGTAGTGGAACTATAACACTGACAGCCAGTTTTAGGAAGTTTCTACAGATAATGAATTGGATAAGCCAATTAAGAAAAATAGAATTCACTGGGAAGAATGCAGAACCTACATTTAAATCAAGGAAGGAATAGAAATGGTCACAATTAACCAAAAAAAATCAATAAACATAGAAATTCATGTGATCCCCTTAAATAGGCACCACACCCTGGCCAGGTGCAGTAGCTCATTCCTGTAATCCCAGCACTTTGGGAGGCCGAGGTGGGTGGATTATGAGGTCAGGAGTTCGAGACCAGCCTGCCTAACATGGTGAAACCCCATCTCTACTAAAAATATAACAGTTAGCCAGGTGTGGTGGCGCACGCCTGTAATCCCAGCTACTCAGGAGGCTGAGGCAAGAGAATTGCTTGAACCCAGGAGACAGAGGTTGCAGTGAGCTGAGATCGTGCTACTGCACCCCAGCCTGGGCAATACAGCAAGACTCCATCTCAAAAAAAAAAAAAAAAAAAAAAAAAAAGCACTACCCCCAGCTAATTGTATGGTTAAATTCGGGTAATTTAGAAGGCATGTAAAGTGTTCCATACTATAGAAAAATGTAAAGTTTTAAAATTATTTATCCAGTGGTTGCAAAATTGAAATCAAAAGGGGATTAAGGGAAGAAAACAGATAGATACACAAATAATATAGGCATTCATTCTGTTAATATTGAGTAATTACTGTTTGTCAGACACTGTTTTAGGTATGAGGAAATGACAGTGAGCAATACAAAGGCCACATTCTCATGGAGTAAAATTCCAGAGGTGGAGACATGTAATTAATACTTAAATATAAAACAGTAGATTTTCTAAACGCAGAAAACGGAAGAGTAACAAGAAACTAAATCAAGGAGCATTATATAGCCTAGACTGCAGAGACTCAATATAATAAAGTTGGCGATTCTTCCTAATTATCAAATTTACTGCAATTCCAGCCAAAATGTTTCAGTGGTTTTTTTTGTTTGTTGTTTTTGTTTTTGTTTTGCCCTTTAGCTTCACAGGTTTGTTCTGAAATTTATGAGGTATAAATTCTTAAGAGCAGCAAGAAAAATTTCGAATCTATTTGTAGAAACTGCATATGATGATGGTTCATACCAGTAGAGAGAAAGATTGGATTTGGGGGTATTACTAGTAGTAAGGGGATTCACTAGTAGTAAGGGAAATGCAAAATAAAATCACATTGAACTAGTTCAAAATCATCACATTGGCAAAAGCATTAGAGTGCCAATTACTGGAAAGATGTGGAGCAATAGGAACACTCATACGGTGCTATAGGAAGTAGTTGTGTTTAGCATAATTTGGCAATGTCTAGTAAAGTTGAAGATGTGAATAATCTTTGACCCAGCAATTCCATGTTTAAACCTCTACATAGTCTCTCCTCGTGTTTCAAGGAGATACATATGATGGTCCATTGCAGAACTGTGAGAATGAGAAGTTGAAAGCAATCTAACCATTAGGTTAAATACAAGATAGAATGCAAACTAAAATGAATAACTAGAGATATTTCTGTCAACATGGGTAAACCTCAAAAATAGTATTAATGAAATTGAACTACAGACTATTTTATATAATACAGTATAACGTACAATTTCAAAACATGCAAATTAGTGTTATGTATTTTTGTCATGGCTAAATACTATATAAAAAGGATCTAAAAGAATTAATAAAATAATCATCAGATTCAGAACAGTGGTGACCTGCAGGGAGAAAGACAACTGAGATTGGGGAAAGGATGCAAATGAAAATACCTTTAATTATTCATTTCTTTTAAAAATAAGCAAATACTGTATAGCCAATTCTTAAAATTTGATAAAGCTGGCTGTGAGTATATGAGTCAGTTCTTACTCTCTGTATCTTTCTGTATAAACTATTTCATAATGCAAAAAAATAAAGAATATTTAAATGATGTTTGCTTCTATCAGTTCTTTTTTTTTTTTTCTTTTTTGAGATGGAGGCTCACTCTGTCGCCCAGGCTGTAGTGCAGTGGCATGATCTCGGCTCACTGCAACCTCCGTCTCCCAGGTTCAAGCGATTCTCCTGCCTCAGCCTCCCAAATAGCTGGGATTACAGGCACACGCCACCACGCTCAGCTAATTTTTGTATATTTAGTAGAGATGTGCTTTTGCCGTGTTGGCCAGGCTGGTCTTGAACTCTTGACCTCAGGTGATCTGCCTGCCTCGACCTCCCAAAGTGCTGGGATTACAGGCGTGAGCCACTGTGCCCTGTCAGTTACTTTTTTACTATTCCCAAGGTGTGCCACTGGTATTCCTGTATCCACCATTTTCTTCAGAAAGAAGCTTATATATGGTCTATTTGCAGAGGCAACCATTGTTAACAATTTTAAGACTATCTTTCCATGTTTGACTCATTTGAGAATGACGTTTTATGCTAAGGGTTTTATAAGCCTAATTTTCCCATCATCATTCTTATTGTTTTCAGGACCCCATTGTATATGCACCATGATTTGTTAATTTCCCTTTGTGTACTAAGTGTCCAGAATTTTTGTGGGCCAATTACTATCCTTTCTGAACTCAATTTTCTCAGATGTTAAAGGGAGGTAATTCTTTGTTTTAGAACTGTTACATGCATTTGTCATAATACATGTTAAATTTACAGCAGTATTTAGTAAAAGTTATTATTTTATAAAATATACTGGGGGTTGTGAAAGGAAACAGGAAGGGAAATGGCATGAGGCTGTTACAGTAGAAGCAAGCGGTAGAGACAGAAATTTACTTCAGATAGGCAGCATACAGAAACAAATACATAGTAACTCTGGATTTTAAAATGGATGCCTAACTTAGTCACTGTGATTATAATCAATATCCAGCAGAATTTGTTGATAGCTTCCCATTTTTATTATATTTTTCTCATTTATAAGTCAATGGAAAAATAAGCAATTAAGAATATCAAGGAAATTGTCTATCACTGTCAAAGAGAGGCTTCAGACATCCATAGCTGAATGGTTGAAAATATCAACAGAAACAGGATGGCAGAGTGAGGAAGAGTGCTTGTCCACCACACTCCAACACACTGAAGTGAAAGTTAAAGCAGTAGATAAAAATTAAAACCCGGCTGGGCGCGGTGGCTCATGCCTATAATTCCAGCACTTTGGGAGGCCAAGGTGGGTGGATCACGAGGTCAGGAGTTCAAGACCAGCCTGGCCAACATGGTGAAACCCCATCTCTACTAAAAATACAAAAATTAGCTGGGCATGGTGGCGTGTGCCTGTAATCCCAGCTACTCGGGAGGCTGAGGCAGGAGAATTGCTTCAACCGCGACCTGGGAGGCAGAGGTAGCAGTGAGCCGAAATTGCGCCACCACACTCCAGCTTGGACAACAGAGCGAGACTCTATCTCAAAAAAAAAAATAAATAAATAAAGCCCTTCTTCTCTTCCCTATTTTGCCTCATTCACTCATTCATATCCTTTAGATAGAGATACTTGTGGAATCTGAGCTATAGCCTAGTGTCTCTTTTTTTTTTTTGAGACGGAGCATTTCTCTGTTGCCCAGGCTGGATACAGTGGCGCTATCTCGGCTCACTGCAACCTCTGCCTCCCCAGTTCAAGCAATTATCCTGCCTCAGCCTCCCGAGCAGCTGGGATTACAGGTGCCCGCCACCATGCCCAGCTAATTTTTGTATTTTTAGTAGAGACAGGGTTTCACCAGTTTGTCCAGGCTGATCTCGAACTCCTGACCTCGTGATCTGCCTGCCTCAGCCTCCCAAAGTGCTGGGATTACAGGCATGAGCCACCGCGCCTGGCCACATAGTGTCTGAAAGTAGTTAAGGAAATAAAAACTGCCTATGTCATATCGTGTGACTGTGCTGTATAAATCCTATGCTCATGAACAGCTCTGAGGTGAGCTGTATTCACCAGGCAGCCAGTTATTGAACATGGATTATAGACTGGCAAGTGGATACAAAAGCTGGTGGGTGTGAAGTGGTACTACTTATGGGTTTTATTTGCATTTCTCTAATGACTGATGATGTTGCACATCCTTTCGTGTGTGTATTGGCCATTTGTATATCTTCTTTGGAAAAGTGATTATTCAAATCCACTTCCAATTTTAAATTGAATTGCCTTTTTATTGTTGAGCTGTAAGAGGTCTTCGTATATTCTGAATACAAGGGCCTTGTCAGATATGCTATTTGCAAACATTTTCTTCCATTTTGTAGACTTTCCTTTCACTTTCTTGATAGTGCCCTTTGAAGCAAAAAATAAAAAACAACTAAAAAAATTGTTAATTTTGATATACTCTAATTTATCTATTTTTTCTTTTCTTGTTTATGCCTTTGGTATCATAGCTAAGAAACTACTAATCTGGCCAGGTGCGGTGACTCACACCTGGAATCCCAGCCCTTTGGGAGGCCATGGCAGGTGGATGGCTTAAGCTCAGGAGTTTGAGACCAGCCTGGGAAACATGGTGAAACCCCGTCTCTATACAAAATACAAAAATTAGCCAGGCATGGTGGCATGTGCCTGTAGCCTGTAGTCTGAACTACTCTGGAGTCTGAGGTAGAAGGATGGTTTGAGCCATGATTGGATAATGGGGGCGGTTTTCCCCATGCTGTTCTCGTGATAGTGAGGGAGTTCTCATGAGATCTGATGGTTTAAAAGCAGCAGTTTCCCCTGCTTTCTCTCTCTCTCTCCTGCCACCTTATAAAGAAGGTGCCTGCTTCCCCTTCACCTTCCACCATAATTGTAAGTTTCCTGACCTTCCAGCCATGCAGAACTGTGAGTCAATTAACCCTCTTGAGTGAAGATATCTCTTTGATATATTGATTTCCTTTTTTGTTTGTTTTGTTTTGTTTTGTTTTTGGATGTCTACCTAGCAGTGAGATGAGATTGCTGGATCGTATGGTAGTTCTATTTTTGTTTTTTTGAGAAATCTCCAGTTTTCTATAATAGCATACTAATTTACATTTCCACCAATGGTGTGTAAGGATTCCCTTTCTTCACATCCTCACCAACACTTGTTATCTTTTGATAATAGGCATTTTAACTGAGGTGAGATAGTATCTCATTGTGGTTTTGATTTGCATTTCCCTGATGATTAGTGATGTTGAGCATTTTTTCATATACCCATTGGCCATTTGTATGTCTCTTTTGAGAAATGTTTACTCGAATCCCTTGCGCATCTTAAAATCAGATTTTTTTGCTATTGTTTAAGTTCCTTATATATTTTGCTTATCCCTTATTGAATGTCTAGTGTATAAATATTTTCACCCTTACTGTAGGTTGTCTCTTCACTCTACTGATTGTTTTCTTTGCTGTGCAGAACCTTTTCAGCTTGATATAATCTCATTTGTCTATTTTTGCTTTTGTCTCCTGAGCTTTTGAGGTCTTACCCAAACAATTTTTGCCCAGACCAATTTGCTGATCACTTCTCCAATGTTTTCTTCTAGCAGTTTTATAGTTTTGGGTCTGCCATTTAAGTCTTTAATCCATTTTGAGTTTATTTTTATGTATGGTGAGAGATAGGGATGTAGTCTCGTTCTTCTGTATATGCATATTCAGTTTTTCCAACACCATTTGTTGAATATAGTGTGCTTTCTTCAATGTATGTTCTTGGCACCTTTATAGAAATGAGTTGGCACTAATTTCACGGATTTATTTCTGGGTTCTCTGTTCAGTTCCATCAGTCTACATATCTGTTTTTATGCCCGTACCATGCTCTTTTGATTATCATAGCTTTGTAGTATATTTTGAAGTCAGGTAGTGTGACACCTCCAGGTTTGTTCTTTTTGCTCAGGATTTCTTTGGCTATTCAAGGTCTTTTGGGGTTCCATAGTGAATTTTATAATTACTTTTAATATTTCTGTGAAAAATGTCATTTATATTTTTATAGGTATTGCATTTAATTGGTAGATTCTTTGGGTAATATGGACATTTTAACAATATTAATTCTTCTAATCCATAGCCATGGAATATCCTTTCATGTTTTGGTGTCCTATTTCTTTCAGCAGTGTTTTGTAGTTTTTATTGTGGAGATTTTTCTCTTCTTTGGTTAAGTTTATTCCTAGGGATTTCATTGTCTTTGTAGCCATTGTAAATGGAACTAACTTCTTGATTTCTTTTTTAGATTGCTTGCTGTTAGCATAGATAAATCCTATTGATTTTTGTGTGTTCATTGTGTATCCTGGAACTTTACTGTTTATAGTTCTAAGAGTTTTTTGGTGGAATCTTCAGGTTTTTCTAAATATAAGATCATTTCATCTGCAAACAAGGACAATTTGATTACTTTCCTTCTAATTTGGGTGTCCTTTATTTCATTCTCTTGCTTAATTGCCCTGGGTAGGACTTCCAGTATTATGTTGAATAAAAGTGGTAAAAATGGGCCGAGCATGGTGGCTCACGCTTGTAATCCCAGCACTTTGGGAGGCTGAGGCAGATGGATCATCTGAGATCAGGAGTTCGAGACCAGCCTGACCAACATGGAGAAACCCCATCTCTACTAAAAAATACAAAATTAGCTGGCATGGTAGCGCATGCCTGTAATCCCAGCTATTCAGGAGGCTGAGGCAGGAGAATCACTTGAACCCGGGAAGTGGAGGTTGTAGTGAGCTGAGATTGTGCCATTGCACTCCTGCCTGGGCAACAAGAGTGAAACTCTGTTTAAAAAAAAAAAAAAAAAGTAAAAATGGCGTCTTTGTCTTGTTCCAGTCCTTAGAGGAAAGGCTTTTAATTTTTCCTGTTCAGTATAATAGCTTTGGGATTATGAAGCCCCTCCCTTCTTAAGGGGTCACCTTTTTAAAAACAAGAGGACTACACCACCACCCAACCACAAAAACCTCCTGAGGAACTCATTTAGACTGACAAGAGGTGCAGAAAGAGGTTAAATAAGGTGCTTATAACTCCTTTTTCTCCTTCCCCTAATGATAGCACCTAACTGAACACAGTCCATTCATGCAGAAAAGGAGAGTAATTTGAGGATGGTATTGTTAACTAAAACCGTAGCCTTTATGGAAAATTCACCACTCTTGCACAAACATCCAGGATCCACATGGCTATTGGGAGTGATTTCTCCTGCATTGCCTCCAGCCTTTCCTAACATGTCCTTCTCTCTTTGTCTTTCATATCTGTGATGGAGCTTCATTCATGTGTGTGTATTCCTCTGTTTCTGTGTGTCTTTTGAACAAGTAAGGTTTTGCAATTAAAGAATGACTGAGGCCAGGCGTGGTGGCTTATGCCTGTAATCCCAGCACTTTGGGAGGCCAAGGCAGGTGGATCACTTGAGGTCAGGAGTTTGTTTTTTTTTTTTTTTTTTTTTGAGACGGAGTCTTGCTGTGTCGCCCAGGCTGGAGTGCAGTGGCACGATCTCAGCTCACTGCAATCTCCGCCTCCTGGGTTCACGCCATTCTCCTGCCTCAGCCTCCTGAGTAGCTGGAACTACAGGTGCCCACCACCACGCCCGGCTAATTTTTTGTATTTTTAGTAGAGACGGGGTTTCACTGTGTTAGCCAGGATGGTCTCGATCTCCTGACCTTGTGATTCGCCTGCCTCGGCCCCCCAAAGTGCTGGGATTACAGGCATGAGCCACCGTGCCCAGCCCTGGCCAATATGGTGAAACCCTGTCTCTACTAAAAATACAAAAAACTTAGCCGAGTGTGATGGTGGGTGCCTATATTCCCAGCTACTTGGGAGGCTGAGACAGGAAAATTGCTTGAACCTGAGAGGTGGAGGTTGCAGTGAGCTGAGATCACGTCACTGCACTCCAGCCTGGGCGATAGGGCGAGATTCTGTCTCAAAACAAAACAAAACATATATCCAACCACAGCCATCCCTGGCCTTCTAATTCATGTTGTCTGTTATTTCATCTGTACTTTCCCTTTTATTCTTTTTTTTTTTTTCTGTGCTTGGATGCCAACTTTATTTGTGGTCAATATAACTTAGAGTCTTCATTTTCCATTTTTGTATATATTCTGTTAATCTATGGTATCATCTACCAAGTCTTCTGCCTTAAAAAACTCACAGAGATCATTTCCTTTTTGTAACTCATCCTCTACTCTCTTCATTCAATTAGTTACATGTTGTACACATGTACCTTAAAACTTAAAGTATAATAAAAAATAAAAAAAGAAAAAAAAAGAAAAGTAAATTATGTCATTCAATGATCCAATGAGAGACTACTGCAATGACAAAATAGTTGGTTTGGAGAGAGTTTTCTGGAGTCCAGTCCTTTTTATTCTTTTTAAGTAGAGACAAGGTTTCACCATGTTGCCCAGGCTGGCCTTAAACTCCTGGACTCAAGCAATCTGCCCCCTTTGGCCTCCCAAAGTGCTAGGATTACAGGCGTGAGATGCTGCGTCCAGCCCCTTTTTATTCTTGAGTGATATCCAGTTCTTCTTTCACTGTATGTGACTTCCTAAGAGTGCTAAATCTTCTGGCTTCCACTGATTTCCATTGAGAAGTCCTTTTTTTTTTTTTTTTTTTAAAAAAAACTTTGCAAGCTTCTTTGTTTTTGGTTTCAGCAGATTTCTTCTCATCTTAGTTATGATTTCCTTTTCATTAGCCTTTTAACAAATGTGGTTTTTTTTTTTGAAATGGAGTTTCACTCTTATCGCACAGGCTGGAGTGCAATGGCACGATCTTGGCTCACTGCAACCTCTGCCTCTGGGTTCAAGCAATTCTCCTGCCTCAGCCTCCTGAGGAGCTGGGATTACAGGCGTGCACCACCACACCTGGCTAATTTTTGTATTTTTAGTAGAGACGGGGTTTTACCATGTTGGCCAGGCTGGTCTTGAACTCCTGACCTCATGATCCACCTGCCTCGGCCTCCTCCCAAAGTGCTGGGATTATAGGCATGAGCTACTGCGCCCATCAGAGACATGTTTCTTGAAAGTATGCCCTTGTCAATTAAAAAAAAAAAACCAAATAGCCCAGGAGTTTGAGACCAGTCTGGGCAACATAGAAAGACTCCATCTCTACAAAAAATAAATAAAATTAGCCAGGCATGGCGGGACGTGCTTGTAATCCCAGTCACTTGGGAGGCTGAGGTGGGAGGATCACTTGAGCTCAACAGGTTGAGATTGCAGTGAGCCAAGATGGTGCCACTGCACTCCAGCCTAAGTGACAGAGCAAGACCCTGTCTCAAAAGAAAAAGAAAAGAAAAGAGTAATCCATAGTGAGGATGTTAGGAACTATTATAAAATCATAACTAATGATGGTCAAATGAAATATAAAAATAATAAAAATATATTATTTTCATTTACCAAAAAAGTGTGCCTTCTTTTCATCTACCAGTTTTCTAATCTTCCAGTATTTTCTGCACCTTCTGAATCTCTTTTCCTTCCAGGACCCTGATTTAATAAAAGTAAGACTTAATTATTATATACCTTGTGCCTGTATTAGCTTTTTTCTCCTCATTTTCTCCTGAAACTCTATTACAGAATTCATGTCCTCTTTTCCACTTGATTAACTTTTTGTTCCCTGTGTGTAATCTGATCTTTACATCCATTGTCCTTTTAGTTATTTGAAAGTAATGAAAATCACCATTTGGATTTTTTTTTTTTTTTTTTGACAGAGTTTCACTCTGTCACACAGGCTGGAGTGCAGTGGTGCAATCTCAGCTCACTGCAACCTCCACCTCCTGGGTTCAAACAATTCTCATGCCTCGGCTTCCCAAGTAGCTGGGACTACAGGCACCTGCCACCACACCCGGCTAATTTTTGTATTTTTAGTACAGACTGGGTTTCACCATATTGCCCAGGCTGGTCTTGAACTCCTGATCTCAAGTGACCCACCTGCCTTGGCCCCCTAAAACGCTGGGATTATAGGCATGAGCCACCATGCCTGGCCCATTTTTTTTTTCTACAATAGTTTCAATCCTCTGCCAAAACTAAAATCTTCTATATGTTTTTATATACTAGGTATAGTTATTTTTTATAAGTGCCATATACTTTAAATCAGTTTTATTGTGGTATGAGTTATGTATGTAGTTTAAAATAAAATAGGCCGGGCACAGTGGGTCACGCCTGTAATCCCAGCACTTTGGGAGGCTCAGGCAGGCGGATCACAATGTCAAGAGATCGAGACCATCCTGGCCAACATGGTGAAACCCGGTCTCTACTAAAAATACAAAAATTAGCTGGGTGTGGTGGTGAGTGCCTGTAGTCCTAGCTACTCAGGAGGCTGAGGCAGAAGAATTGCTTGGACCTGGGAGGCAGAGGTTGCATTGAGCCTAGATGGCGCCACTGCACTCCAACCTGGTGATAGAGTAAGACTCCATCTCAATAAATAAATAAAAATAAAATAAAATACATCAATCTTAAGGATGAAGTTTGATGAGGTTGGACAAACAAAACTGAAAGTAGAATATGCCCATAAGAAAAACCTCACACATGAGAATGGGCAGAAACTGGAAAGGCTTTGAGAAACTGTTAATGAAAGCAAAAAGAAAGAACCTTGAAGAAATTTTTTTTCACTGTGTTAATTTATTTAATAACTGACAATTTTATTATTATCACCGTTTTAAAGATGAGACAATTATAGCATAGAAAATTCAAGTAAATGCCCCATAACACCAACCCCTCAACCTGTTTCTTCTTATTTCCTGGACCCTTGGCCATATGCGTGGAATCTGAGAATGGCATCTAGTTGGCTTTAAACTCACACTAATGAAGCTGCAATCTGGAGGTCAGGAAGTTTCTGGAAATTGTTGCTGGTGATGAATTCACTTAGATGCGTACATCTACTGGTCTAGACATCACTCCACTGCTGAAAAAAGGCATCTACCTCCCTTCTTTATCCAAATCTTATTTGAAAGCATATCTTTGGCAGTAACCAGACTGTCTTTAGGTGACTTTTAGCAAGTTGTCTAGGAAGTGAAATTGTTAGGTTTCCAGCCCCTGAAACAAAGGTAAGAGCGCAAAAAGAGGTAGAAATTAGTGCTGATTAGAAATAAACAATATCTACTACCACATATAGAGGACAGAGTGGGAAATAAACCCCATAATCTAAACAGAGGCAACTACTGCAGCTCCTATAAAGACTTTGGAGGCAGGGGTAGGTTCTATGATGCAATGGTATCTACGTGCCAGCAGATAACAAGGGCTAGTTGCAACTGTAATGTATATTCGTATTTCTTGAAGACTCACCATTGTGGGCTAAGAGAAGTTGAATGAGGGCCTCGAACCCAAACCAAAGCAACATCTCTAGTTCAAAGCTACTCTGTTTAGATGAATCTGCTTATACTATCTGTTGTTTCTATTTGATCTCATTCATGTGGTTCTGTTCCCTTGCATGCTGGATATCTGTGACAACTTGCTGGTCACTGTACCTGAAAAATTATTTGTGGATGCTCCCTCAGGCGTAAAGTGCCTCCAGAGTGGGTTCTCATTTACCCCTTCCAGGTATCACCAGTCCAACCCATCTCAAATTGAGTTCATAATGTGAAATTCCTTAATTTACTGAGCTTATGAATCCAAAGCTTCCCATACCTGGTGAAATATAAAAAGGAAAAAAAGAAAAACAGGGCTTTACCCCAGGAAAATCAAACCAGAATTTCTGGAGGTGCCCAAGAATTGGGATTTTAAAAATCTCTTTGGGTGATTTTAAGATGTAGTTAGAATTGAGAACAACCAGGCTGGGCGTGGTGGCTCACGCCTGTAATCCCAGCACTTTGGGAGGCTGAGGCGGGTGGATCACAAGGTCAGGAGTTCGAGACCAGCCTGGCCAATATGGTGAAACCCCGTCTCTACTAAAAATACAAAAATTAGCTGGGCATCGTGGCAGGAACCTGTAGTCCCAGCTACTTGGGAGGCTGAGGCAGGATAATCGCTTGAACCTGAGAGGCAGAGGTTGCAGTGAGCCGAGATCGCACCATTGCACTCCAGCCTGGGCAACAGAGCGAGACTCCGTCTCAAAAAAAAAAAAAAAAAAAAAAGAATTGAGAACAACTGGAGATGAACCGAGTATGGAGATCAGGTCATAAAAAAGGAACCTCTAGACTTAAATATTATTTCCTAATATGATCTTTAATTGTGGTCACTTATAGATAGCATTGACCATAAGCTAACAGACTAGAATCTACTGTTTTTTTCTTTTTCTTTTCACTTTTTAATATAGAAAAAAATCAGACATATATAAAAACAGAGAAAAAATATGAATAGATCATCATGTATTAATTACACCAATTCAGCAATTATCAGCAGTTTGCCAATTTGGTGTTAAGAAAAATTATCAGCTGGGCGCCATGGCTCATGCCTGTAATCCCAACACTTCGGGAGGCCGAGGCAGGCGGATCACCTGAGGTCAGGAGTTCAAAACCAGCCTGGCCGACATGGTGAAATCCAGTCTCTACTAAAAATACAAAAATTAGCCGGGCATGGTGGTGTGTGCCTGTAGTCCCAGCTACTCAGGAGGCTGAGGGAGGAGAATCACTTGAACCTGGGAAGCAGAGGCTGTAGTGAGCCGAAATCGCGCCACTGCACTCCAGCCTGGACAACAGAGTGAGACGCCGTCTCAAATAATAATAATAATAATAAATTATCAAAAACTAGATGTATAGAGCACCTTTGACATACCTAACTCCATCTTAGAAAAAGACTCCATTTCATTTTTCATAGAACACTTTGCCAACAGGATGTTTTGCTTAATAAACAAAAAAAAAGAATAAAGACTGCATCCAACCAGTTAAGGACATGAACAAGCACATTCTTCCATCATCAGTTCTCACCAGAGGACTCTGTGACTATAAAAGATTAGGGCTTCAGCAGCTTGAAACGGCCGTCTTAACTGACACTATCTTGTAGTTACTCATGATAAGAACTTGGCATCTGCTGTGGAAGGCTGTGCCACATCAAAAACTCTTTCTTGCAAGACTGATGGACTGCCTAGTCCAGACTAGGACCTCTTTTGTCTTTGCCCATGGACTGGTTCCTTAACCCTTTCTCCTATCTCTTTTTCCTCTTGATATTAAATGTTACTTTGTTGTAGAATGTTTGACCAAGAATGTTTATATATTAAGTACACTATTGGCCAGGCGCAGTGGCTCACACCTGTAATCCCAGCACTTTGGGAGGTTGAGACAGGCGGATCATGAGGTCAGGAGTTCGAGACCAGCCTGGCCAACATAGTGAAACACCATCTCTACTAAAACTAGAAAAAATTAGCTGGGGATGGTGGTGCCTATACTCCCAGCTACTCGGGAGGCTAAGGCAGGAGAATCACTTGAATCCAGGAGGCAGAGGTTGTGGTGAGCCGATATCACGCCACTGCACTTCAGTTTGGGCAACAGAGTGAGACTCTGACCCCCGCAAAAAAAAAAAAAAAAAAAAAAAAAAAAAAGTACACTATTATATATGCTTTGCAGTATTGACTGACTTCTGGAGTATCTTGAACCTGTGTGCCTGCGGCTCTGCCTCTGGAGTGAAGGGGAAGTACTAAGGAGAATGCCTCCTTGGGAACTCCACATAGCTCATGGCTTTTGTTATTGAACTAGCATCAATAAAAGCCTGACATTGTGGCAAGATACAAGCATGTGTGCCCCTGGATATCTCTAACCTTGCACCACTCATGAAACTAGGAAATAAGGAAAAAATATTATTTTGTTATCCCATATATCTTTGCAAAGTCATACTACAGCACAGTCTAACAAACTGTTCTAGGGACTGGTTTTCCAACACTCAGCACCGTTTACATTTTGGGCCAGATAATCCTTTGTTACAGAGGACTGTTCTCTACAACACAGAGTGGCTGGAAGCATTCTTGGCCTCTTCCCACTAGATGCCAGTAGTATCCTACCCCCATCATTGTGAGAACCAAAATTGTCTTCAGGCATTGCCAAATGTCCCCTGGGGCTTAAAACTGCCCCAGGTTGAGAATTCATTGCTCTGGTGTAATGAACCTTTATTTGATTGACTGTTATTTATTAGGATGTAGGTGGTGTAAAAATAGATGTTAACTTGCAGACAACTGATGCATTTTTCATTTTTCTTTTTTTTTTTTTTTTTTGAGATGTCTCACCCTGTTGCCCAGGCTGGAGTGCAGTGGCGTGATCTGGACTCACTGCAAGCTCCACCTCCTGGGTTCACGCCATTCTCCTGCCTCAGCCTCCCAAGTAGCTGGGACTACAGGCACCCACCACCATGCCTGGCTAATTTTTTGTATTTTTAGTAGAGACGGGGTTTCATCATGTTAGCCAGGATGGTCTCGATCTCCTGACCTCGTGATCTGCCCGCCTCGGCCTCCCAAAGTGCTGGGATTACAGGCGTGAGCCACCGCGCCCAGCAGACAATTGATGCATTTTCATATATTCATCTGGTATAGCTACAAATTGATTCTGTGTGGAAGAAATAACCTTAAAGGTATGGTTTTATTGCCCTGTAGGGATATTAAATAGTTTTATATCTAACTTTGCAATCTTATTCGAAGATTCTATTGTTTTTCACTGAAGATAGGTATATACCTGTTCACTTGGAAATCAATTTCCAATGCCCTTGCTAATAAGTGAAATGAATCTTTGAATATCTGTAAAAGAGTTAAAAATTATAAGTTTTTGAAAATTATACTTTGATACTTGTTTCACCCATTGCCCCGGTGCTCTTCCTGCCTCCACATACTCTGAGGACAGGATGGGCTGTGGCCTCTCCTCATCCCAGGCTACTTCCACGGTCAACCTTGATCCAGGAGATGGTCACATCCCACCCAGATCCAGAGCACCCTACACTCATGCCAAGATACAGCCCTATTGACACTCAGGCCACAGCCTGGGAAAGATGGCAAGACCCCATCTCTACAAAAAAATAAAAATAAAAATAAATTAGCTGGGCATGGTGGTGTGTACCAGTAGTCCCAGCTACTTGGGAGGCTGAGGCAGGGGGATCACTTGAGGCCAGGAGTTCAAGGCTGCAGTGAGCCATGATTGTGCCACTGCACTCTAGCCTGGGCAACAGAGTAAGATCCTGTCTCTAAAAAAAAAAAAAAAAAAAAAACCAAAAAGCCAAACTAAACCAGACAAAACACCAAAAAATAAAAATAAAAAAAAAACAGCAACAAACTGAAGGGGGCCTGCCCCTCCACACCTGTGGGTATTTCTTGCAAGGTGGAGACGAGAGACTGAGAAAAGAAATAAGACACAAAGTATAGAGGAAGAAAAGTGGGCCCAGGGGACCAGCGCTCAGCATACAGAGGACCCGCGCTGGCCCCAGTCTCTGAATTCCCTCAGTATTTATTGATCACTATGTTGACCATCTCGGAGAGGGGCATGTGGCAGGACTATAGGGTAATGGTGGGGAGAGGGTCAGCAGGAAAACGTGAGCAAAGGACTCTGTGTCATAAATAAGTTTAAGGAAAGGTGCTGTGCCTTGATGTGCACGTAGGCCAGATTTATGTTTAACTTTACACGAACATCTCAGTGCAGTAAAGAGTATTGCCACCAGCATGTCTCAGCAACCACAAGGCGGTTTTCTCCTATCTCGGTAAATAGAATGTATGATCAGGTTTTATGAGACATTCCATTCCCAGGGACGAGCAGGAGACAGATGCCTTCCTCTTATCTCAACTGCAAAGAGGGCTTCCTCTTTCACTAATCCTCCTCAGCACAGACCCTTTACGGGTGTCGGGCTGGGGGATGGTCAGGTCTTTCCCTTCCCAGGAGGCCATATCTCAGGCTATCACATGGGAAGAAATCTTGGACAATACCCAGGCTTTCTTGGGCAGAGGTCCCTGTGGCCTTCCTCAGTGTATTGTGTCCCTGGGTACTCGAGACTGGAGATTGGTGATGACTTTTACCAAGCATACTGCCTGCAAACACATTTTTCACAAAGCACATCCTGCACAGCCCTAAATCCATTAAACCTTGAGTCAATACAGCACCTGTTTCTGCAAGCACAGGGTTGGGGCTAGGGTTACAGATTAACAGCATCTCAAGGCAGAAGAATTTCTCTTAGTACAGATCAAAATGAAGTTTCTTATGTCTTCCTTTCTCTACATAAACACAATAACAGTCTGATCTATTTTTCTTTCCCCCACAACAAACAACACTCAGGCCCAGGTAAGGTCCTTTCTGCTCCAGAGCAAGGAAGCGCTGTGCCTCCTTTTAGGCCAAATTTGGGGCCCTGTACCCTTTTAAATGATGACAGTGTCTAGGGCCACCACATTTAGTTCAAGGCTTGGACCTATAGGCATAAGCTCACTGGAACAGGTGAGAGCTGATGGTCACTGCAGGTTGGGTTAGCCCAGAGCCTTGGAGCTAGTCTGCCTAGAGGCTCCTTTCTCGAATTCCTCTGCCTAGAGGAATCACACTGTCATAGGCCATAAATGCTAATGATGACCTTGGCAGGGTCCTATCTTTCTGCAGACTATGATAAAGTTCTGTTACTTCTTTTCTCACTCCCTCTGTTCCCTGGCCCACATCATTACTCAATACTCTGAATAGTATGCTTTTTCTTTTAAAAATGAAGGTATAATTTACATATAATAACACAAATAAGTGTTCACTTTGATGAGTCTTTGACAATTACGTAGGCCCATGAAACTACCACATAAAACAAGACATAGAACATTTTCCTCACCCCCTAAATTATCTTCGAAGTCATAGCCCCAGCCAGGCACAGTGGCTTACGCCTGTAATCCCAGCACTTTGGGAGGCTGAGGCATGCGGATCGCTTGAGGTCAGGAGTTTGAGACCAGCCTGGCTAAGATGGTGAAACGCCATCTCTACTAAAAATACAAAAATTAGCCGGGTGTGATGGCGCATGCCTGTAATCCCAGCTACCTGGGAGGCTGAGGCACGAGAATCACTTGAACCTGGAAGGAGGTTGCAGTGGGCCGAGATGGAGATCTCACCACTGCACTCCAGCCTGGGAGACAGAGTAGAGACTCTGTCTCAGAAAAAAAAAAAAAAAAAAAAAAAATAGCCCCTGGAGTCAACTGCTTTCTGATTTATAACTCAATAGATCTGTTTTGCCTGTTCTTGAGTTTCTCATGACTGGAGTCCTACAGTGTGTACTCTTCTTTTACCTGTTTCCTCTTTCCATGTGTACTCCTTCCCCAATCAAGAGGTCAGCTCCTTGAGTAGCCTCTATTTTTACTCGAGTACTCAGTCTTCTTTTTCCCAATTCAGTTGCTGAGATATATTTAGGTTCTAATAAATTTTGGGTAAAATTTAATAATGATGCTAATGATCCTTTACTTCTGAATAACACAGAAACACCCAGCTCTGAATCCTTGTTGCTTTATTTACTCACTGAATGATTACGGACAGGTCACCTCACCCCCGTGTTGCAGTTTCTTTTGAAGCGTGATGATAACACTATCTTTACAATGTTTGTGGCAGTCTTTAATGTTATTCCAAAATATCGCCAGCTCTTCCCATCCCAGAATTATGGTAGGATTACATGTCTGCTATCACACTCCTGGGTGGCCATGTGACGTCTCAAAGACTAGTGAATGGAAATGACATGTATAGTTTTTGAGGCAGAACGTTTAATTCCCAGCAAAAGACCCTCAAAGGCTGTCTTTCCCTCGGCCTTCATGAGTGACAATTTACCAGTTGTGGCTGCTTTATTGGTCTAATCCTAGAATAAGAACAGCCCTTGAAGTGAGCAGGCCAGTGATCAATCAGGCATTTAATAGGCACTTTATAAATACTCATTTTACTTCAATATTATTATTTTTGTTTTTTTAGAGACAGAGTCTCACCCAGGCTGGAGTGCAATGGCACAATCTTGGCCCACTGAAACCTCCACCTCCTGGGTTCAGTGATTCTCCTACCTCAGCCTCCCGAGCAGCTGGAATTATAGGCGTCCACCATGCCGGCTAATTTTTGTATTTTTAGTAGAGACGGGGTTCCAACATGTTGGCCGGGTTGGTCTTGAACTCCTGACCTCAGGTGATCTGCCCACCTTGGCTTCTCAAAGTGCTGGAATTACATGTGTGAGCTACCATGCCCAGCCTAAATGGTGATTTTAAATTAATTACTATAATCACTTCAAAGTGTTGTCATATAAACCACTTATATTAAATCAAATGAAGCAAGGACCCTTGACCTCTTTGTTAAATTTTAAAAATCTAGCAGAGCCATAGGCCTTTAATTTTTCCATCGCAAGGAAGAAGAGGAAACTGGTAATAATCTCCTCTGACAGAATAATCTCGCAACTTTAGGAACTTTATTTAAAGAATTCAGAAATGGGGTTGGGCGCGGTGGCTCACACCTGTAGTCCCAGCACTTTGGGAGGTCGAGGCAGGCGGATCACCTGAGGTCGGGAGTTCGAGACCAGCCTGACCAACATGGAGAAACCCCGTCTCTACTAAAAATACAAAATTAGCCTGGCGTGGTGGTGCATGCCTGTAATCCCAGCTACTCAGGAGGCTGAGGCAGGAGAATCGCTTGAACCCGGGAGGCAGAGGTTGCGGTGAGCTGAAATTGCACCAATGCACTCCAGCCTAGGCAACAAGAGCGAAACTCCGTCTCAAAAAAAAAAAAAAAGAAGAAATGTCAATTGTAGCATTTTAACACAGCATTGAAGTTATCTACTGATGCATAGCAAATTACCCTAAACTCAGAAGCTTAAAACAACAAACATGTAGTATCTTACACACTTTCTGAGGGTGAGGAATATAGGAGCTGCTATAGCTGAGTGCTTGTGACTGTGTCTCTCACGCAGTTGCAGTCAAACTATTGGCAGGGGCTGCTGTCATCTCAAGGTTTGACTGGGGCTGGGAGATGTGCTTCCAAGGGTGATACACTTGGTTATAGGAAGGCCCCAGCTACTCCCAGGCTATTGGGTGGAGGGCTTAGTTCCTTGCTACCTGGGCCTCTCCATAGGCTGTCTCGGTATCCTCATGACATGGCAACTAACTTCTCTCAAAGTGGGGGCAGCAGCCTTTAAGACAGAACTCAAGGTGCCATTTATTATATTTAATCTCAGCAGTGACATCTATCACTGCTACTGCATTCTATTAGTCTCACAGTCCAACCCTGGTACAATGTGGGAGGGAACTACATAAGAGTGTGAATAGTAGGAGGTAGGAATCATTGGGAAACATTTTGAGGTCAGTTATTGTATCAGTTGCTAGGATGACCAGTTGGAATTAGGATTTTTTTAAAAAGCCATTTTCATAAGACAAGGCAATCTTTTCTAGAGATGTTCCAATACCTGTGATATGCGGAGCACTGCGCTAGGTGGTATTCAAGGCAGGCCTGTAGTGAATGCTGTTGGACCCAGCCACCACCCCTGAGCAATCATATGCAGACCGCTGGCTTCTTAACTGCAGACACCTACAGACTCAGCCTAAGACTTTCCCACGAGGCAGGCTCGAAGTGCTGGAGCTTTAACACCTCTGGAGTGGCCCTAAAACAATTAGGAAGAGAGATGGTGTAGACATATGTAAGCTTCATCGGCCTGGTGGTTGTGAAAACTTGGAAGTGGTTTCTACACAATCCCCCAGAGGTCCCAAGCTGACTGAGCCCTCATTGATCCAGAGCTAATCTGCTCACCTATGCACTGTATATTCGTTCCCATCGCTCCCGTCTCACTTCTCCATCCCCCACCTACCAAATAAACTGCTTGCACTCATTCTTTCCTCAGGTCGGCTTCTCGGGCAAGCCTCCTTAGGTAAAAACCTTGCTTTCAACATTTCCTTTCCATTATGCGCTAAGAACTCTGATCTCTTCCCGCTGCGGCAGCCCCGCCCTTTCCTTGCGGCTCCGCCCTTTCCGTGAAGTCACGCCCGTCCTTAGGCTGTCTCTGTCTCCCTAAGAGCGAGTCTCTTCGCTGCTCTCTAACTCCTAGAGCTGGCTCAGAAAGAGTTTCACATTGCCATAGGGGAGCTCCTAGGAGAGGCTGCACCCATTGCACGTAAGAAGCGGTAAAAATGTACGCGGCCATCTTACCAGGCTGCCGGAGACAAAGAAAGCTCAGCTTTGATGTCTGGGCGCCACCATGTTGGCCACAGGAGGTTTTGGCATCTGAGATGCTGAGTTAAGAGCAGAGACGACATCTCTGTTTAGGGATCCAGGGACACTTCCTTCTCCTTGTCCTAAAATAGCCTTATCTTTTGGTCTAGCAAAGGGCTTAATCATCCGTTTTACGGCACAGTTTTAAACATGGCCGCCCCAGGTAGGAGTCAAGTGGGCGTCGCCATCATACCTCCAATTACAGCTTTGAGAAACCCAGAATCCTGTTCACTGGAAGGTTGCCGGGTGGCGGCTGACAGCCTCAAAGTCGCAATTGAGTCTGCGCACCGGCCATTCAGGATGGGACGACCTTATACCGCGGTGAGGCGGCGTGGCAGGACGACCAATTTCAGATTCAGGGCGCGGATGCAGCATAAATGGGAAGGCACGGTTTGAGAAACGGTCAAACCTGGGACTAGTGGAGGATAGTGAGCTGCCGACTACGGTGGCCGACTGGGTCAGCTATGGGTGCCCGTGAGGGTCAATGACAAGGGAACTGAAGGGTTAAGAGATTCGGCGTCTGAGCCTCGCGGGGCCTCAGTGGTGGCGGACAGAGGTTTGCGGGAGTCAGTGGCACGGTCTCTGAAGAAGATGGATTGGGAGTGTGTGGGAATCAATAAATGCGAGTTCTGTGAAATGTCTTGATTTTCAGGGTGCATGGGGTCAGTAATAGTGGTCTTCATGGGTCTGGGGTCAGTTGGGATTTTTCAGACACTGGTTTAGAGATCTTTAAGGTTAATGATCGGAGCCCGAGAGGATCAGTGATCGGAGGTTCTAAGTTCTGTGGGCAGTAATAGTTTGGGTACTGGAATTGGTGATTGTGGAAACTTTGGGGTTCAAATGAGGGAGGTCAGTGGTGATGAATGTTTGGAGAAATGTTTTGGGCCATCGGTGATTGAGACTTACTTCATATCATCGGTGGAGGATCGGAGAGTATTAACGATTGGACTTTTGTAGATCAGGGAATGGAGAATAGAGTCAAGTGTGCTTATCTTAAAGGTACGCCTCAATGAGGCTCAGTGATTCGGACTGTCACTTGTGGGTGGGAGTGGGACTGTGAGAATCAACAATTGATCCTCAGTCGTTGGGATATCATTGGCAATCAGTGTGGATTCATGATTGGGGGCTGTGTAATTTCACTGGCAATCAGATCGGATCGGTGTTCTTTGTAGTTACTGACCTGTAGTCTCTCCTGGTCAGATTTGAACATAGGGGAATATCAGTGACTATGAAAACCTCTGAGGGTTGGAGATTGGAGGCCAGTGATTGGGGGCACTATGCGTGTCTGATTAGGAGACTTATAGGGGTTGGTGTTGAGGGTCCTGAAATGTGGAGATTGGGGATGGGAAAATCACAGATTTGAGGCTGCAAGCCTGCATAGCGGGAACACATTTCACTCAGGTGACACTCCCTAGCTGAATAGCAGCCAGTTCCTCTCCACCAAGGCCCATCTGAAAACTCTTTTTTGAACCCACACCCTTTTTATTGTTCTCTACAATAATGAAAATAATTTGAAAGGATCGCGTGCTAAACTTATCTAAAGTAACATGTTACTAAAGACGTGGCTTCTATTCTTGTTAGGGATCTAATGCATATTTTTTCCTAATGTTTCCTTTAAGGCTCTTTCTGGCAAAGGTAATGACATACGCATCTGTGCCAGCATCCCAAGAGTGAGGCTGGTTTCTGGAAATCCATTCTGACTCTGTGACAGCGGGGATGGATGTGACCTTGCCCGTGGTTAGAAAACAAATTTACTGAGTAAGTATCTAAAATGATAATGTAGGCTGTGTGCAGTGGTTCATGCCTGTAATCCCAGCACTTTGGGAGGCTGAGGTGGGTGGATCATTTGAAGTCAGGAATTACTAGCCTGGTCAACATGGTGAAACCCTGCCTCTACTAAAAACACAAAAATTAGCCGGGCGTGGTGGCGGGCGCCTGAGGTCCCAGCTACTCTGGAGGCTGAGGCAGGAGAATCGTTTGAACCCAAGAGGTGGAGATTGCAGTGAAACGAGATTGTACCACTGCACTCCAGCCCGGGTGACAGAATGAGACTCTGTCTCAAGATAAATAAATAAATATAAATAAACAAAATAAAATAAAATGATAATGTAAAAGATTTGGCTGAAAGAGCAAACAGAGTGTTTAGAAAATACTTTTATCTAGGCTCAACTTAAATTATCAAAGGAAGAGAAACTAGATTTGGAATTTATTGTATTCTGAGAAACTTTTTGCCTTGTCCTATATATTTTAGGCATAGCCATTTTTAACCTCCACTAATCAATTCCTTATAAAGTCCTGGCAGAAAAAATTCAAGACAGATAAAGCCACAACCGCCACAAAACAAAATGTAAGCTACTTTTAGAAACTGTTCCTCACTGAAATTAAAATTGAACTAATAGTTATTAAAATGGCTGAGATGGGATTGCAAATAAAATGGAAATAAGATTTGAAAAAATAGATTTAGGGGATATAAGTGCAGTTTTGTTACATGGGTATATTTCACAGTGGGGAAGCCTGGGCTTTTAGTGTAACTATCACTTGAATAATGTACATTGTACCAATCTGATAATTTCTCATCCCTTACCCGCTTCCTACCCTCCCTCCATTCAGAGTCATCTGTGTCTATTATTCTGCTTTCTATATCCATGTGTACACATTATTATCTTATAAGTGAGAACATGCAGTATTTGACTTTCTATTTCTGAGTTAGAAAATAAGATTTTGACCATTAATGAAAAAGTGCAATGTCAAAACAATATTTTAATTTTAAAAAATTATTACGTTTGATCTTTATGTAACCTTCAGACAAAGCACAATGCCTGTAGCATCTTAAGAAATAAAGGCAGCTGGATGCTAAGGCAGGTAACATCTTTCAGAACCCACATAGGTCAAATTTTAGTTTTAAAAGCAGATAGTCCCTGTTTTTCACTTGCACAGAATCAAAGACAGATAGCTGCTTAGCATGGGTGAAATAATAAGCCAGGGTAAGGAGTTTGGGTAATTTTTTCTCCATGTTGATTCCCTTCACCACCTATACTGTGCTCAGTGCCAGGTTTCAGAGCAAATAATTAAAAAGAAATTTTACATAAACTTTTTATTGTGATATATATGCAAAAATGTATATAAATATGTAGCTCAATGAATTGTCACAAGGGAATACCCCTGGGTAATGCACTCAGATCAGAAAACAACATTCTAGCACCGTGCCCTCATGATGCCCCTCCCAGTCACTACTCTGCCAGAGGTTCCCTAGCTTCTAATCTTAGTATTGTCTGTTTTTGATCTCTAATTTAATGGGATATTCATTGGGGGGGAGGAGCACCATGGGGAGAGGCAAGATGTGGCTGTGTTTAAACAAAATTTCCAAGTTTGAATTGAGATAATTTCATTTATATAACAGATACTTTTCCAGGTCATTAAATATTCCTTGTTTGGCCAGGCACAGTGGCTTACACCTGTAATCTCAGTGCTTTGGAAGGCTGGGGTAGGAGGGTTGTTTGAGGCCAGGATCTTGAGACCAGCCTGCGCAACATAGCGAAACTCCATCATTACAAAAAATTTAAAAATAAGCTGGGTAGTCTGGGCATGTTGGCTGATGCCTGTAATCCCAGCACTTTGGGAGGCCGAGGCAGGTGGACCACTTGAGGTCAGGAGTTCAAGACCAGCCTGGCCAACATGGTGAAACTCCGTCTCTACTAAAACTACAAAAAAAAAAAAAAATTAGCTGGGCTTGGTGGTGGGCGCCTGTAATCCCAACTACTTGGGAGGCTGAGGCAGGAGAATTAGTTAAACCCAGGAGGCAGAGGTTACAGTGAGCCGAGATTGCACCACTGCATTCCAGCCTGGGCAACAAGAGTGAAACTCCATCTCAAAAAAAAAAAAAAAAAAATTAGCTGGGTGTGGTGGCTCACACTTGTGATCCTAGCTACTGGAAAGGCTGAAGTGAGAGGATTCCTTGAGCCCAGGAGTTCAAGGTTGCAGTGAGCTATGATTGTGCCACTGCACCCTAGCCTGGGTGACAGAGTGAGACCCTGTTTCAAAAAAAAAAATTCTTTTCTTTTTTTTTTTTGAGACAGGGTCTCACTCTATTGCCCAGGCTGGAGTGCAGTGGCACGATCTCGGCTTACTGCAACCCCTGCCTCCCAGGTTCACACCAGTCTCCTGCCTCAGCCTCCCGAGTAGCTGGGACTACAGGTGCCCATGACCACGCCCAGCTACTTTTTTGTATTTTTAGTAGAGACGGGGGTTTCACTGTGTTAGCCAGGATGGTCTCAATCTCCTGACCTCGTGATCCGCCCACCTCAGTCTCCCAAAGTGCTGGGATTACAGGCGTGAGCCACCACACCCGGCCAAAAAATTCTTTAAAAAAATTGAGGCATAATACACATGTAGTGAAGTGGGCTTATCTTTAAGGTGCAGCTCAATGAATTTTTATATTACAGAGTCCTGTAACCACAGCCTAGATCAAGATATTCATCACTTCTAACACCTGGAAGGTGTCCTTACTGGTCAATACCTACTGCCACCCTAGGGGTAACTAGTGTTTAATATAGTGGATTACTTTTGCATGCTTTTGAATTTGAATTGAATTATATATCTCCCCTGTGAATCCACTTGATTGACTCATATTCACTGAATTTGATAGGATTCCATTTGAATCATATAAACGTGAAGCCAAGGCATTCATACCATGAGGTAATTTTGTTTGAAATTCTGAAACCACATGAATACCAGGACAAAATTCTAAGCTGAATGCCGGGCGTGGTGGCTCATGCCTGTAATCCCAGCACTTTGCAAGGATGAGGTGGGAGGATCAGGAGCTTGAGACCAGCCTGGCCAACACAGTGAAAACCCATCTCTACTAAAAATACAAAAATCAGATGGGCATGGTGACAAGCACCTGTAATCCCAGCTGCTCAGGAGGCTGAGGCAGGAGAATCATTTGCACCTGAGAGGCAGAGGTTGCGGTGAGCTGAGATTGCACCACTGCACTCTAGCCTGAGCAACAGAACAAGACTCTGTCTCAAAAAAATAAAAAAGAAATTCTAATCTGAAGTTCTGGCTTGGCCATCTGAGATTGCCTCTTTTCTATTATTCTCCCTGGAAGCCAAAAACATACACAGTGAACTAGACCCTGAGGTTTTAAAGTGGGTTTCTAGTAGGGTCCCATTAATGAAGCTAACGGTTAAGGACTCTTCTCAGTAGGTAGTTTGGAGGGGGATTTTCAGTCCCTTGGTCAAAATCTCTTAGTCTTTAGGGACTGACCATTGACTACAGAGACCTGAATGAAGTAGCGTGAAAAAGAGCCTCTCTAGAGGCTGGCTGCTTGAGGGCCAAGACATAGTGGTGACTCAACAAATGCAGGGTTATCTCGGAGGAGTCTGCCTTAGGGATTCTGGAAGCTGCTGGTAGATTCACTCCCAGGCAGAGATGCCTCTGTCCCTCACATACAACCTGACAATATGGGAAAGCAGCTAACCTCTTCTTTAATCTTTTCATCTTGCTCACCTTTCCACACACATAAGAGATTATTGTTTTGTTTTGGTTTTGATTTTAAATAATTTCAGATTTAGAAAAGTTATAAGAATAGGCCCGGTGTGGTGGCTCATGCCTGTAATCCCAGCACTTTGGGAGGCCGAGGTGGGTGGATCACGAGGTCAAGAGATTGAGACCATCCTGGCCAACATGATGAAACCCTGTCTCTACTAAAAATACAAAAATTAGCCAGGGGTGGTGGTGCGTGCCTGTAGTCCCAGCTACTCAGGAGGCTGAGGCAGGAGAATCACTTGAACCAGGGAGTCAGAGGTTGCAGTGAGCCGAGATCACGCCACTACACTCCAGCCTGGCGACAGAGCAAGACTCCGTTTCAAAATAATAATAATACTAACAATAATAATAATAATACAGAAATTCCTGTTATACCCTTCACCCCATTCTGTAATTAAGATTTTGCTGTGTGTGTAGAGACTTTCTTTTTCTGTCTCTCTGTCTGTAAGTTGTGAACATGATGACCCTTTACTCCTAATGTGTATTTCCTAGGTAATATACATTTTGTATGTGATCACAATAATTAACTAACCACAATATAATGATCGAAAGCAGGGAAGTTAACATTGAAATATTATTATCTGATGCATAGACTTTATTTAGATTTCTCCACTTGTTTCAATAATATCATTTATGTTCATTCCTTTTAATGGTCCAGGATTCTAATCCAGTGTTACATGTTGTATTTAGTTGTCATATCTCTTTAGACTTCTTTAATTTGGAGTATGTTCTCGGTCATTTTTTTTTACCTCTTTTAACTTTGACATGTATGAGGAGTTCAGGCCAGTTATTTTTATAATTTGAATTTTTCTGATTTTTCCTCATGATTAGAGTCATGTTGTACATCTCGGACAGGAATACTACAGAAGTGATCATGTGTCCTTCTCAATGTACCATACCAGAAGGTACACAGTGTTGGTTTGTCACATTAATGGTGATGTTAGCTTTGATCACTTGATCAAGGCTATGCCCACCAGGGTTCTCCACTATAAAGTTATATTATTACTAAGTATGTTGTAGAGAGATATTTTGAGATCATGTAATTAACCTCAAACTTTCATCCACTAGAGTTAGTATCCATTAATGATGCTTACGTGACTCAATTACTTCTAATTATGGTTACCAAATGGTGATTTTCCAATTGTGTCCTTCCTTCTGTATTTATTGTAGAAGCTTTCCCTTTTCTTCATCTGGAGGATATCAGTACAAAAGTCCTATTTGCATACAAAATAGGAGGTGCACATTAGACACTTACAAAACTGTTTAAAATGTTGAGTTAGACCATACGCCAAAACTCAGACCTTCTGAATCACAAAGAAAACATCTTGGGAAATTGACTAGTTACAGAGAAACAGTTGTCACATCATGTGACAAAGTGATGTCTCCACACAGACAGGAAACATCTGGGTTCCACTCTGGGCCAGACAGATTTCTGCAGTGTTCTCAGAATGAGGTATTGGCAACTAAGAAGACAAAGAAAGAAACTTTCAGAAACGTGGTAAAACTGTCAAAACCACATGACATGATCTATATGTGCTGTAAAACCTAACTCTTAATTTTGTTTATTCTGTGACAGTGAATCATATTATGTATTTTTTAATGAAGATGGAAAAGATTAGATGAGCGAATATGGTATGGTGCCTTCAACTGAGTTATACCCAACTGTGATTGATTTTCTGTAGTTTTTATTTTCTGTCTTGATGAAACATTCAGTCAAGGAAGTTAGAAAATATATATGAGAAGTGGAAGGAATTAATATAAAAAGAAAAATTAACGATCTAAAAAAGGAAAAAGGTAAAGCTGATAAATCTGATTTTAATAAAAGTCAATAATATAGATAAACCATTAGCAAACCTTATCAAGTCAGGAGGAAATGAACAGATATACAAATTAGGAATGTAAAAAGGGGAATAACCATATTATTAAGAAATATTTTTGTAACACTTTCATAGATTTCAAAGGTGGCATGCAAAAGATTTTTTCAGAATACATATGTAAAACTTCCTTAAGAAGAGAAAATGAAAAGATCAATAGCTATGAACGATTAAAATACTTGAAAAAGTTCCTGTCCACCATCTCAACTATCAGGTTAGATAGGTCAATTGGTGATTTCTTATTGAGCCTTAAAGTGACTTCCAAGTAACACACTATTCTTTAGTTCAAGACCAGCCTGGGCAATATGGCAAAACCCTATCTCTGCAAAAAATACAAAAATTATCTGGGCGTGGTCTTGTACACCTATAGTTTCAGCTACTTGGGAGGCTGAGGTGGGAGGGTCGCTTGAGTCTGGTAGGTTAAGACTGCAGTGAGCCATGATTGTGCCACTGCACTCCAGCGTGGGTGACAGAGTGAGACCCTGTCTCCAGTAGATAGATAGATAGACAGATAGATAGATAGATAGATAGATAGATAGATAGATAGACTCTTCCAGGGAATTTATAAAGGAATACACCATTACCCAACCCTTTTTTTTTTATATAAAGCCAACATTGTTGCATTGATTCCAAAAACTGGAAAAGGTGGCATTTCAAAAGAAAACCATAGCCCAACCTTCTTATGAATGTACATGTAAAATTAGCAATATGTTAAATAATGCATTATGACTGAGAATAAATTTATCCTGAAAGTGTAAGTTCAATATTAAAGAATTTACTAATGAATTTTACCATGTTAATAGGACAAGGGAGAATACCATAGCCGCCTCATAGATGGGAAAAAAGTATTTGATAAAATTCAACATCTGTTCTGGATTTTAAAAAACATAATGAAATAGAACAATTTGGATACTTTCTTAACTTGATAAGACCTATGTCTCAAGTGAAAAGTCAGTAGCAGACGTAATGGCAGAACTCTGCTTACCTTCCCATTCAAGTGAACACCCTTCCCTGCTTTGATTTGCTTTCCTCTAGAGTGCCTGCCAGTGCAGTTAATCAGGGAATGAAATAAGAAACAGAAGTATTGGACAAGACAAGAAAAAACTGTATTTGTAGATGAAATAATTGTCTATCCCAAAAGCTCTGGAAGATTAACCATTATAGTTATTAAGGAAGTTCAGTAAGGGGGCTGGTTTAAAATGACTGTAGGAAAATGGATTAATGACTTTTTTCTTTTTTTCTTTTTTCTTTTTTTTTTTGAGATGGAGTCTCACTCTGTCGCCCAGGCTGGAGTGCAGTGGCGCAATCTCAGCTCACTGCAAGCTCCGCTTCCCGGGTCCACGCCATTCTCCTGACTCAGCCTCCCAAGTAGCTAGGACCACAGGTGCCCGCCACCCCACCCGGCCAATTTTTTTGTATTTTTAGTAGAGACGGGGTTTCACCGTGTTAGCCAGGATGGTCTCAATCTCCTGACCTTGTGATCCGCCCACCTCGGCCTCCCAAAGTGGTGGGATTACAGGCGTGAGCCACCGCGCCCAGCCTGATGACTTTTTTTATTGCAGTCAGTAATTAAAAGGATGAAAATATGCCATTTAGAATGGTAACTGAAAACACAGTTGACTATCCAGTAACAGATGAAAGAGAAAATTGGAGTACCTGTGTGAAAGCATAAAACATTGCATTTTGAGATGTATAGAAAGTCTTGAATAAATATTGAAGCCTTGTTCTTGGATTGGAAGACTCGACAATTTTAAAAATTGTCAGTATTTTCTTATATGAATGGACAAATTCAGTGCAATGTTAAGCAAAATCTTAAGAAGGGATCTCTTTGCCCCAAATTGTAACAGAATAATTCTGCAGTTTATGTTGAAGATGAAACATTTGAGAATATCTAGGACATTTATGAAAAATAAGTAACAAGAGGTAATGTGCTAGACAAAGCTTTCAAACATACAGCTTCAGGAGATAGAGGCTACGACCTAAGAGGAAGAATAAGTTGAGGTAGAAGATACTGAGTTCACTTTTGTGAAACCACAATGGGTGGCAATGAGAGATCTATGAACTAGTTTGTTTTGTTTTGTTTTGAGACAAGAGTTTCCCTCTTCTTGCCCAGGCTGGAGTGCAGTGGCGCGATCTCGGCTCACTGCAACCTCCACCTCCTGGGTTCAGGCGATTCTTCTGCCTCAGCCTCCCAAGTAGCTGGGATTACAGGCATGTGCTGCTACACCCGGCTAATTTTTGCATTTTTAGTAGAGACGGGGTTTCACCATGTCAGTCAGGCTGGTCTCAAACTCCTGACCTCAGGTGATCTACCTGCCCCGGCCTCCCAAGTGCTGGGATTACAGGTGTGAGCCACTGTGCCCGGCCTATGATCTAGTTTTAAGATTGTGACTGAGAGCATCCAGATGATGGTATCTATATGGTAAAATATGGCTTTTGAGTTCAAATGTTAGGGACTGATAAGGGTGTGTAAGTCACAATCACGTCACAATGCTGACTGAGATGGTGCCCATCAGATGGCTGCCATGCTGCTAGAAGAGTGCCGGACTGCAGGGCAATACTGCTTTCCAAGATTGACTCTTTTTTTTTTCTTTTTTAAATTTTGATTCTTGCTCTGTCACCCACACTGGAGTACAGTGGTACGATCTCAGCTCACTGTAACCTCCACCTCCCAGGTTCAAGCAATTCTTCTTCCTCAGCCTCCTGTGTAGCTGGGACTACAGGTGTGACCACCACACCCAGCTAATTTTTGTATTTTTAGTAGAGATGGGGTTTCACCATGTTGGCCAGGCAGGTCTTGAACTCCTGGCCTCAAGCGATCTGCCCACCTCGGCCTCCCAAAATGCTGGGATTACAGGCATGAGCCACTGTGCCCGGCCTGAGATTGACTCTTTACTAAGAAAGATAATGATTGACCTTCATCTTCAAGTGGATTCTCCCCATAGTTGCCCAGTTTTAGGGAGGAATTGGGGCTGAGGGAGGAAGGGAACTTTGTTTTTCACATTTCCTTACTTCATCAGGATAGGTGGCACTGATTTTATCTGCCACACTTGGCTCTGTGTGCAGATGGGCATCCCCAGTAGGAAAAAATCTGTTTTTAAATAAAAAAGGAAAATTACTAGACTAATTTTACCTTGTTGAAGGAAATCGAAGCAAATATTCATCATAGTTCTACCATATGTATCCAATTACTGTTTCCTGCCTTCATATTTTAGTCTGTATCTACAGCTGGAGGTGATTTTAGTAATCTACAGCTGGAGGTGCCTGTAATCCCAGCTACTTGGGAGGCTCAGGCAGGAGAATCCCTTGAATCCAGGAGGTAGAGGCTGCAGTGAGCTGAGATCGCACCACCGCACTCCAGCCTGGGCAACAAGAGAGAAACTCTGTCTCAAAAAAAAAAAAAAAAAAAATGTGCACAGCAAATGTTACATTGCTCTTTTAGAAGGCAAATCTGTCTCTGAGAGGCAGCAAGACTGAGAAGTTATAAACCCAAGCGCCACAGCCAGGCTAGTCGGGTCTGTATCTCACTGCTGCTGTGTGCTAGTTCTTCAGCTCTCTCAGGCACTACGTCTTTATGTAGAAATGGAGTAGGACTCGGTTTAGAGGGCAGTGTGAGGAATAAATGAGTCCATATGAGGAAATAACCTTGCACAGTGCCTAAGTTGAGATCAGGGCTCAATAACTACAAGCTAGGTTTTTTTTTTCTATTTCTATCAGTTTCTATGATGTGTCATAGTTTTATTTGTTCTTCCTGTGTGTGCTTGTTTTGATTTGTCATTATTGTACATTTTGTTATTGTTATTATTGCTGTTACCCAAATAAATGTATAATTATGAGGCTATTGGAAAAGTTAGAAAATGAACACTTCGAAAATGAAACGTAAATTCCTTTCAGTCCCTTCACTCAGAGAAAGCAATGTTAATATTTTCATAGATTCGGACTTACATAATTTTAAAAATAGAATTATGCTTCACATTGTATGTTATGACTTGTATTTTCTGCTTCAAAATACATCACAAATGCAGTTCCAAGTCGGAGTACACCACTCCATTATTATTATTATTATTATTATTTTCTGAGGCAGAGTCTCGCTCTGTCGCCCAGGCTGGAGTGCAGTGGCGCAATCTCGGCTCGCTGCAACCTCCGCCTCCTGGGTTCAAGCAATTCTCCTGCCTCAGCCTCCCGAGTAGCTGGGATTACAGGCCCCTCCCACCATGCCCAGCTAATTTTTTCTGTTTTTAGTAGAGACAAGGTTTCACCATGTTGGCCAGGCTAGTCTCGAACTCCTGACCTCAGTTGATCTGCCCGCCTTGGCCTCCCAAAGTGCTGGCATTACAAGGTGTGAGAAATGGCACCTGGCCTCCACTACTATTTCTAATGCCTGCCTTGTGTTCCATTCTGTGGCTCACCAATATCAGCCTGCCAATCTTTTAATTGCTGGGACAGGCTAGGTGTGGTGGCTCACACCTATAATCCCAGCACTTTGGGAGGCCAGGGTAGGTGGATTGCTTGAGTCCGGGAGTCCAAGACCAGCCCGAAAAACATGGTGAAACCCTGTCTCTACAAAAAAAAAAAAAAAAAAAATTACCCAGGTATGTTGGTGCACATCTATAGTCCTCCTACTCGGGAGGCTGAGGTGGGAGGATCACCTGAGCCTGGGAGTTTGAGGCTGCAGCAAGCCATGATCATGCCACTGTACTCCAGCCTATCTCAAATAAAGAAATAGATAATGAAAAAAAAATAAATTATTGTTGGGACATTTTGATTGCTTCCAGTTGTTTTACTTTTGTAAGCAAAGGTGAGATGAACATCCTTGTACCTTTATCTTTTATTTTAGCGAGACTAATTAGTTCCTTGAGACACATTATTGGATGTTGAAGAGTGGTTTAATGAGTGTGCACTCTAAAAATTCTGATAGGGCTGGGCGCGGTGGCTCACGCCTGTAATCTCAGCACTTTCCGAGGCCGAGGTGGGCGGATCACGAGGTCAGGAGATTGAGACCATCCTGGCTAACGCGGTGAAACCCTGTCTCTACTAAAAATACAAAAAAATTAGCCGGCGTGGTGGCAGGTGCCTGTAGTCCCAGCTACTCGGGAGGCTGAGGCAGGAGAATGGCGTGAACCCAGGAGGCAGAGCTTGTAGTGAGCTGAGATCATGCCACTGCACTCCAGCCTGGGCAGCAGAGCAAGACTCCGACTCAAAAACAAAAAAAATTCTGATATAAATTCCCTTCAGAAAGCTGGAATATCCTGCCCTCCTACCAGCAGTGTAAGAGATATGATTTCCATCTTTGCCAATCTTATAAGCCAAAAAGACCATTTTAATAATCTTGTGGAAAAGACTTTTACTAAAAATACTACCAGAAGCAGAAACTATAAGGGGAAAATATCAACAAGTTGACTATTAAAAATAACCAATAAAACTTGTTTGGTATTTGGAAACTAATAAACCCAGTTTAAGGACAAATGACAAATAAGGACAAATGTTATACTATAAAAACATATTTATAACAAATATGACAAAGGATTAATAGCCTCAATATAGAAAGAACACTTGTAAATGAATTTTTGAAAATAACTCAGGAAAATCAAAAGTTAAGAGCATAAACAGATTGTTTACAAAAGAAATGCAAATGGCCAATAAATAGATGAGGAAAATATCTTTCTCCATTGGAAATCAAAGAAGGGTAAAATAATAAATAAATGATAGGGATACTGAGACACAGATAGACTAAGTAACTCATTCAACATCACACATCAGTAAATGGCAGAGCCTGCATTTGAACCCAGGTTGTCTGGCTCCCGAGTCTGTTTGACAGCCTCTTTCTGTTTTCACAGGTGAGGAAACAGGCCTAGAGAGGTAAAGTGTCTAGCCCAGATTCTCTCAGTCAGTCAGAGGAATTACTTAGCTTCAAACTTGTATCTGAGTCATTCCTTGGCTCAGGGAGTGACTCAGACACAAGGGTCTTTGTGGGAGTTCCCCCTGTCCCAGTCCCAGAACAGAGCCATCACTCAGCTGTCTCCTGCACAGCCTCTGCAGGCTTTTCCCCCTGAGGCCCCAGGCAGTGTTTGGGGAAGGACGATTGGATGACTCACCATGGGATCTGCTTATCTTCAGGTTCTCTGGGTGCCCTGCAGACCTTTGGATCCTGCCACCTTGCTGGACGGGAGGGCTCTCTAGCTCCTGCCAGCCCTTAGAGCCACAGGACCTTGGTCACAACATCTACAGAAGGCCCTGCAGCTAAGTGTGAGTTACTGTTGAGAGATGGAGCTGTGAGTGCCTGGGCAGGCCAGGTTAAAGACACTGTCCAGGAGAAGGGAACTTGGGATGAAAATTCCCTTCTGAAGGAATCACTCAGACCCCATACCTCTTGTCAGAGCAAAGACTCCCACATAAAAGGAAATAGCTTCATCCCTGAGCCAGAAGCTGAGCAAGACCAAACCTGAAGACGTTACTCTTTCCAGGGACTCTCCATGGCTAAATGAAGGGAGGATGGTTGGCCCAAGATCCAGGAAGACAGAGTGAAGGGAGAGGTAGGGAGGCCAGAGTCTCATGGCGGGTGCGATAGGCATGTTCTTTCAGGAGAAGGGGGCATCTTTCTAGCCCATTGCGTTCTGCTATCTTGTGGTATGGGGTGTGGCCCATCTGCTTCTTTATTCTTGCTGGACCTCTCTAGACTTGCTCTCCCGTCATTTTTGGCACCTCACCTGGCCTCTAGGAATGTGATTAGTTCACTCCATCCTGACTCAGAGGCAGAAATGGCCCTGGATTCTCAGAATGGTGGTGGTGGCAGAATTTATGGACCTACTGTATATAATTTTGTTTTGTTTTGTTTTTTGAGACGGAGTTTCACTCTTGCCACCCAGGCTGGAGTACAATGGCAGAATCTCAGAATTACAGACATGCACCACCATGCCCGGCTAATTTTTTTTTTTTTTCGAGATGAAGTCTCACTCTGTCGCCCAGGCTGGAGTGCAGTGGCACATTCTCGGCTCACTGCAAGCTCCACCTCCTGGGTTCACGCCATTCTCCTGCCTCAGCCTCCCAAATAGCTGGGACTACAGGTGTGTGCCACCATGCCCGGCTTATTTTTTTTATTTTTAGTAGACACGGGGTTTCACCGTGTTAGCCAGAATGGTCTCAATCTCCTGACCTTGTGATCTGCCCGCCTCGGCCTCCCAAAGTGCTGGGATTACAGGCGTGAGCCACTGTGCCTGTCCTGATTTTTGTATTTTTAGTAGAGATGGAGTTTCACCATGTTGACCAGGCTGGTCTCGAACTTACGACCTCAAGCGATCCACCCACCTCGGCCTCCCAAAGTGCTGGGATTACAGGCATGAATCACCATGCATGGTCAATTCTCTTTTTTTTTTTTTTTTTTTTTTTGAGACAGAGTTTCGCTCTTGTTGCCCAGGCTGGAGTGCAATGGCGCGATCTCTGCTCACTGCAGCCTCCACCTCCCAGGTTCAAGGGATCAAGGGATTCTCCTGCCTCAGCCTCCTGAGTAGCTGGGATTATAGGCACGCTTCACCACGCCTGGCTAATTTTGTACTTTTAGTAGAGATGGGGTTTCACTATGTTGGTCAGGCTTGTCTCGAACTCCCAACCTCAGGTGATACACCTGCCTTGGCCTCCCAAAGTGCTGGGATTATAGGCGTGAGCCACCGCACCCAGCCTTTTGTTTTTAACTAAACATTTTATTTGGAAATTTTTTTCCAAAAAAAAGCAAGAATATTTCTGTGGTCTCCTATGTATTCCTTACCTAGATTCATCTATATAAAGCCATGTTTGCATGTCCTCTCTTTCTATATACAAATATATATGTATATAGATAATTATGTTATATCATAAATATATCATTCCTATTCTTTCTTTAACTACTTAAGACTAACTTGCAGACATGATGCTCCTTTACCCATAAGTACTTCAGGGTATATTTTCTAAGAATAAGAACTTTTTTTTATGTAACCAGTAGTTTTCAAAACCAGGCATTTGACACTGATTACAAAGTCAGTGTTATAATGATTTAATAATCATGATAACTAGATTAATGTAGACCATAGACTAGATTAATCCAGTCTACAATCAGATGTCAACTAATACTGTCACTTTATAGCAACTTTTCTTTCTTGCTTTTTCTTATTTTTTGAGACCAAGTCTCGCTCTTGTCACCCAGGTTGGAGTGCAATGGCGCGATCTTGGCTCACTGCAACCTCTGCCTCCTGGGTTCAAATGATTCTCCTGCCTCAGCCTCCTGAGTAGCTGGGATTACAGGTGCCTGCCAGCACACCCGGCAAATTTTTGTATTTTTAGTAGAGATGGGGTTTCACCATGTTGGCCAGGCTGGTCTCGAACTCCTGACCTCAGGCGATGTACCCACCTCGGCCTCCCAAAGTGCTGGGATTACAGGGGTGAGCCACTGTGCCCGGGCCTATAGCAACTTTTCTTTTCTTTTTCCATTCCAGGATCTAATCCAGGATCATATGCTGCCTTTAGGTGACACATCCCTTTAGTCTCCTTTAATCAGGAGCAGTTTCTCAGTGTTCATCTTCCATGAAGTCGACATTTTTGAAGAGTATAGGTAGGTTATTTTGTATATTGTAACTCAGTATGGTTTTGTCTGATGTCTCCTCATTGATTAGGTTCAGGTATGCATTTGGGGTGTGAACACCACAGAAGGGATGTTGTACCCTTCACAGTGCATTATATCAGGAGGCACATGATGTCTTATATCTCATTACTGGTCACGTTAACTGATCACTTGACTAAGTGATACTGCCAAGTTTTTCCAAGGCAAAGTTACTTCTTTTCCTTTTATAATCATTAAATGTCTTGGGGTGTGGGGCATTTAGATACTATGGCAACCATGCTTTATGGTCTATGCTTTATGACCTATATAATATTTCAAAGTATTTGAAACAAATAAGAGATAAAGGGTATTTATTTGTTTGTTTATTTATTTATTTAATTTTTGAGACAGGGTCTTACTCTGTCACCTAGGCCAGATTGCAGTAGTGGGATCATGGCTCACTGCAGCTTTGACCTCCTAGGCTCAAGTGATCCCCCCACCTCAGCCTCCTGGGTAGCTGGGACTATAGGTGTGCAACACCATACCTGGCTAATTTTTTATCTTTTTTTGTAGAGACGGGGCTTTGCCATATTGCCCAGGCTGGTCCCTAACTCCTGGCCTCAAATAAGGTGTAAGCCACCACACCCAGCTAAAAGCATGGATTTTTGTACAATATTTACAAAGGGAATTTGCAATTTCCAAGACAGGCCTAGCTCTTTACACTCTGTTCTCTGTTCTCTCTTTCTCCATCTTCTTCCCCCCACATGTCTACAGGTGTCAGATCTTTTTCAAGAACAGCAGAAAATGATCGAATACCAGGTAAGTATCACATTAAGTAGCCCAGTTTTCCTTCCTGGGGAAACTGTCCTAGAGGAAAAAAAGGGTGTGCATTGTAAGTATGTACAGTTTGTACATACAGGCTGGGTTCTCAGGGAAGCTGACTCATAGATGGAGATTTTTCTCACAGGAGGTTGATTAGGCAGGCTCTTAGAACACCTGTAAGACAGTGAGGGAAGCTGGATTGGGCTGAGGGAATTGTTGAACAGAGGCCTTAGTGGATCTTATCCTCTGGAGCTGGGATGGCCTTCAGCATTGTTGTGAATGGAGGCAAGGAGGCTTTTATATTCTGAAATCAACTAATCATTGATTGTAGGCTGCCCCGAGGAGGGTAGATATCCTTGGATGGTGCAGTACCCTTTGGCCAAGGATAATTCTCAGAAAGGTTTTAAGCCGGCCGCTAGGGGTAGCTCATGCCTGTAATCCCGGCACTTTGGGAGGCCAAGGCAGTTGCATAACCTGAGGTCAGGAGTTTGAGACCAGCCTGGCCAACATGGTGAAAGCCTGCCTCTATTAAAAATACAAAAATTAGTTGGGCATGGTGGTGGGTGCCTGTAATCCCAGCTACTCGGGAGGCTGAGGCAGGAGAATTGCTTGAACCTGGGAGGTGGAGGTTGCAGTGAGCCAAGATGGCACCATTGCACTCCAGCCTGGGCAACAAGAGCAAAACTCCATCTCAAAATAATAATAATAATAATAATAATAATAATAATAATAATAATAATAAAGGGTTTTAAGCCTGCAAGAGCCTCCTTTCTATATGTAGATACAGTGGCAAGATACTTAACACATACTGCTGTAACCAACATGTTATCTTTATTTTTTGTAAAGATGGGGTCTTACTTAAAACCATACCATTTTTTTAAACCAGATATGTAATGCTTCATCGTATGCAAGGGAATATGACTGATTTGACCAGTCCCTCATTTGATGGACATTTGGGTAATTTTCAGACTTGATATTACAAGTAGTGATGCAAGGAACATTCTCTTTTGGATTACCAATGTACAAAGTGGAGAGTCCAAGAGTCAGTAACTGATCTTCCTGGTAGCCCAACAAAAAGGCAAATACAGTTAGCCCAAGATTTGTACTGTTTATAAGGAAGAAGCCTATTGTTATCTCCAGTGGAAAATTAGCATTTCAAGGCAGTTTTTGAAGGTGTTTTCCAAGACGCCTTCTTAGGACTGAAGTAGAAAAGCACAGCCTCTCACAGTGTGGTCCCGGGACCTGGGCGTCTCCTGGGAGCCTGTGGGAAATATGGAACGGCAGGCTCCGCCCCTGGCCTGCTTCATGGGGTGATTTGTAGGTGTAGCCTGGGAATGTGTGTTTAAAAGGCTTTGGATGATCTTTACGCACATAAAAGTATGAAAAACATTGATAGTGATAGTAGACAAAGTTCTTAATAACTAATAAATCCGAAATAGGTTTTTTATATTGTTTCCCCTTGGAATAGAGTGTTAGACCCAAGGCAGAACTCCCAGTTTTTCAGGTGACCAAAACTGCCAAGTGCTAGCTCCCCAATGATACGACAATGTTTTCTATCTGTGTCAAAGCTGTAGGAAGTCCTAACTCTTCTGTTGCTTGCGATCCACATATATAATGGAAGGAAATGCTGCATGTCAGTGAGAAGAAAGTGAAAATACAAATGATTTCTTTCTGTTTTCTCTCTTTTTTTTTTTTTTGAGTTGGAGTCTTGCTCTCTGTCGCCCAGGCTGGAGTGCAGTGGTGCAATCTTGGCTCACTGCCAACTCCTCCTTCCGGGTTCACGCCATTCTCCTGCCTCAGCCTCCTGAGTAGCTGGGACTACAGGCGCCTGCCACCATGCCCGGCTAATTTTTTGTAGTTTTAGTAGAGACAGGGTTTCACCGTGTTAGCCAGGATGGTCTCGATCTCCTGACCTTGTGATCCTCCCGCCTCGGCCTCCCAAAGTGCTGGGATTACAGGCGTGAGCCACCGTGCCTGGCCTTTTTTTTTTTTTTTTTGAGACGGAGTCTCGCTCTGTCACTCAGGCTGGAGTGCAGTGGCACGATCTCGGCTCACTGCAAGCTCTGACTCCCTGGTTCAAGCGATTCTCCTGCCTTAGCCTCCTAAGTAGCTGGGACTACAGGCGCCCACCATCAAACCCAGCTAACTTTTGTATTTTTAGTAGAGACAGGGTTTCGATGGTCTCGATCTCCTGACCTCGTGATCCACCTGCCTCGGCCTCCCAAAGTGCTGGGATTACAGGCGTGAGCCACCGTGCCTGGCCAATAGGAATGATTTCTGTTTAAGGGGTCAGAGGGCTGCTTCAAGTGTACAGAAGCCCTGAATTTGATCCAAGGCAGCTGTAGCCTTGATCTGGACTGAGGAACAGATGTACTGCCCAGCATTTAAATGACTGTCATTCTTCTTATATGTGTGTTCTAGTTTGGTAGCAAACAGTTACACATCTTATTCCTGGGAATGTCTCAGTGTGAGGTGTTCCCAGCCCCCAAGGGCCCTGTGTCCTGAGAAGACTTCTCCTTTCCCTGAGTTTCTCATTCCTGCCTCCTCCTCCATCCCTTCTCAGTTTCCCATCACAGGAGATGGTGCCATCCCATCGGGCAGGCCGGGACCCTGAGATTTACCCTTGACTTCCTCCCTACTTTTCCCCCTCCTTCTACCCAGTCACCATGCCGTGCTAATTTTTAAAAGTTCAGTGATTCTTTTTATTTTTTTGAAACAGGGTCTTACTCACTGGAGCCTTGAACTCCTGGGCTCAAGCGATCCTCCCATTTCAGCCTCCCGAGTAGCTGGGACTATAGGCGCATGCCACTATGCCCAGCTAATTTTTTTATTTTTTGTAAAGATGGGATCTTACTATATTACCCAGGCTGGTCTTGAGCTTCTGGGCTCAAGTGGTCCTCCTGCCTCGGCCTCCCAAAGTGCTGGGATTACAGGCATGAGCTACCACACCTGGCCACAACTTCAGTGATTGCTGCCTCTTCATTCCTGTGTTCTGTGGAAATGGCATGGCTTCCTGGGTGCAGAATTGTATCTTTTCCTGGGAAATATTGACCCAGAGCCTGTCACTGTGCCCTGTGATCAGCCCTGACTGCTGCTCTTACTACCCTGGTGTGTTGTTCTGGCATCAGGGAGGGTGTTTGCTTGGCACCCCCTGTGCGCTGTGCCCTCTATGTGAGTCTTAGTGTGTCATGTGCCAGCCTCCATGGCCCCTGCCCTGCTTTTGGTCCTGCCTTTAGGCCCATTTGCCTGGGCTACTACTGCTCAGGTGCTGCTGGAAGCCCAGCATTCCTCATGGAGGTCTGCAGCCTCCTGAGAATGGGGCGTGGGCCTGGGCTGCTCTCAGAGCCACTTCGGTGCTTCTTTCCTTCGGCCACTCCTGGAGGTGGTAGGCCAGTGGCCCCAGCACTGCAATAGAGCTACCTACCCTACTTAAAGCCCACTGCACAGGCACTGAGTCCCCATTTTTTGTCCTTTAGAATTGTTTTCCTTTCTTTTTTTCTTTTCTTTTGAGATGTTGTCTCGCTCTGTCGCCCAGGCTGGAGTGCAGTGGCACAATCTCGGCTCACTGCAACCTCTGCCTCCCAGGTTCAAGCAATTCTCCTGCCTCAGCCTCCTGAGTAGCTGGAATTATAGGCATGCACCATCACGCCCGGCTAAGTTTTTGTCTTTTTGGTAGAGATGGGGTTTTGCCCTGTTGGCCAGGGTGGTCTTGAACTCCTGACCTCAGGTGATCCACCCGCCTATGTGCTACCACCCTGGCTAATTTTTGTATTTTTAGTAGAGATGGGGTTTCACCATATCGGCCAGGCTGGTCTTGAACTCCTGACCTCAGGTGATCCACCCTCCTCAGCCTCCCAAAGTGCTGAGATTACAGCCATTAAGCCACCGCTCCTGGCCAGAATTGTTTTCCCTTTCTTACAGATTTCAAAATATTGATTTATATGATTTTTCTTCTTAAATAAAATAGGCAAATTTATATAATGGTATTATGTGCCAGGCACTGTTCAAAGGCTTTACACCTTTTAACTAATTTAAACCTCATAGTAATTAAGACACACATACTATTATTATTTCCATTGAACAGATGAGGAAACTATGGCACAGAGAGGCTAAATAGTTTTCCCAGGGTAGGCTGAGCTGATATTTGAACTCAGGCAGTCCAGCCCCAATCCACTGCTTTGCATCTCATGTTATGTGGTCACATATAGTTAGGGAGCAGTCCACAAGACCCTCACTTCTACACCAACTGCAAGTTTGAGGGTCTCCCTCAAAACACTTTTGGGTTTTCTAATTTACTAGAAGGACTCATAGAACTCACTGAAAGCTGTTATACTCATTGTTACAATTACAGCAAAAGCATACAGATTAAAATCAACCAAGGCCCTGTGCAGTGGCTCACGCCTGTAATCCCAGCACTTTGAGAGGCCAAGGCAGGCGGATCGCTTGAGGTCAGGAGTTTGAGACCAGCCTGGACAACATGGTGAAACCCTGTCTCTACTGAAAAAAAAAAAAAATACAAAAATTAGCTGGGCGTGGTGGTGTGTGCCTGTAGTCCTAGCTACTCAGGAGGCTGAGGCAGGAGAATCGCTTGAGCCCAGGAGACGGAGGTTGCAGTGAGCCGAGACTGCGCCACTGCACTCCAGCCTGGGCAACACAGCAAGACTCCATCTCAAAATAAATTAATTAATTAATTAAGTAAAATCAACAAAGAGAAGAGGCTCATGAAGCAGAGTTTAGGAGAGTTCCACACATAGAACTTCTGTCCTCTCCTATGGAAGTCCCAAACAGTGCTAAATCCTCCCAGCAGTAATGTGTGCCAATACAGACGGAGCCTTGCCAACCAGGAAAGTGCACCTAGGCCCTGGTGTCCACTTTTTATTGGTGGTTGATCATGTAGAAAGGCTTGACTGTTCCCACCACTGACCTCAGTTTCCAGCCCTTCCAAGAGGTTGAGCTGATGCCTGTGACCCAAAGCCCTCATTATAAACCACATCATTAGACTATCTAGTGTGGCCCAAGACCACTAGGTAAACAAGGACACTCTTAGGACATTCCAAGAGTATAGAGATTACTTTCCAGGAGCTGAGGGCAAAGGCCACACCTCTCTTTTGGCAAGGTCAAATTCTTTACCACACAGTCACTTAAAGACAGGATCACCAGGACCTTCCTAGGCTGGTACCCATGGGTCTCCCTCAGTGACTGTCCTGCTCCTTCACAACTTATGCTGGCATCTCCAGGGCTATCAGCTCTTTAGAGAACTTTTGTTCTCTGTGCCCATAACCCGAGGCCTGCCAGGCGGTCAAGACTTCTTCTTTTCAGACTATTCCTCCTTTGGATCTCCTGCTGAACTCATCTTCTGCTGGCTTCTTAAATATTAGTGTCCCTTGGAGCTCTGGCCTGGGCACCCTGCTCTCCCCGTCTTGCAGAGGAATCTCACTTTTGTGCTGATGCTCAGCATTTTAGCTCCATTCCTGATCTTGCTCCTGACACAAAACCCACATGTCCACGTGGTCCCCAGGCAGGTCCAGCACAACAGCCTCCTCTTTGTTCCTCATGGTTTCCTCATCTCCAGGTGTGGCGCCATCATCACCCGGTTGCCTTCAAGATACCTGGGTGTTGCCCTGCCCCTACCCTCTTTCCCTCCCACAACCAGTTAAGGTGCAGGTTCTGCTCTTCTTTTTGTTTTGTTTTGTTGTTTTAATTTTTAAAAAATGTTTGTGGGTACTAGTAGGTGTGTGTATTTATGGGCATATGTTTTGGTACAGGCATCATGCAATGTGAAATTATCACACCATGCAGAATGGGGTCTGCTCTTCTTTACAGCGTTCCATCTTTCTCTAACGGTTACTGTCCTGCTTGTGAACATCACCTTTCACCCAGGTTACTATAGGGTCTTTCCTCTCACGTCCCTCCAGGTCACCCACCACACTTCTCTTTCCATCCATTGACTTTAAAACTGCCTGTGAGTTTACATTGAAAGTGCATCTCTTGTAGGCAGCATTTTTTTTTTTAATTCAGTCTGATGATCTCTGCCTTTTTGGAATGTTTAGTCTGAGACAGAGTCTCATTCTATCACCCAGGGTAGAGTACAGTGGCACTATCTGGGCTCACTGAAACCTCTGCCTCCCAGTTTCAAGCGATTCTCCTGCCTCAGCCTCCTGCGTAGCTGGGATTACAGGCACGCACAACCACACCTGGCTAATTTTTGTATTTTTAGTAGAGGTAGGATTTTGCCATGTTAGCCAGGCTGGTCTCGAACTCCTGACCTTAAGTGATCTGCCTGCCTCAGCCTCCTGAAGTGCTGGGATTACAGTGGTGAGCCACCATGCCTGGCCTGGAGTGTTCAGTTTATGAAGGGGTGGGTTGCCCCTCCACACCTGTGGGTGTTTTTCGTTAGGTGGAACGAGAGACTTAGGAAAGAAAAATACACAAAGTATAGAGAAAGAAATAATGGGGCCCAGGGTACCAGTGTTCAGCATACGGAGGATCCCGCCAGCCTCTGAGTTCCCTTAGTATTTATTGATCATTCTTGGGTGTTTCTCGGTGAGGGGGATGTGGCAGGGTCATAGGATAATAGTGGAGAGAAGGTCAGCAGATAAACACGTGAACAAAGGTCTCTGCATCATAGACAAGGTAAATAATTAAGTGCTGTGCTTTAGATATGCATACACATAAACATCTCAATGCCTTACAGAGCAGTATTGTTGCCCGCATGTCCCACCTCCAGCCCTAAGGCGGTTTCCCCCTATCTCAGTAGATGGAATATACAATCGGGTTTTATACCGAGACATTCCATTGCCCAGGGACGGGCAGGAGACAGATGCCTTCCTCTTGTCTCAACTGCAAAGAGGCATTCCTTCCTCTTATACTAATCCTCCTCAGCACAGACCCTTTATGGGTGTCGGGCTGGGGGATGGTCAGGTCTTTCCCTTCCCACGAGGCCGTATTTCAGACTATCACATGGGGAGAAACCTTGGACAATACCTGGCTTTCCTAGGCAGAGGTCCCTGCGGCCTTCTGTAGTGTGTTGTGTCTCTGGGTACTTGAGATTAGGGAGTGGTGATGACTCTTAAGGAGCATGCTGCCTTCAAGCATCTGTTTAACAAAGCACATCCTGCACAGCCCTTAATCCATTTAACCCTGAGTTGACCCAGCACATGTTTCAGAGAGCACGGGGTTGGGGGTGGGGTTATAGATTAACAGCATCTCAAGGCAGAAGAATTTTTCTTAGTACAGAACGAAATGGAGTCTCCTATGTCTACTTCTTTCTACGCAGACACAGTAACAATCTGATCTCTCTTTTCCCCACAATTTATATTAAATTACATTACATATAATCTTTATTAAATTACATTATTGGTATGGTTGGATTTGTATCTGTCATTTTAGTGTCTGTTTTCTGTTTATCCCGTCTACTCTTTTGTTCCTCTATTTCTTCTTTCCTCTCTTTTGTTGTGCTAGTGTGGATGAATGGAACATTTTTCAAAATTCTGTTTATTTAGATCAGGCACACCTCACATTATGATTTTAGTGGTTACTTCAGGGATACAATATATATCTTACTTTTCACAGTTTATTTAGAGTTATCATTATACCACTTCACATAGAATGCAAGAAGCTCACCTCATGCCTTCTAGAATATACTTTCTGCATACACTTCTTCTTGGATGGAGTTTCCATTGTCCTAAAGTCCATCATTTCTTTTTTTTGTTTGTTTTTTTTTGTTTGAGTCAGAGTCTCACCCTGTCCTCCAGGCTGGAGTGCAGTGGCACAATCTCAGCTCACTGCAACCTCTGCCTCCTGGGTTCTAGAGATTCTCCTGCCTCAGCCACCTGAGTAGCTAGGACTACAGGCGCCCGCCACCACGCCCAGCTAATTTTTCTATTTTTAGTAGAGACGGGGTTTCACCATGTTGGCCAGGCTGGTCTCGAATACCTGAGCTCAGGTGATCCACCCACCTCGGCCTCCCAAAGTGCTGGGATTACAGGGGTGAGCCACTGTGCCCGGCCCTAAAGTCCATCATTTCATTGCTGGCCGACCTCTGCATACTTTTCTCTTGTTACTAAGTAACTTGCCACCCCTAAAATCACCGTTTTGCCCCCCGGCCTTTGTTCCCACTGCTCCCCTGCATAGAATGCAGTTTTCCATCTTCCTGCGGAGGAGAGTCAGCTTTCCATATCCCTGGGCTCTGAAGCCTAACCAGAACCTGAAAAATTTAACAGACCATTCGCTTCTCTGTATGCCATAGCCTAGATGTCCTGCCATCACAGCTCTTGTGACATTTTTACCCTGATGGCTTTACATGTTGCTCTCTCTGTGCCAGACAGTGAGCTCCTTGAGGTCAGGACCCATCTATGACTGTGACCCCAGCAACACACAGTGGGTCTTCAATGTTTGTTGACTCAAAGTATGGATGGCAATGGTAGATAGCTTCCAATGTGATTTTCTTTTTCCCCACCATATATAACACAAAGCCAAGAATATAAAAGGCCTTCCAGATAGATAATAAGCTCTAACTTATAAACATTATAAAAATCAGCACCATCTCTTGCACAAAATTTTTTTTTTTTTTTTTTGAGATGGACTCCTGCTCTAGCCCAGGCTGGAGTGTAGTGGTGCGATCTCGGCTCACTGCAACCTCCGTCTCTTAGATTCAAGTGATTCTCCCACCTCAGCCTCCCAAGTAGCTGAGATTACAAGTGTGCACCACCATGCCTGGTGAATTTTTGTATTTTTAGTATAGACGGGGTTTCACCATGTTTGCCAGGCTGATCTTGAACTCCTGATCCTCCCACCTTGGCCTCCCAAAGTGCTGGGATTATAGGCATGAGCCACCATGCCTGGCCCTGCACAAACATTTTTTTTCGACATGACTCAATGTCATTTTTGTTTCAACAGATACCTGTGTCATTCAAAGATGTGGTTGTGGGCTTCACCCAAGAGGAGTGGCACCGGCTGAGTCCTGCTCAGAGGGCCCTGTACCGGGATGTGATGCTGGAAACCTATAGCAACCTCGTCTCAGTGGGTAAGAACATCCTCACCATACAATGCAGATTATGTTCGAATGACCACCTTTCCTTTCTCAGTTGCTAAAAGCAACTGGAGTACTTTGGGAGGCCAAGGCAGGTGGATCACCTGAGGTCAGGAGTTTGAAACCTGCCTGGCCAGCATGGTGAAACCCTGAAACCCCATCTCTACTAAAAATACAAATATTATCCAGGTGTGGTGGCGGGCGCCTGTAATCCCAGCTACTCAGGAGGCTAAGGCAGGAGAATTGCTTGAACCCGGGAGGCAGAGGTTTCAGTGAGCCGATATTGCACCATTGCACTCTAGCCTGGGCAACAAGAGCGAAACTGTCTCAAAAAATAAAAAATAAAAAAAAAGCAACGGAAGTACTCTAGAACTTCTGAAATATTTATTTAATAATTATCTAGCACTTTCTATGTGCCAGAAATTGTTTTAGCCACTTTAAAAATATTAACTCATTTCATTCTCATAAAAGCCTTATGAGGTAGTTACTATTAGTACCACTTTTTTACACATTTGGAAATTGAGGTACAGAGAGGTGAAGTAACTTGCCCAGAGTCACCCAGCTAGTAGATAGCAGAGTCAGGATTTGAACCTCAGCATTCTGGCAGCACAGAATGCATTCTTACCTTGTGCTGCTGCCTCAGTGGGTGTGGCTTGAGTTTCCATGGTCCTGGATTACTAATCCCATTTGGTTCTGGACAAGGTGTGTGTTTAGTCCCCTCCCAAGTATAACATCTATTGTGCAGCCTTTAAAGCTGCCTGAGAGGCCCTGAAGACCAAGGAGCTCAGCCCAAGACCTGCATCAATTTCCCCGGAACAGGTTATGAAGGCACCAAACCAGATGTGATCCTCAGACTGGAGCAGGAAGAAGCACCATGGATTGGTGAGGCAGCATGCCCGGGCTGCCACTGTTGGGGTAAGTGTGATAAATCTAGCAAAAGGGGTACTGAAGGAGGCTGGCACCTTTGGAATTTTGTTCAGCATTCTTCTCTTAAAAGCCTTGAAAGTCCTCCGAGAGCTTCAGCCACGTTAATGACTCTTCAACCTCCATGCAACCCCACCGCCCATATCTGAGTGTTTTTCTCGGCTCTACTTGATTGCACCTCTGCCCTTATGTGCTTGGTCCATCTCTCTTTCTCCAGAATCTTTCCCATGCAGGTATTCTTACAAATAAAAGCTTCTATGATTCTCCTGTTCCTGCTTCCTATTCTCTGTTGTGACAAACTTTCCAGATAAAATGCTTCAGAGCTACCTGCTTTCCCTAATTTCTGCACTCAAATTTAAATCACTCCCATAGACAGATGACTGTGGGATCAGAGAAGAGGAAGCAGTGAATTCCATGTTGGGGTGGGGAGGTGTGAAGGAAATGGCTGAGCTGGGCCCATCTTAACCACTGCTGATTAACCCTCAGACTCACTGCCCCTCTCCCTTCAGCTCTGTAAGACATTCCAGCAATATCCATTGTACCCTGAGGGCTGATGGATGGCCCACTCTTAGGGATGCCTCTGAACTTCTGCTTCTGGCGCTCTCTGGAGTGTGTTCCTCCATTAAACTGTGCTCTTCAGCTGTCCTGAGACTGTGGTATCCCGGTTATCAGTTGCCCTCCTCTTCTTTTCTTCTCCTCTTCTGAAAATTTCGTAACTGCAAATTCCACAAGAATGTATCTAGTCAGCCTCCCGTTTTTCCAGCTACTCTGTTACTATCTATTTCCCTGGCTCAAACCCAGCATTTTCCTTCCAAGGAACAATTGCATTTTCTGTTTTCCATAACTTGGTTCTCTTTCCAGTGGTGTAATCCTCTCAAAGAACTCACCCATTCTGAGAGTACATGATTCTCACAACCAGCCCTTTTGCCATGTTGGGCCCTTTTTTCCCCCTTGCACTGCCCACCCCCGCATTTAACCAGTCTGTGGATTACACTACAGGTGTGCACTTACCCTGTTCTTTGTGTGTCAAAAACTAAAATCATCTTTATTTGTCCTTGCTACCCCTGCCACACACACACTCACACTCACACACACACACACACACGCACACACACACACCACTTCATCTTGCTTATTATTCCAGGGCTTTGCTACCGTGTGGTCATTTTGAATCTTCTGCCTTTACCACTCACTCTAACTGTTCCATTCATATGTGTGGTTTTGTTGATTTTTTTTCTTCTGAGAAATGGCTTTAAATCTTCCTCTCTGCTTTTTTTTTTTCTTTTTGAGACAGTGTCTCACTCTGTCACCCAGGCTGGAGTGCAGTGGCATGATCATGGCTCACTGCAGCCTTGACCTCCTGGGCTCAAGCGATCCTCCCACCTCTTAACCTCCCGAGTAACTGGGATTATATTCACGTGCTACCACACCTGGCTAATTTTCATTTTTTTTGTAGAGAAGGGGTTTTGCAGTGCCGCTCAGGCTGGTCTCAAACTCCTGGGCTCAAGCAGTCCACCTGCTTTGGCTTCCCAAAGTGCTGGATTTACTGGCATGAGCCACCATGCCCAGTCCTTCTCCACTTTTTTTTGTTGTTATTGTTCAGATGAAGTCTTGTTCTGTCACCCAGGCTGGAATGCAGTGGTGCCATCTCAGCTCACTGCAACCTCCGCCTCCTGGGTTTAAGCAATTCTCTGCCTCAGCCTCCGGAGTAGCTGGGATTACAGGCACGTGCCACCACCCCCAGCTAATTTTTGTATTTTTAGTAGAGATGGGGTTTCACCATCTTGGCCAGGCTGGTCTTGATCTCCTGACCTCGTGATCCACCCGCCTTAGCCTCCCAAAGTGCTGGGATTACTGGCGTGAGCCACTGCACCCAGCCCCACTTTTAATTTTCCACTGATATCTCCTAAAATGAGACCCAGATTATCTCATGACTGAATGTCTTTAAGTGAGGGGTTATTAATTATTTTTGTGCCATGGACTTCTTAGGCATTCTTTTGAAGGCTATAGACCTCACTTCTATGTATAAAAATATAATAACGTTCATAAGATTATAAAATAAATGACTAAAGTACAGTAATTATCAAAATAAGCTAGAAAATAGTTATCAAAAAAAAATTTTTTTTTTTTTAGATGGAGTTTCACTCTGTCGCCCAGGCCGGAGTGCAATGGCATGATCTCAGCTCACTGCAGCCTCCTCCTCCTGGGTTCAAGCGATTCTCCTGCCTCAGCCTCCCGAGTAGCTGGGACTACAGGTGTGTGCCACCACGCCCAGCTTATTTTCTATTTTTAGTAGAGACTGGGTTTCATCATGTTGGTCAGGCTAGTCTTGAACTCCTGACGTCAGATGATCCACCTGCCTCGGCCTCCCAAAATGCTGGGATTACAGGCGTGAGCCACCGCGCCCAGCTTCAAAATATTTTCAAAATGTGCAATATAATAGTAGATGTACTTTTTCATTTATACGTTAATGAGGCCTAGCATCAGGTCTAATAACTGTCATGATCTCAAAGAAGAGATGATTATAAACATAATAATGTGACATGAAAATAACAATATTCACAAACTAGTATCAAGTCACAGGAACCACTAATACCACTGTGTTTTGTTGCTTATATTCATATTCAAAGGAAATGTTCAATTGTAGTTGGAACTCAGTGAAAACAAAAATGTAATTTCTTTTCTATCAAAGTTCACAAGCCCCCTGTTTTCTGCCAAGTTAAGAACTCTTGCTTAAGTCCTAGTTAGCTTTGTTGATTTTATTTTTTAATCTGTTTCACCTTAGAGTGCTTTACCGTTTATATTGTAACTAACTAGCCCAACATGATATTCCCTTGGATGACTGCTATACCAGTGCTTGTTAAGCTCCAAGGTGTTTGGAATCACCGGGGCATCTTGTTGAAATGCAGAGTCTGATTAAGTAGGTCTGGGGCGGTGCCTTAGATTCTGCACATCTAACAAGCTCCAAGTAAGGCCAAAATTGCCACTTGAAGACCCACATGCTGGATAGCAAGGTACTGTATAACATTTAACCTTCTTTCTTCTGTAACAGGGATCAGCAAACTGTGGCCTACCGATTGGCCACCTGCTTTGTGAATAAAGTTTTATTAGAACACAACCACATTCTTACGTTTACATGTTGTCTATATTTTCATGGTATGGCGGGAGAGTTGAGTCATTGTGACGGAGACCATATGGCCCACAAAGCCTTTACTTTCTGACTCCTTAAGAATAAGTTTGCCAACCTCTGCTCTGTAATATCCTATTTTCTTTGAAATTATTGGTCTCTATACTCTATGATATATTGAATTCCATTTGTGCCAGTGTTCAGAATCCTCTTTACTCATAGAACACTCTTCCCTGCGTTTGTGCTTTGGGTTATGGTTCATGTTCTCTATTTGTGTGCTGTGCACTCTTTAAATTTTGAGAGCATTTCTTAAGTAGTATGAAGTTTCATAAGGATGATTCACTGTACTTTCTCCAGAAGACATCTGGCGAGTTAATATCCAGAGGAAAAGACGGCAAGACATGCTTTTGAGGCCAGGCGCAGCCATAAGCAAGAAAACATTGCCCAAGGAGAAAAGCTGTGAATATAATAAGTTTGGGAAAATATCACTTCTGAGCACTGATCTTTTTTCTTCAATCCAGAGCCCTAGTAACTGGAACCCTTGTGGAAAGAATTTGAACCATAATTTAGACTTGATTGGTTTTAAGAGAAACTGTGCAAAAAAGCAAGATGAGTGTTATGCTTATGGGAAATTGCTTCAGCGTATAAATCATGGTAGACGACCTAATGGAGAAAAGCCCCGGGGTTGCAGTCACTGTGAGAAAGCTTTCACCCAGAACCCGGCACTTATGTATAAACCAGCAGTAAGTGATTCTCTCTTGTACAAACGGAAGAGGGTTCCACCTACAGAAAAACCCCACGTCTGTAGTGAGTGTGGGAAAGCCTTCTGCTACAAGTCTGAATTCATTAGGCATCAGAGAAGTCACACTGGGGAGAAGCCTTATGGCTGCACTGACTGTGGGAAAGCCTTTTCACATAAGTCAACCCTCATCAAACACCAGAGAATTCACACTGGGGTAAGACCCTTTGAATGTTTTTTTTGTGGGAAAGCCTTTACCCAGAAGTCACACCGCACAGAACATCAGAGAACACACACAGGAGAGAGACCCTTTGTCTGCAGTGAATGCGGGAAATCGTTTGGTGAGAAGTCATACCTCAATGTACATCGAAAAATGCACACAGGAGAAAGACCGTATCGTTGCAGAGAATGTGGAAAATCCTTCAGCCAGAAGTCATGCCTCAATAAACATTGGAGAACTCACACAGGAGAGAAGCCCTATGGGTGCAATGAATGTGGGAAAGCTTTCTACCAGAAGCCAAACCTCAGCAGACATCAGAAAATTCATGCTCGGAAGAATGCCTACAGGAATGAAAACTTAATAATTGTGGGAAATACTTGAGCAAAATATCTGGTTTCATGGTATGTAGGGAATTTTTTTTTTTTTTTTTTGAGTTGGAATCTCACTTTGTCACCCAGGCTGGAGTGCAGTGGCGCGATCTCGGCTTACTGCAAGCTCTGCCTCCCGGGTTCACGCCATTCTCCTGCCTCAGCCTCCCGAGTAGCTGGGACTACAGGTGCCCACCACCATGCCCGGCTAATTTTTTTTTTGTATTTTTAGTAGAGACGGGGTTTCACCGTGTTAGCCAGGATGGTCTCGATCTCCTGACCTTGTGATCTGCCCGCCTTGTCCTCCCAAAGTGCTGGGATTACAGGCGTGAGCCACCGCGCCTGGCCGGTATGTAGGGAATTTATCCTTAGGAGAAATCTTATCATTTTAATGAATTTGAACAGTGTGTTTTTATTTTATTTATTTATTTATTTTGAGTTGTATTCTCTGTTTCCCAGGCTGGAGTGCAATGGCACTATCTCGGCTCACTGTAACCTCAGCCTCCCAGGTTCAAGCAGTTCTCCTGCCTCAGCCTCCCAAGTAGCTGGGATTACAGGCACCTGCCACCACGCCTGGCTAATTTTTGTATTTTTAGTAGAGATGGGGTTTCACCATGTTGGTCAGGCTGGTCTCTTTGGCTAGGCTGGTCTCGAACTCCTGACCTCGTGATACCCCCCAACCCCCCGCCCTTGGCCTCCCAAAGTGTTGGGATTACAGGCATGAGCCAACGCGCCCAACCGACAGTGTTGTATCATAATGGAAATCATGATCTAATTGTGATACAAACTTTTCTAGAAAATACTTTCTCAAACATAAGCATGGACACCCTGGCATGTAAACGTTTAAAAATGTATTAAATGGAATAACAGCAGAATACAAAATATCTGTGAAGAGACTTAAAGGCATACTCTGGTATATTCCACAGTGAGCCATACAATCAGCATTATTTGTATTTTGGAGTTGTAAATGTGAAATTAACATAAAATGTGAATATCAGACACATGTCACACAACATATAGAATGCCATTCAGAAAACTTTTCCACTTTAAATATCATCATTGTCTTTTGATGTCTTAACAATACAAAAAAATAACAACAACATGGCCCACTATTGTTAAAAGAACTTTATTATACCAGCTACATTTTTCCACCTTTTTGTAATACATGTAAATGGCTATAGAGGTTGTTACTGTCCTCTGCAGAAATAATAAAGCAGTGTTTTTAAATGTATTTGGATAATTTGGCCAAAAATTTTACTAAAATGTAGTTATTTATATTAAAAATGCAAGCTAAGGAATAGTTTAAGAACCTGATACTGGGTAAATGAAACACTGTAAACTATTTGACAAAATGTAGTGTCACCCTGGTGTACAGTACACTGTTCATATTTTCTTAGTCTTGCTTAAAATATCTTGTAGCAAATTAGTAGCATTGCTACACTATTCTAGATACACTATTCTATATACAGGTTGTATAACTCAGAAATGTTTCATGCGTAGACCACTGAAGGAGAATTTCTTTTCTCTCTATCCCTCTGCAAATTAATTCAAGAATATTCATTTTTTTCATATAAATTTCCTTGCAAGTGTCCTAGACACTAAATCCCAAGGTTTTAATTATTTCAATGTTTGGAAAGAAGTCTGCTTCCCTGAGTTGCTATGTCATCCATATTAGAAAATAAATGGCCATGTGGAATCTACATTTTTCAAGATTTCCCTCCATGTAAGACTGCCTGATCCAGAATGAGAAAGGAGACATAACCACAGATATCAATATGATTTTTTAAGTGATAAAAAGATACCTCATACAACTCTAATCAACATATTTTTTAAAAAGAGGAGGTGGATGCTTTTCTAATAAACTTAAGTTATGAAAACTGCAATAAGAAGTAGAAAACTTGGTAGGATAGTTAACATTGAAAAACTCAAAAAAGCTATTAAAGATCTATAATGGGAAAATGCTCCAGGCTCAGAAGAGTTCATGCTTAGTTCTATCTTTTAAAGAAAGAGTAATACCAGTGTTATTTATTATATGGATGTAATACAATCCATGAACTGTACTCATTTATTTTATTAAGTCAGAATAAATTTTAACACCAAAATCAAATACAGATAGTTGAAAAAAGAAAACTTCTGCTGGGTGCGGTGGCTCACGCCTGTAATCCCAACACTTTGGGAGGCCGAGGCAGGTGGATCATGAGGTCAGAAGTTCGAGATGGTGAAACCCCATCTCTACTAAAAATACAAAAATTAGCCGGGTGTGGTGGCACACACCTGTAGTCCCAGCTACTTGGGAGGTTGAGGCATGAGGCAGGAGAATTGCTTGTACCCAGGAGGTAGAGGTTGCGGTGAGCCAAGATCGTGCCATCCAGCCTGGGTGACAAGAGCGAAACTCCGTCAAAAAAAAAAAAAAAAAAAGAAAACTTCAGACCAGTCTTACTCATGAATATAGAAACAAAAATTATAGTTAAAATACTAGCAAATAGAATTCAGCCATATACCCAAAGAGTGACATAGTAAGAGTCATCCCAAGAATGCCAAACCAGTTCAGTTAATAGGAAATGCATCAATCAAATTAACAGTTTAAAGGAGAAGAATCATATGAACTCTCAACAGATACTGAGAAGGCATTTCATAGAATGTGTTAATTTACATTGTAATAGATGGGAACCACTTAAAGCGGTTTTTCTTAAAAAAAATTTTTTTTAACCCAAACCCCAAAGCATATATTATGCCAAAGCCATTTTTTAAAATCAGGAATTCAATATTGGCTTAGAGATTCCAGTGAAGGCAATAAAAAGAAATGAATTGGTATAAACAGCAGAAAAGGTAAAACTATCCATTTTTACTGATGATATGGTTGTACACCAATAAATGAAAAGACTATTTTTTGAGTTAACTTTTCTAAGAAGACAGGGTACCAAAATCAAGAGCTGTTCTCCATACTGACAAGAAAACATAATTTATATGTACTTCTTTTGGAATTACACTAAATCTCAATGATTTTTTGACAATCATTGAAAAAAATATATGAAAAAAATCATACCATGTATAAAAACATCACATGTACCCAATAAATATATACAACAATTATATATCTATAATAATTAAAAATTTTTAAAATGCCATGCTAGATACCAGAAGATAACATGAAGCCATTCTAATGAAATTAATATTGTATTGGCAAAGGAACAGGTAAATACATCATTAGAACACAGTAGAAAATTCAGAAATAGACTTCGATATATATGAACTTTTTCATATGTGAAAAAGGTGAAATCTGAAACCACAGGGGAAAAGAGTAGTTTACTTAAAAAGAATTCTGGAACAGAACCTTTTAATCTTAAAGGAAGAAAATTTGGATTAACAGCACAAAAATAAATTCTGGGTGGCTTTAAGACGTAAAATTTTAAAGCAACAGAATTCTTAAAAGAAAATCAAAGGAGCCTATGTGTACAATCTAGGAGTTGGGAGATATTAACTTTACCAACACAGGACACTCAGAAGCTATTTAGAAATAAGCAGTTGAAGGCTGGGTGCAGTGGCTCATGCCTGTAATCCCAACACTTTGGGAGGCTGAGGCAGGAGGATCACCTGAGGTTAGGAGTTCAAGACTAGTCTGGTCAACATGGTGAAACCCCATCTCCACTAAAAATACAAAAATTAGCTGGGTGTGGTGGCACATGCCTGTAGTCCCAGCTACTTGGGAGGCTGAGGCAGGAGAATCACTTGAACCTGGAAGGCAGGGGTTGAAGTGAGCTGAGATTGCACCACTGCACTCCAGCCTGGGCAACAGAGCAAGACTCCATCTCAGAAAAAAAGAAAAAGAAAAAAAAAAGGAAACAAACATTTGACTACGTAGAATCTTTTGGTACAATCTTTTGGGTGACAAAAGATGCCATCAGCAAACTCAAGAGATAATAGATTGTGGGGAAATATTTGTAAAGCTGATCAGAGAGAAGGCATTCATGAAATGGACAGGAAAAAAACCCAATAGCAAAATGTGGCAAAGAATATGAGTTGACAGTTGTGAGAAGAGCAAATCTAAGTGGCCAATGGACCTGTCCAAAAATGTTTATCCTCAGTAGTCACTGGGGGATGCAGATTTAAAGTTAAAATCAAATAACACTGTGTAACAGCATTTTTAGCTATCAGAACAAAAGATGTTACACACTGCTGGTGGAGAAATAAATTTTGAAAAACAATGCAAATTACTGTTTTGGAAAGAAATCTGGTAATATTTAGGCTGGGCGTGGTGGCTCACACCTGTAATCCTAGCACTTTGGGAGGCCGAGGCAGGCAAATTGTCTGAGGTCGGGAGTTCGAGAACAGCCTGGCCAGCATGGTGAAACCCCGTCTCTACTAAAAATACAAAAATTAGCTGGGCATGGTGGCAGGCACCTGTGATCCCAGCTACTCGGGAGGCTGAGGCAGGAGAATCACTTGAACCCAGGAGGCAGAGGTTGCAGTGAGCCAAGATCGCGCCATTGCACTCCAACCTGGGCAACAGAGCAAAAAGATTCCATCTCAAAAGAAAAGAAAAGAAATCTGTTAATATTATTAAAATATTTATGTCACTTTGGAGAATCTTCCCTTAGAAGTAAAAGCTCCAATACATAAAAGACAGATGAACATGTGAACATGGACATTTATTGTAAAAATTGTTCTTAATGGCAAAAAAACCCCCAAAACCAAAGCAAACACTAGAATCAAAGTAAATACCCATCAACTGGGAAATTGTAGAAAGGAAAAAACTATAGTGTATCCATTCCATAGAATGTTAATATAGCCATTAAGGTGGACAAATTAAAACTATGCTAGTGGACTTGAGTGGAATTCCACAATGTTCTCTTGAGTGAAAAATGCAAGGTAGATATTAAGTATGTTAAATATGACTCCATTTTTTTAAATCATTAACAAAATGTCTCTAGGTGTTTGTCAGCAATAAACGGTATCTATATATGTTTATTTGATTTTATGTGCATGAAGAAAAGTATAGAAGAGTATGCATTGACTTGGAGGGAGGTGGGTAATGCAGGTAGGTTATGGGGGAGTCAGGGGTGTAGGGAAAAGGAAAACCAAAAAAGAAAAATACATAAATGACTGAATCACGGGTGATACCACAAATGTGTGAGTTAGTAAATTTGGCTGGGGATGGGGGAGCTAGAATTTTGCTAATTTGTGGGGATGTTCATGGTATATATTGTAAAAAGGGAAAATTTCATAATAATGTATACGATTCTATTTTTAAAAAAAGTAAAAACTCCTGTGTGTGTATATATGCATGTGGATGTTTATATGAACATAGAAAAGTGTAGAAGAATACACACGAAGGTGTTAACATTCATTGGTTACCTTGGTGGAGAAGGGTAATAAGTTTTCTGAATACCTTTGCATTGTCTTGTTCACATATATTGCTTTTGTAATTTGAAAAACAAAATAAAGGGGGAAAACATTTCAAACTGAATGAAGCCTTGAAAATGTTTCCATTTTCTGACAAGATGGCACCCTGACTTGGTCTAGGGTTGAGGTTAGGGTTATGGAAATGACGTCTTGTCACCTTTGCTGCATTCTACTAGAAACAAGTCATAGGTCCCAGCCATACTCAAAGAGAAGGAATTATACATGAGAGTAATTTCCTTCTCCAGACTACCAGGCAGCAGAGATCATTGGGGGCCATCTTGGAGTCTACCCACCTCATCAGCGAAACACTTATTTGAAACTAGGGAGGAGTGAGGATGGCAACTGTGTTGGAACAGTAGTTTAAGTAAGCCACATACTTGCTGCTGGGCACCATGAGTGCACAGATTCTAGATGTGCTTGCTGGAAGTTCTCCACTAAACAGAAGTATTCATTTATCCACAAGTATATACTGAGTGCTTACTATGAACTGGACACTGTTCTAGGATCTGGGGATAAAGCAGTAAACAGAAAGAAATGTTGATAATTGTCAAGAAGCAAAATGAAATAGGAGGGGAGTTAAATTTTAGATGCAGTAACCAGGAAAGCCCTCAAAATGATCTCTGCATTAAGACCTA